>NC_000001.11:181366405-181669435 GCF_000001405.40 Homo sapiens
AATAAGTACATCTTATTAACTGATTTGACCTGAGGCACTTTGAGGGGTCCTGTTGTAATCTTGCCACTTTCCTCTGCTTTTCTCATTTATCCCTCTTTTTTTGCAACTTGAGAAGTAAAACAGCAGCCTACCAAGGTGAGGCCACAGTTGCAGGGATAACATTTGAGCCAAGGCTTCATAAGGGCTGCTGTAGGAGGGGAGAGCATCCTGGCACTTTAGTGGGCTACGTGGCCGACTGCAATTGCAAGGATTAGCAGTGTGAGCCCTGATCCTGCTACCTCTTTGCTGTGTGACCCCAGACAACTTGCTTCACTTCTCTGAACCTGAGACCTGCCTCACAAAAATGAAGAGGAAGCATATATGCCTTTATATTGGGTAACTGAAGAGTGATAGATTAATACTGATAATAGTGGTAGCTATCATCCTTTGAAGACCCCTGTGGTGCTTGGCACTTAACCTGTATGATCTATAATTCTCATAAGCAGCCATCTAGGGGTACTTTTATTTCCATTTCATAAGTAAAGGGGCAATGGCATGGAGTTTTGCATCCCTTAAAACTTGTTCCTCTTTCCATTTTGTGATTCTGTGTCTGTGGTGAAGGAGGCCTTCCCTGCCTAACGTGTCCTATTAGCTACTTTGGGAGCTACCGATGGGTGGGCCCAGAGCGGGCCCTGGACACCTGGCTTCCTGGGACACCTCTGCGTCTCCTACCTCTCCCATCCCTGGAGGTTGCCACGCAAAAGAGTGTTGTGGTTGCGCCTTCTGATTTGGGTGCCCTGTCGCTCATCAGGATCAAGGCAGGTTCTTAGCAAAATTTAGAATTTGTCAAAGATCTTTGGCCTGGTGCCTCACCCAAAGTGCTGTTTAAGAAGCTCTTTTTTGAGTTGAATTGTCACCGTCTCATCTCTCCTTTCAAACTAATTTTTTTTTTTCCTGTTTGGGTTCCAGGAATTTTTTTCTCAGCTTTTCCCAGGACCTCCTGGATATTTATTTCTGCTGTGCACTATAACCTTGCAAAACATTTAGGGATCTCTAGCTTGTCATCTCAAAGGGGTATAGACATTGGAGTTGTAGAAGAAATTAATAAAAATAAAGCTTGAAACTTTCCAGACGAACTTGATTTGAATTAATAATCAATTATTTATATTTATATAACTATAATATTATAATACTATAATATATAATATATAACTATAATATAATTATATAATATATGATTAATCAAATATAACAAATTATTACTAATGAATAACTTCTAATTATAACTTTAATTAGATATTAAAATAGCAGAGAGTAACTAGTTGACTACTTAAAAATGTTTCATAAGAGATGGGTAAGATATGGTAAAGTAGCTTTTATATTTTAATCATTTTCAAATGCAATGAATATAATTCTATTCCAGAGTCATAGAAATATGCCAATTTATTTATAATTTACTTTGGTTTCTTTGAAAATAATGCTTTATTTCTCATATAGTCTTCAGAATAACTTTAACAATGCTTTTGATAGATTGTCTTGTGAAGTAGTTGACAAAAAGAAAATTGGCCAGGCATGGTAGCTTGCCCCTGTAATCCCAGCACTTTGGGAGGCCAAGGCAGGCAGATCACTTGAGGCCAGGAGTTCGAGACCAGCCTGGCCAACATGGTGAAACCCTATCTCTACTAAAAATACAAAAATAAGCTGGGTGTGGTGGTGCACACCTGTAATCCCAGCTATTGGTGAGCTAAGGCATGAAAATCGCTTGAGCCTGGGAGGCTGAGGTTGCGGTGAGCCGAGATCATGCCACTGCACTCCAGCCTGGGTGACAAAGAGAGACTCTGTCTAAAAAAAATAAAATAAAAAGAAAATGTGTCATTTAGACAGAGAAAGAGACTCTGTCTAAAAAAAAAAAAAATACATCGCAAATCTACCAGAATACCCAGAAAGAAGGTATTTATAACAGGGTGACAAATGAAAACTATTTTCGCAGAGAACCTATGTACAAATCTTATTGTTGAAAAGATTTCTAAAAAGTTATTAAAGACAATTGAATTAGAAATGATCAAAGCTGAAAATCGCAATTAGCTTGAAATAAGAATATCAATTTATGTGAGAGAAGGTTGAGTTGTGTAACAAATAATTCAGACATCCCTATGGAGCTGTAGTAACAACTGCTTTTCAAAATTTCCATCTGACATTTTCCCTCTTCTGTCTGTGAGGATGGAGAAAAGGAGATGGGGTTGGGGGGCAGGACCAGGGAGGAGGGGGCAGTGCTGTGCCCATAGTTAACATGAGCGGCTTCAGTATGAGTGGCCATGGAACTGATTTTGAAAAAGTTGTATAAACAAAGCCCCTCGCACTCCACAAAAAGATTTTGTTTGGTGTTTATTTATACTGAATTTGTTTCTAACTTTCCAAGAAAGGAGACAAATGAAGTATCTTGGAGGCAGCAGGGTAAATGAGCATGGGTTTTGGAGTCAGATTACTCAGTTCCACTTTCCTAGAATGGATCTCAGAATACTCTCCCTACATATTCTTCAGTAGGTAAAGATGATATATGCAAAGCACTGGGCCCACGGTAGATTCTTTTAAAATTACTGCTAGGATTTGTATGAATGATGTTCTATCAGGAGGATGGCTATGCTAGAAGAAGCACAGTCCAGAGGGTTGAAGCGCATGCTGTGGAAGAGAGTAGACTCTTTTGTCTAAGCGACTCCACTAGTTCAGGTCAGGACATTCGTCACTTCATGATGCAGGACTGCAAGTACACCAGTGAATAGTTGTGTGTCAACATTTCAAAGCTAGTTGGCTCCAAGGTATTTCTAGCTTGGAAATTTCCACTAATTGAAGCCTTGCTTTGTACAAAATTCAGTGTGGAGATTGGAAACTGGAGAAATTACCTGGCTTGCTACCAAGTCTTTTTAATGGCCGCATCTTCGGGCTCTGTTTCTTGGTCTGACTTGGCCACAGGAGAAAACGAATGTCTGTGGTGTCACGAGCCTTGCTCTGGCTGTCAGAGTCCCCTGCGAGGGAAGCTAATTTTCTAGACATTAACTAAGGGACTTGTGAAGCTCAAAAGGCAACATCACAGAGCTTTCTCTCGAGTGAATTTGTAGAATGAAAGCCATCCTGTAGTTTTAATACATAGGCCTCAAAGGTGGGGACCGCATACCAGGAGACATTTTTTTAGCAGCTGGTGCCAGCCTGAAGCATGACACACCAAAGAACCAAGGGGCTCCAGCTGCTCAGGGCCAGGCCAGACTAACCACACTGCCCTGGAGACACAGGAAGACCAATGAGTCCCTTCTGTATGCCGTCAAGATGCCCTATGGGCCTCCTGAAACTCAAACACCATTTGATTAGTAGGAGAAGAGGGGAGAAACACCCTTGGTAGGAAATTCGACTTTGTCTTTTTAAAAAAATCTTTTATTTTAGGCTCAAGGGTACATGTTCAGGTTTGTCATATAGGCAAATTGTGTGTCATGGGGGTTTGAGGTACAGATTATTTTGTCATCCAAGTAAATAAGCACAGAACCAAACAGGTAGTTTTTCAGTCCTCACCCTCCTCCCACGCTCCACTCTCAAGTAGGCCCTGGTGTCTGCTCTTCCCTTCTTTGTGTCCATGTGTACTCAACTTTGTTTATTTTTTTTCACAGTTGAGAATTTTAATTTTTCAAAATTATTAATTGATGTCAATCAGTTTGCAAAATTGAAAGACTAGGACATTCAGGGGTGTGGTTAAAAAAAAACAAAATTAAAATACAATGAACCCTGAAAAGCTGCATTCCAACTTGGACACTGTGTTAGTGTTGCCTTCCTCTTTGTTTCAGAAAATCATCTCATGTTCCAGGATACTCTAACTATTCACACTTGTATTGTTTCATAGTTTTTTTTTTTTTTTCTTTCAACTTTTATTTTAGGTTCAGAGAGTACATGTGGAGGTTTGTTACATGGTAAATTTTATGTCACTGGGGTTTGGTGTACAAATGATTTCTTCATGCCCAGGTAGTGAGCATGGTACCTGATTCAAGCCTTACCCTCCTCCCACCCTCCTTCGTCAAGTAGGCCCTGGTATTTGTTGTTCCCCTCTTTATGCCCCTGTGTACTCAATGTTTGGCTCCCGCTTATAAGTGAGAACATGTGGTATTTGGTTTTCTGTTCCTACATTAATTAGCTTAGGATAATGGACTACAGCTGCATCTATGTTGCTGAAAAGGACATGATTTCGTGTTTTTTTATGGCTGTGTAGTATTCCATGGTGTATACATACCATATTTTCTTTATCTAGTCCGTCATTGGTGGGCATCCAGGTTGATTCCATGTCTTCACTATGGTGACTAACACTGTGATAAACATATGGGTGCATTTTTTTTGGTAGAATGATTTATCTTCCTTTGGGTATATGCCCAGTAGTGGGATTGCTGTGTCAAATAATTCTGCTCTAAGTTCTTTGAGAAATTTCCAAATTGCTTTCCACTGTGGCTGAGCTAATTTACATTTCTACCATCAGCATATAAGTATTCCCTTTTCTCCACAGCCTCGACAACATGTTATTTTTTGACTTTTTAATAATAACCATTCTGATTGGTGTGAGATGGTATCTCATTGTGGTTTTGATTTGCATTTCTCTAATGACTAGTGATGTTGAGCATTTTTTCATATGCTTGTTGGCTGCACGTATGTCTTCTTTTGAGCAGTGTCTGTTCATGTCCTTTGCCCATTTTTAAATGGGGTTGTTTTTCAGCTATTGATTTGTTTAAATTCCTTATAGATTCTGAATATTAGATCTTTGCTGAATGCATAGTTCATGAATATTTTCTCATTTTGTAGGTTGTCTGTTTATTGATGTCTTCTTTTGCTGTGCAGAAGCTCTTTATTTTATTTTTAAATTTAGTTTATTTTTATTTTTTGCCATTGCCCAAGCTGGAGTGCAATAGTGTGATCATAGGTCACTGCAGCCTCCATCTTCCAGCATCAAGAAATCCTCCCACCTCAGCCTATGGAACAGCTGGGACTACAGGCATGTGCCACTACACCCAGCTGACTATTTATTTATTTATTTTTATTCTTAGTAGAGACAAGGTCTCACTATGTTTCCTAGGCTGTTCTCAAACTCCTGAGCTCAAGCAATCCTGCCTTGGCCTCCCAAAGTGCTGGGATTACAGGCATGAACCACTGCATCTGGCCAGAAGCTCTTTAGTTTAATTAGGTCCTACTTATCTATTTTTGTTTTTGTTGCAATTGCTTTTGGAGACTTCATTATGAAATCTTTGCCAAGGCCTATGTTCAGAATGGTATTTCCTAGGTTTTCTATTAGGGTTTTTATAGTTTTAGGTTTTACATTTAAGTCTTTAATTTATTTTGAGTTGATTTTTCTATGTAGTGAAAGGAAGGGATCTAGATTCAATCTTCTGCATATGGCTAGCCATTTATCCCAGCACCACTTATTGAATAGGGAGTCCTTCCCCATTGCTTGTTATTGTCAACTTTGTGGAAAATCAGATGGTTGTAGGCATGTGACTTTATTTCTGGGTTCGTTAACCTGTTCCATTAGTCTATGTATCTGTTTTTGTACCAGTACCATGCTGTTTTGGTTACTGTAGCCTTGTAGTATAGTTTGAAGTTGGGTAACGTGATACCTCAGGTAATGTGATGCCTTTGTTCTTTTTGCTTGGGATTACTTTGGGTATTTGGGCTTCTTTTTGGTTCCATATGAATTTTAGAATAGTTTCTTATAATTCTGTGAAAAATGACATTGGTAGTTCGGTAGGAATAGCACTGAATATGTAAATTGCTTTGAGCAGTATGGCCATTATAATGATATTGATTCTTCCTGTACATGAGCATAAAATATTTTTTCCATTTGTTTATGTTGTCTCTGATTTCTTTCAGCAGTGTTGTGTAGTTCTCATTGTAGTGAACTTTCACCTCCCTGGTTAGCTGTATTACTAGATATTTTGTTCTTTTTGTGGCTATTGTGAGTGGGATTACATTCTTGATTTGGCTCTCAGCTTGGATGTTATTGGTGTATAGAAATAATACTGATTTTTGTACATTGATTTCATATCCTGAAACTTTACTGAAATTGTTTATCAGTTTTAGGACCTTTTAGGCAGAGACTAGGGGGTTTTCTAGGTATAGAATCATATCGTCTGCAAAGAGAGATAGTTTGACTTCCTCTCTTCCTATTTGGATGCCTTTTATTTCTTTCTCTTGCCCGATTGCTATGGCTAGGATTTCCAGTACTAAATTGAGTAGGAGTGGCAAGAGTGGGCATCGTTATCTTGTTCCAATTCTCATGGGGAATGCGTCCAGCTTTTGCTCATTCAGTAAGATGCTGGTTTGTCATGGGGGCTCTCATTATTTTGAAGTATGTTCCTTTGATACCTAGTTTGTTGAGCTACTAGCTCATGAAGGGATGTTGAATATATATATATATATATATTTTTTTTTTAACATGAAGGGATATTGAATATTATCAAAAGCCATCTCTGTGTCTATTGAGATGATCATGTGGGTTTTGTTTTTAGTTCTGTTTATGTAATGAATCACGTTTATTGATTTGCATATGTTGAACCAACCTTGAATCCCAGGAATAAATCCTACTTGATCATGGTGAATTATCTTTTTGATGTGCTGCTGGATTCAGTTTGGCAGCATTTTGTTGAGGATTTTTGTGCCTATGTTCATCAGGGATATTGGCCTGAAGTTTTCTTTTTTCATTGTTTCTCTGACAGATTTTGGTATCAGAATGATGCTGGCCTCATAGAATCAGTTAGGGAGGAGTTTCTTCTCAGTTTTTTGGAATAACTTCAGTAGGATTGGTACCAGCTCCTTCATTGTATTTGTGGTAGAATTTGGCTGTGAATCTATCTGGTCCAGGGGTTTTTCTGGTTGGTAGGTTTTTATTACTGATTTAATCTTGGAACTCATTATGGTCTGTTCAGGACTTCAATTTCTTCCTGGTTCAATCTTGGAAGGTTGTATGTTTCCAGGAATTCACCCATTTCTTTTAGGTTTTCTAGTTTTTATAAGTAGAATTATTCACAATAGTCTCTGATGGGTTTTTTGTATTGCTGTGGGGTTGATGGTAAGTCACCTTTGTCATTTCTGATTGTGTTTATTTGGATGTTCTCTCTTTTTCTTTTCTTTCTTTTTTTTTTTTTTTTTTGAGACGGAGACTCGCTCTGTCGCCCAGGCTGGAGTGCAGTGGCGCAATCTCGGCTCACTGCAAGCTCCGCCTCCCGGGTTCACGCCATTCTCCTGCCTCAGCCTCCCAAGTAGCTGGGACTACAGGCGCCTGCCACTACGCCCGGCTAACTTTTTGTATTTTTAGTAGAGACGGGGTTTCACCGTGGTCTCGATCTCCTGACCTTGTGATCCGCCCGCCTTGGCCTCCCAAAGTGCTGGGATTACAGGCATGGACCACCGTGCCTGGCCCAAGGTAGATTTTAGAGGCAGACACAGAGGAGGAGAAAATGCTCTTGTCTGGGACCCAGAAGTCCTCTTTTTTTCTTTATTAATGTAGCTAGCAGTCTATAAACATTGTTTATTCTTTTACAAAACAAACTTTTGGTTTTGTTTATCATTTGTATAGATTTTTGCATCTCAATTTCATTCAGTTCAGCTCTGATTTTGTTATTTATTTTCTTCTGCTGTCTTTGGGGTTGGTTTGCTCTTGCTTTTCTAGTTCATCTAGGTATGATGTTAGGTTGTTAATTTGAGATCTTTCTAATTTCTTGATGTAGGCATTTAGCACTATGAACTTTCTTCTTAACACTGCTTTAGATGTGTCCCAGAAAGTCTGGTATGTTTGATCTTTGTTTTCATTAGTTTCAAATAATTTTTTTATTTCTGCCTTAATTTATTTCTTTACCCAATGGTCATTGATGAGCAGGTTGTTTAATTTCCATGTAATTGTATGGTTTTGAGAGATGTCCTTAATACTGATTTCTATTTTTGTTGCACTGTTGTCCAAGACAGTACTTGGCATTATTTTATGTTTTTTTTTTTGGAGGAAATTCAACTTTGAATTGATTCAGTTTTTTTTCTCTTAAAAAGCTGAGATATCCCAAAAGAAAAAAAAAATTTTTTTTGAGACAGGTTATTGTTCTGTCTCCCAGGCTGGAGTGCAGTGATACGATCATGCCTAACTGCAGCCGTGGATTCCTGGGCTCAGGTGATCCTCCCATCTCAGCCTCCTGAACAGCTGGGACTGTAGGTATGTACCATCATGCCTGGCTAATTAAAAAAATTTTGCTTTTTAGAGATGGGGTCTTGCTATGTTGCCCAGGCTGGTCTTGAACGCCTGAGCTCAAGTGATCCTCCTACCTCAGCCTCCCAAAATGCTGGTATTACAAGTGTGAGCAACTGAGCATGGCTGAAAAACTGTTTTAAGTCAGCAGGGTCTTAAGCAACTTTAAACAGCATGTTTAAACGCCCCTTCTCTTACTGCCTAGAGAGATTTAGGGCTCAATAATAAAACTAAATTTGGCTTTAAAAAAGGTAAAACCTTTTTTTACACATCTGAGCCATACGTATAATTTTTGTATTTCTACATATATCAAATAATAAATATAAAAGATACAAAAGGATTAGGATTAGTAGGGTGAAAACAAAATAATACAACATAGTTAAGATGAATCAAAAAGTGGGTACACTATATGCCATAAATGTCTTCTCAGTTATGAAGTGGGCTTCAGTTTTGGCTCTGAACTTCTTTGCAGCTAGAATAAGAAGAGAACACAATTAGTCACAGGTGTCACATTTTTAGAAGGTGAAAGAAAAATAGTTGCTCTGAAGAAGATTTCTAGACACTGAAGTTGGGGAGACCATGAGGTGCTTAGTGATGCATTAGACAAATAACACCTGTGGGAAACAACTTGATGGGAATTTGTTAATTTTTTCAAGAAATATTTATAGAATGTGCACATTATGCTTATCATGCAGGTACTGGGGATGTGCAATGGACTGATGTTTATGTCCCCCCAACAGATTCATATGTTGAAATCTAACCCCCAGCTGCAAGGTTTGAGCCAAGACCTCTGGGGATATCTGATAGAGTCTGCTAAGAGGAGAAACTTGAGCTGGTTCCTGGAGGATCAGGGACAACCATGATAACAAAAGCAAACTTTTGTTTGGTGCTTACTTCGTCTATTCTAGGAACTATTCTAAACAATTTTCCATCGAATGTGTTGGTTAGCTTATTTTAATATTCACAACAGCTCTGTGAAGCAGGTAGTACTATTATAGTCCCCATTCTACAGATGAGGAAACAGAGACACAGGTAAGTCAGGCATCATGCTGTGGATTTCCTAGCTGGTAAGCAATGGCAAGCAATGGAGCCCCCCTTCCCCTCCTCCGTGAGGGATTTACTTCTACTCATCCTTCCAGTCTTCTCTGGGAGACCTTTCCTGATTCCCTTGATGAGGCTGAGTTTTCTGGTTGCGTGTTCTAACAGCATGCTGTACTTGCCCTGCTTAGAACTTACCACATTATATGATTACAAATTTATCTATGTACATTATTCATTCAATCTGTTAAATTATTTATAACTTACTAGATAATTATTACATATTGTTATTTATAACATATAAATAAAAGTTATTTAATGTCTGTTTCTCCCTGTAGACTGTAATCTCCATTAGGGCAGAAACTATGCATGCATTTTCTCATTATTTGATCTCTAGTGCAAGAGTTTGACACACATAAGGCACTCAATAAATATTTTTTAAGTGAATGGAGCCAGGATAGGGCTTGAGCTGTAGGAAGAATTCATGGTAGAAACCTAAGGTGGCTGGGAACGAGAGTGGGCATGGGGTTTGGAGATATTTTAGGACAAACCTTCCACAAATCATACCATCTATGTGGATTCCTCCTTTTTTGTTGTTGTTTGCCTTCAAATAAACTCTGACCAGAATTACCCACCCAGGAAGGTAAGCTGTTTGCCTTTCTGGCGCAGAGGCAAGAAAGAAGGAAGGAGAGCTGGAAGAGCCGCTTTTCCTTCTACGATTGCATTGGCCTATTGCATGTTTCCTGAACCAGTATAGCAGTGCAGAATATGCCAGGACACATTTTTATGTCTTAATTTTCTTTTCCTCCCTGAGTCTCTAAGAGATAGAGGCATAGAGGACCTCATGCTGGGAGGCAGCTTGTGTTACATTTTCCTTTGTTCCCTGTTTCCCATTTTTGGAAGGCCCCTCACAGCTTGGGGCAGGAGAGGGTGAGGGGTGGCTCCCACTGTCTGTCTTGCTGCAGGGTTGGCGGGGATGGGAACTGGTTTTAGTTTTTTGACATCATGTCACTCTTCCTCTGTATCCTAAGCTGCTGTCTCCTAGTTTTCTATTTCCAGGGGAGGATGGTGGCTGAGTCTATATTTGATGGGATTTTCTGCTTCTCTTTGTCACATTCGACTCAGTGAAGGTGAGTTAATTAGACCCATTAAAGAGTCTGGAAACTGGCACTGGAGTTTTGTGGCCTTTGCTACTTCTGTACCCCTGAGGCTGTCAGGGATAATGTGGCTGTTTTCAGCTCAGCTCCTCCTACCATTTGCATGATGAGGAGCTTAGCTTCTCCCAGGAAGAAGAACTGGTTAAGGAAAGAGTTTACTGTATGGTCCCTTACCTTGAATGCCCCCGCTAGTTTTATGAGTCAAATTCATGTATTTGTTCATTGAGTAGATGTTTACTGAGTGCCTTCTAGGTGCCTAGGTCTATGACAACAAGCACTTATAAAGAACGTAAAAAGGGGTTACATGAAAATCATGGACAGTTGTTACCAAAGGAGTTGAGAGGACATAGAGATTAAATATTTTTTGAGTAATCAGAATAGACTTTATAAGAGAGGTGGAGTTTTAGTTGGACTTCTAAACATGGATAGGAATTTGATCAGGGGTAGAGTTGGGTGGAAGGGGAGATGCTAGAATTCTGGAATTCTAAGTGGAGGTGATTGTGTGAGCAAAGGCCAGAATAAGAATAAAGACCTGTTTGGGGTCTGGCAAATGAATTGATATTATTGTAGCAAAGAGTTCATATGGTATTTGTGGTGGTAGAGAGATGTGTTTAGAGATGAATGCTGGGGTTAGAGAGTAGGATCACTTTGGAGGTTATGTGGGGAGCCATCAGGGGTTTTACAGCAGGGATGAAATAGGATAAAACTTAAAATTCAGGAAGCATCTTCTAAAATAATTATCTTCTGGAGGATAAATTAAAGGGAGGAGAAATTGAAAGCAAGGAGACCAGTTCAATTCAAGCCCATAATATTAGCTAACACTTAAATAATGTTTACTGTGTATCAGGTACTGTTCTATGCACTTCACCTAGGTTAAATCATTTAATCTTCACAATAACTTCTGATATTGACACTATAATAATTCCTGTGCTACAGTAAAAAATGAATGCATAATGAGGTTAAATGACTTGCCCAAGATCATATAGCCAATAAACAAATACAATGAGCTAGTATTTGTACTCAGGCAGTCTGGCTCCAGCATTCCATACTCTTAATAACACACTATCCATTCTCTTTGGATTTATTGAAGCCTAACAATGTGCAGGAGCTGCTAGCAACATATAGACATAAATAAAATGCACATAGTTTTGTCCTTCATCATTTAGTTAATCGGAAATTATTTTGGTAATTCAGATGGCCATTAAGATTTTAACTATAGTGATGGTAATAGAAATGGGTAAAAAGGGAGTAATTGATAGAACTTAGCACTAGACTTGTTGTGGGATTTGAGACCACTTACAATTTGGAAGCTTGGGCTGATCCTTCCTTCAATTTTCTTATTTGTGATATAGGTGTAATAATAATAACAGAGATCTGGCTTCTGGCCAAGATGGAGCAAAAAGGACCATATTGAACTTCCCACCTGAAATAACCAAAAATCACACATGGTATATGAGATAAGAGTTTGCAAGATCTTGAACATCAGGCAAAAAAGGACAGTAATCTTTGAGCAATGGCAAGCACATGAGGTGAACTCCATGATTGCCTTACTTTACTGTCTTGAGAGAGATTCCAGGCTGCATTTCAGGGAATAGGAACCCAGGTAGATTCCAGCAGACTCCCTGAATTGAGGAGACAAAGCTGAGAGCCCAGGGAGACCAAAGAGATTAGAGTTTACAGGACAAAGTGACAGACAGGAGAGACTTGTACACAGAGAGAACTCTGGAGATTTGGAAAGGATTCCTTTTAAGTATTCAGCTGAGTACTTATAAGTGCATGTATGTGAGGAAACTACCCAAGGCTGGGGAAATAACTGCTGGATAGGATTAGAGGTAACAGTGCCCAGAATTCACACAGAGACATAAATAGTGCCTATTCTCAGTAGGCTGACTGGAAACCTCAAGATTCAAGGACAGTTGGTAGAGTACACAGAAAAGTCTTCTTCAGTAGTGGGGAAAAACTATGTCTAGAGCAAACATCACTCTGATTCTGCAAAACAAAATTTAAAAACAAGACACAAAAGGACTGAAGTGTTTCCAAGTAATTAGATCTCAGAACAAGGCTCACAAATATTTATGGGGAAACAATTTCCAGCATCCAATAAAGTAAAATTCACAATGTCTACCATCTAGTTAAAAATTACCAGGCATGCAAAGAAGCAGGAAAATACACCCATAATGAGGACATAAGTCAATCAGAATTGAGGTAAATGTAAGAATTAGTAGACAAGGACATTAAAATCATTATTATAACTGTATTAAATACGTTCAAAAAGTTAAGTAGAGACATGGGAAATAAACAGAGGCCAAGTCCATAGCAATAAAAATATGCAAAGTAAGACAAAGGAAAAGTGTTTAAAAAAAGAACAGAGCATTAGTAAGCTGTGGAACAACTTTGGGCAGCCTGGTATATATGCAACTGGAATCCACAAAGGAAGAGACAGAAAGGAGAGAAAAAATATTTGAAGAAACAATGGCTGAAAATTTCCAAATTTAATGAAAACTATAAATCTACAAATTCAAGAAGCTTACAAACCACAAGCAAAAGAAACATGAAGAAAACTATACCAAGGCACATTATAATCAAATTGCATAATCAAGGCATATCAAATCAAAACCACTATGTTTTAGTCGGTTTGAACTGCCTTAATAAGATACCACAAACTGGGTAGCTTATAAACAACATTTATTTATTGCAATTTGGTAGGCTGGTAAACGTGAGATCAAGGCATATTTGGTGTCTGGTGAGGTCTCACTTTCTGGCTTATAGACAGTGCCCTTTTCAGTGTGTCCTCACTTGATGGAAAGGGCTAGCTAGCTCTCTGGGATCTCTTTTATAAGAGGGCTAATCCCAATCATAAGGTCTCTACCCTTATGATATAATCACCTCCTAAAGGCCTCACCTTCTAATATCAGATTCATGATTAGGTGTCAACATATGAATTTGAGGGGGACAGGAACATTTAGATCATAGCACATGATAAAGAGAAAATCTTAAAAGCCGCCAGAGAAAAAGCCACATAATGGATAGAGGAACAGAGGTAAGGATGACAGCAGATTTCTTTTGGAAACAATGCAAATGGGAAGTCAGTGGCAACATCTTTAAAGTAGTGGGAAGGTAGACTGTCATAAGATATATATATATATATATTTATATATATCATAAGGTAAATATATTTAATATATATTTAAATATAATATGTATTTGATATATATATTATAAAGCCTAAATCAACCATTAAAATAGCAAAGAGTTGTAGGTAATAAGCCAATAATGGAAATAAAATAGAACAATACAAAATATTCAGTTTATCCAAAAGAAGGCAGAAAAAGAGGAAAAAACTTATCAATAAATACCGCACTTGAAAGAGGCATTGTCAGATTGGATAAAACAAGACCCAACTACATCCTGCCTACAAGAAACATACTGCAAATAATAAAGACACAAACTTTATAGTACTAAATGCTTATTTTGGAAAAGAAGAAACATCTCAAAGTGGTGACTTCAGCTTCCATCTTAAGAAATAAAAGAAAGAAGAGCAAAGTAAACCCAAAGTAAGTTCAAGAAAATAATAAAGATCAAAGCTAAAATCAATTACATAGAAAACAGAAAAGTCCGATAGCAAAACCAGACAAAAGATATAATAAGAAAAGAAAACTGCAAATCAACATCCCCCATGGACATAGTTGCAAAAATAGTTTGTTTGCTGAAACAAAATTTCAGCAAACTGAATTCAAACAAGTGGCAAATAAGCACATTAAAGTACACTCACTATTGTTGGTTGTTAAGAAATGTAAATTAAAACCTTAACAAGGCACCACTACATGTCTATTAGGAAAGCTAAAATTAAAAATACTGATGGTATGAAGTGTTAGTGAGGATGTGGAAGAAATGGAACTCTGAAACACTAATAATGGGAATATAAAATGATAGAATTATGTTGGAAAACAGTTTAGCAGTTTAAAAAAAAATTAAACATATACCTACAAAATGATATAACCATTTTACCCAAAATAATTTACCCAAGGGTAATGAAAGTATATGTCCATATAGGCTGGGCACGGTGGCCCATGCCTGTCCCAGCAGCACTTTGAGAGGCCAAGGCGGGTGGATCACGAGGTCGGGAGTTTGAGACCAGCCTGGCCAACATGATGAAACCCCATCTCTACTAAAAATACAAAAATTAGCTAGACATGGTGATGGGCATCTGTAATCCCAGCTACTCGGGAGGCTGAGGCAGGAGAATCGCTTGAACCCAGGAGGTGGAGGTTGCAGTGAGCTGAGATTGTGCCACTTGCACTCCAGCCTGGGCACCAAGAGTGAGACTCCATCTCAAAAAAAAAAAAAATGTCCATATAAAGACCTGTACACAAGAGTTCATAGAAGTATTTATAATAGCAAAAAATGAAACAACTGAAATATCCATTAACAGATGCATGGATAAACAAACCCATATATCAACACAATGGAATACTATGTGGCAATAAAAAGGGATGAACTATTGATATGAGCTACAACATGGGATGGATCTCAAAATAAGTATGCTGACTGAAAGAAGCCAGGCAAAAATGAGTATGTAATATATGATTCCACTTACATAAAATTCTAGGAAATTCACATTAATATATAGTGACAGAAAGCATATCAATGATTGCGTGGAGAAGATGAGGAAGTGGGGAGGGGTAAGGGGAAGATTGCCAAGGGATACATACAAAGAAGTTTTTTGGGAAAATGGCTATGTTCGTTATCTTGATTTTGGTAATGTTTCATATTGTACTCAATTCTACTCCAATAAAGCTGTTAACATAGTAATGAAAACTTCAGTGATTAGTGAGATGATACATGAAAGCCCTTTATATGCTGTACAATACTATAGAATAGTTAGTTATTAATTCTATACAAGGAATTAATTACATATAACTGTGAGGTTGTAAGCTTATGAAACTAGAAGTGTGGTGGTCGGATCAGCAGAAATAAGAAAGGAATAGGAGCTGGTTTGTAAAAGATTGTGAATTCTATTTTCCCAAATCTATGTAGGGAACATATAGTTGGGAACATATAGCTGAGAAAACCCAGGAGCTAGTTGAGAATGTGGAACTACAGCTGCAGAGAGGTGAATGCTACCACGAAAATGTGCACATGAGCATGGAGGTGAGAGCAGAAGGCAGGAGAGTAGATGAGATCTCTGGCCAGAAAGCATGGAGCAAGGGAAGAGAAGCCTGGGGACAGCCCCTAGGCTGGAACAGTAAATAGCGAAGGGGCTATTTGGAATAGGGCAATTAGAGGTCATCCAAAATGGTGCCCTTTGAGCTGAGCCAGCCATATGAAGATGAGGGGAAAAGTGTTCCAGGCTGAGGAACAGTGATTGCAGAGGCCTTGAGATGAGAAAGACCCAAACTGTTCTCAGAACAGTTCAGGAGGGCAGTGTGGCTAGAGTTGGTAAGGGAGAGGAAGGTAGTGTGAGACTGGGTTTGGCTGGTAGGCTGTGGTGAGTTTAGATTTTATTTTCAGGACAATAGAAAGTTATCAATGGGTTTTTAGAAAGGTCACTCTGGCTGCAAGCGAACAAGTGCTTGTGGAGTGGGGAGGAGTGGAAGCCAGAATCAGCTAAGATGTTCTTTGAGTAGTTCAGGTGCATCCAGTGACTTGGGCTAGGTTAATGGCAGTGGAGAGGAAGAATTTAAGGTAGGAAGAGCAGGATTTGATAAAACCCAGTGTGTCTAGGAATCTTGTTGATGACCAAATCATTTGGGCCTTGAAATTTTAGAGTTGGAAGTGAGTTAGGGATGGCCTAATATTACTCCTTGACCAACCACCTTATTTTCCACTCTGCTCTGTACAAATACCTTAGCAAATAGCAATAACAATCTTCTCTCAAATGTGTGTGGTCCTTTAAAGCTTCCCGTGTGCTTCATAATCAATGTTTCCTTTAAGGGCATGGCTTGACCCAACCTTTAGCTCAGCCCATTGCTCAGGTGCTCTGCTCCAGCTGATCTGGTCTTATCTTGCTAGTCAGATGCAGGGAATGGTGGTTCCTGTGTTGTAAAGTGGGACTCATGCAGAAGGGGCGGAGGCTTAGGTGGTGGGATGAAGCTGGAGAAGTGACTCCTCTCCAGAGACTGGCTCTGAGTACACAGCCAGCCATCTTGTCTTAAGACAAGGCCAGGACAGCTGCCTCCTCTTCTGGGGACCTCCTCCCCACATTCCAGCCTGTTCAAATCAGGCCGTGTTCACAGTCCATATTGTAATGTGTTCTCCTTAATGGGATCTTTCTCTGCTTTCCCCCCGGGGCCGCATCTCTCATTCCTTTGAACTTCCCCATTGGTATCTCTTTTCAGGCATTTATCTCAGCCCAATTGTTATACTTACTTCCAACTTTCCTTGAGTTATAGTGTCTTTCACTTCTTTATTCCCCACAGCCCCACTTGCATGTAGCTCATGCATATAGCACAGTCCAGTGAAGGTTGTTTAATTGAACTCATTCAAGGTCAAATACATCCTTTGGATGTGGTAGGTGCACAGAAAAATTAGAAGGGAGCTAAGATTCCCTGGTGAATGCTGATTCATTTATCTCTACACAGGTATGATGATGAGGCAAGCGGGGGCAGAAAGGAAGCAGAAGTAGTAAACGGAGCAGTTGGGAGTGCTTAGAACTAAGAAAGTATGTGTGTGGCAAATGCCTTTAGAAAACTCTGACTGAGCAGGAGCCTGACCACCATCTTAACTCTTCCTCATTTAAAATTTAAAACGGTCTGTGGGGAGAGACTCTCCTTTTAGGATCATCAATCTGATTTTGTTCCAGAACTCAGTTGGGAAATTAGGTTTTTATTTTAGGAATTTGCTAGAATATACTGTGGCAGAAACTGGCAAATGCTCACTAAACCCATTTCCTTTTCTTCCTGGGCACACAGCTCAACTATATTTCCCTGCCTCCCTTACGGGGTATGAACATGTGACCAAACTCTGGCTGTGGAGCGTAGGCAAAAGGGATGTGTGGCACCTCCAGACCTGACCCACAAAACCTCCTACATCATCATCCAGGCCTTTTCTCTTATTTCCTGCTGGCTGCATGCCAGAGATCTGGCAGAGGGCAGCACTGCCCAACAGAACTTTCCACGGTGATGCAACTTTCCATGCCTCTGCTATCCACTATGATAATCATGTGCTCACTGAGCGCTGGAAATGGAGCGAATGTGACTGAAAAACTGCATTTTTTACTTTATTTAATTTTAATTCATTTAAACTGCCCTACGTGGGTATGGCTGCCACATTGGGCACCACAGCTTTTGATGCAAGGATTCTGGTTCCTGGGTGACTGGATGGAGCAGAATCTCCTGTTTACCTGCACTGCGCAGTGAAGTACATGAGAAATCAGTATGGTGTTAAGACACGGAGATGCGATATCTATGCCATAAAGTGAGGGATACCTGCTGATTCACCTATACTAAAAATTCATATAGTATACATCTCAGCTGGATACCAACGTGGCTGGACAAACCCAGTATCTAATGTCAAATCCAATTATCCAGTGTCATTCTTAGAAGGAAAATCTACTCTTCTTTTGCCTCTCTTGAGCTCCCAATCTTTCTTCACCCTATTTTATTGGGGAAAAATGGAGGCCCTCCAAGCAACACTACTTCCTTTTTCCATGTAGGGTAGCAGAGTGAACTCAGGGTTCTCGTTTCTTCTCCATCATAGCTCACTGTGTGACTCAGGCAAGTTACATTTCTTCTCTGATTATTGGCTTCCTCATCTTTAAAGTTGCGATTTCTGGTTTTGGTTCTTTTTCTAAAATGCTCCTTTCAAATATCTGCTCTCTCTCTGCACCCTTTGTGCTTCTCCTCCTATCTTGGAAGGGACGATCCTCACTCCTGGTGTTCCCGGTACAAGCCCCTCCCAGACCCTGCCATGTTCCATTCTGCCCTCTGATAGCATTAGGAGATATACCTAATGCTAAATGACGAGTTAATGGGTGCAGCACACCAGCATGGCACATGTATACATATGTAACTAACCTGCACATTGTGCACACGTACCCTAAAACTTAAAGTATATAATAATAAAATAAAATAAAAGAAATCTTTCCTGCTTTCCTGCCTCTTTCCTCTTTACCAATGATTAAGCCCATACCTGCTATCACTACTGCCTTCCATTTCACTTACCTTCACTCTTTCCAGCCTAGATTTTGCCCTGATGTCTCTGCTGAGATGGATTTTGGGAATATCACTGTAAATACCCTCCCTTCAGCTTACAAAGGGCGGTCTCTGGGGACAGGGTGAGTCTCTCCTGTCTCAGCAGAGAAAGACACTTAATCCTGTTGCATGGCTCTTCTCCTTTCATCTATAAATTCTAGACTCTTACCTCCTACACTGCCAGGGTGTCATGAGAATTAAAAGTTTGTAAATTGCCTTGAGTTCCTTGGAGATAGCTAGCGAGTGCAAGTAATAAAAATCATTTCATATAAAGCTGTTGAAAAACAGGCAGTGAATTGGTTCACAGTCTCCCTCATTGGGTTATGATTATGAACATCTCCGATGGAATATCACATTACAGCAAGACAGGTGATGCCTGTGTTCAGCTGCTAATTGTAATAAAGAGCTTAATTTGCACTTCTTCTATTTTTCATTTCACTGGGTTGGGGAGTGGAGGTGACAGGGATGGGGATATTCAAGGAAGCTTTATAAGCGCGTCCTTGAATTGGTGATGGGGAGATGATTGTTCTAGCATTGTAAATAGCCAAAGCTAGACGGCTTGCTGCCATGAACTCTCCAGCTATTCTGTTACTTAATTACTATTGTTTTTCCTGTTTCCTAAGGCAGGGACTTTGAATCCGTCATTTCTGCCCCTACCCCTTCCTTCCTTTTGTTTTCCTTACTTTTATTTCCTTCCCTACTCCACTTCCTTCCTTTCCTTCCTCTTTCCTCCTCTCCTCTCTTACTTCCCTCCCTCCTTTCTTCCCTCCCTCCCTCCCTCCGTTTCTCCATTCTTTCCTTCCTTTGTTCCTTTCCTCCTCTCTTTACCTTCCTTTCTTTCCTCTCTCCCTCCCTCTCTTCCTCCCTTCCTTCATTTATTTTACTCTTATTCCTCATAATTTTGATCATCTACCATATATATACTGAAGAGAGTAGAGATAAAGTAGCAAATGAGGTAAATAAGATTTTTGTTCTCATGTAATTTGCAAACTATGATGGTTGACAATCAACAACACAAGGAATTCTAACAAAGTGTTATTTGTTCATTCATTCTTTCATTTGTAAATCAATAAGGAGAGCTTACTATGAGCCAGGCAATGTTCTAGGCACTTGGTATAAATCAGTGAACAACTGATAGTGGGGCTCTGATGGTCTAAGTACAGACTTCTCTGAGAATGCAAAGCAAGAGACCTCTTCTTATCCAAGGGGTCAGGAGGGAAGGATATCCAAAGTATCCCAGGGAAGGGATACTTTGACGGTGAGAAGTTAGCCTGGCAACAAAAGGGGCAGGGGAGGTGTTCCAGCTAGCTGCTGAAGGGAGCAGCTTGTGGAAGGTCAGGAAGAAGCTCAATCAGTGTGGCTGGCACACATCACATGTAAGGTCAGAATGGCAAAAATGAGTCCTGAGAGCAAGGCAGGGGCTGTCTGAGCCACAGTAGGCAGTTTGAGGTTTATTCTAGGTCATCTGAAGGACACCGAAGGGGGTGAGGACAATCAGGATCAGAGCCATCCAATAAAACTTTTTGCAGTGATGGAAATTGGTCTCTGGCCAACATGGCAGCAGCTAGCCATGGAAACTATTTATTGCACACTTGAATTGTGACTAGTATAACTGAGGAACTGAGTTTTAAATTGTATTTTATTGAAATGTAAATAGCTCCACGTGGCTAGTAGCTAGCATAATGGACAGTACAAATCAGTATTGTCTGCTCATCATATCCAGAATACAATCAAATTCCTCCTGCACCCCCATGTAGGCCCTTCTGCAACTCTTAAGCCTTCCCCAAACACTGAAGCCTCTTGTACTGACTGAATCTCTTGGTTAATTGGGTAACTATGTGTGTTCCCATTTCTCCTCAATGAGTCTGCACACGCTTTGAGTGGGGACCGCTCTTGGGCTTTTGTTTTTGCCTCATCGCAGGCCACATGGCCTGAGTTCATTGAATAACTTTTGTTCGATTGATTGACTCCTGATTTCCTTGGGCTGATGGGTAGAAAGTGCAAGGATGCAGATACCAGTGTTGCAGATGGGCTGCCCGTGAGGACTGTGTGCCCCAGCCCTCCGAGAGTACACAGGGGATGTCTGTCCTTGAGAAGCCAAGCCGTGTGACCTCTGGGAGCCCTTCCAGAGTCTCATTTGCCCAGCCCTCGGGTGTTTCTGTGCTGTGAGTGGGGTGAGGTGGAGGGAGTTCTCAGCTTTCCTGCAGAAAGGCAGGCACCTGTCACCACCCTGAACACTTGGGCTGCTCCTTTGAGTGCTTTACAGTGACAGCGAGCTTGCTTTCCATTCCTGTATTTTCTCTGGACAGTCAAATCACTTTCCCACTGAGGCTTCTAGTTTTAAAATGATTAAAAAAAGGGCCTATTTCCATGCTTATGTTTTAGGCTCAGCTTGAGGCATAAAAGGAAATGTCCTCATAGTAATTGCTCTGAATGGATTTGGGGGTAATAGATGATCTGCCTCTTCCCCAGCTCCCCTCAGCCACAGGAGCCAAAGGTATATGAAGCTCCTGCCCCAAGGGAGAGCTGCTCCTCAGTGTGTTCTGTTGTGTGGCAGCAGAAGGCCCACGACACGGTGCCCAGGGCTAGTTCTCTCTAACTGGAAGTGCAGATGGTGTTGCCCCATTTTCAGAGTACACGGAGACTGGAGACGTGGTAATTTTAGTGTTGGAACAGGGATCCTGCCCTGGCAGAGTCTTGGTTCCTACTTGGGGAACGTATTTTCATAGAATAACAGACTTTCAAATGTAATTTAGTCAGTGCTTGCATTTTTTGTGTCCCTTCCTGGTGGTTGTCACTTGCAGCGACGTGGACTACATTACCATATGAGGCTGCCCTCCTGACCTCAGGACCTCTAACTATTGCAACACATTTCCCTAGGTTGAGCTAAAATCTGCCCTTTGTAGTGTTCACTCCTGGGTCCCAACCTTCCCCCTTGGGACCCTATAAAGCAAGCCTGATCATCCCTCCTTCATGTGAACTGGTATTTGATGATAGCTAAGAGTTCCTTCAACATTTGCTCTGAGGATAAGGTCTCAATTCCTGTGGTCACCTTGGCCGATAGACATTTGTTTCTCCCCGGAGAGTGGAGCACCCAGCGGTGGTCTTAGCAGAGCAGCCAGAGCACGGCCATCGCTGGAACATCATGCTAGATGTTCCACTCCTTTGACACAGCCTAAGAGAACCGTGGGAGACTACAGAGCTCCAGTTAGTGAGTGCTCCTTATCTGCGGTAACGTTCTAGAAGGTCGCCGTGAGCCCTCAATTAGCCAATGCTGAGCCATTGCTTCTAGACAAAGAGGAAATACAGTCATGTGTCAGTTAATGACAGGGATACATTCTGAGAAAGGCATCGCTAGGTGATTTTGTCATTGTGTGAACATCACAGATACACAAACATAAATGATATAGCCTATTACACACCCAGGCTATATGGTATAGCCTATCGCTCCTAGGCTACAAATCTGTATGGCATGTTACTGCACTGAATACTGTAGGCCCTTGTAACACAATGGTAAGTATTTGTGTATCTAATAAACATATATAAGCATAGAAAAGGTACAATAAAAATATGGTATTATAAGCCGGGCACGGTGACTCACGCTTGTAATCCCAGAACTTTGGGAGGTTGAGGCGGGTGGATCACCTGAGGTCGGGAGTTTGAGACCAGCCTGACCAACATGGAGAAACCCCGTCTTTACCAAAAAAAATATAAAATTAGCTGGATGTGGTGGTGCATGCCTGTAATCCCAGCTACTCAGGAGGCTGAGGCAGGAGAATCGCTTGAACTTGGGGTGTGGAGGTTGCAGTAAGCCAAGATGGCGCCATTGCACTCCAGCCTGGGCAACAAGAGTGAAACTCCATCTCCAAAAAAAAAAAACGTGTTATGATCTTATGGGAGCATCGTTGTATATGCTGTCTGACATTGATGGAAACATTGTTTTGTGGTGCATGACTGTATAGGGTTAGGTTTCTGTGAGCTTCTGCTTACAACATTTTCATCAAATGATCAATCCATAAGCTTGTTTCATGTATGTTTTTGTTTAAAGACATCTTCTTTAATATACATTTTTGATTAATTAGCATTGAACTCTCAGCCAATAGCCCTGTAGCTCATGCCTGAACCAAGCTTACGTAACGTGTATTTTCTCCGTGAGGCACATTGCAGCTTTCTTGCACTTAGGAACACTAGACAGCACTCAGTACTATGTTTGGGGCCATTTTAGCAGCACCATCATCAACAGAAGGTGCAAAAATGCAAAAATCATGGCACTAAATAGACCACAAAAGGGGCCCTTGTGTACAGCATGAGAGCTGAAACAAGGAGACTTCGTGTTACCTGTCTGAATTCAACTGAGAAAGAGTGTGTTGGGCGACTAATTTTTTCACACCCTGCATAGGTCCACAGATGAGCTGTGAGTGTTGGTCTTGGGGTTACAAATCAACGTTAGTGACTAGACTAGTTCACAAGTACGGAATCTGCAATTAATGAGGATGGACTGTACCATGACCCTAAGGAAGCAGAAAAATAGTGGTTGGCTTCATGCAGGATGTGGAGAATAGTGCCATAGCAGAAATTTCTTGCATGCGTGTGTCGCAGGGAGGTCCCAGGTAGTGGCTTGTGTCTGTGTGTGTTTTACTTTTGGTCCCGTGTCCTCAGATGGACTCTCAGCTCCAGCTGGACAAGCCTCTCATTTCCATCAGCCATGTCTGGCACAGTGTTTCACCCAGAGTGGCACTTGCAAATCTTTGTTACTGGGGCTGCTGAGGAGATCAGTGCTGATTTAGAGCAGAAGGAGCTGAGGGAGAGAATGAAATGTGACAAGAGATGTGCATAGGTCCTAAGAGATACTTCAAGTGAAGACACAGAGATTTAGGTTAATTCAGAAAATCAATGAAGAGGCAGTGGAAGAAAGTGAAGGAGGAGACTGACGTGGCTGCAGCCACAATACAGATGATTTTAGAGGAGGCTGACTGTGCTTTGGCATGGGACTGGTGAGAAGCTTGTTTTCCTTTTCCCAGGAAGGACTTTCCTTCCTGAGAGCACGAGGACTTTGCTGCCGTGTGATTGACTGCTGTTCTTCGTGACGGTGCCCCTGAGCCTAGGCAGGGCTATGTGTCCACTGTTCAGAAGAGCAAAGTGGGAGGGGGCTTAAGCCACCTTCCCAAGGGAACAGGATCAGCGATGGCGCCAGGGTTCCCACTGTTGCTAACCTGACCGCCTTAGGAGGGGCTTCTGCTGAATGCAGTGATTACCCAGGAGAGGAGAGGAGACACCTTATTTATTTATTTATTTATTTATTTATTTGTTTTTTATGAGAAGTTAGGAAAGTGAAAGAAGTCGAGAGAACCTGTAAAAGGAGAGGTGTTGTTTTTGTTGCTTGGTCATGACAGCTTGATTCAGTTCAATAGACATTTGTTGAGCTTCTGCGTGTCCTTCCTGCCACAAAGGATGGAATCATGGGCTGGACAGAGAAGAATTCTGGGCATGGAGGTCAGTGACAGCTGCCCGTAAGTAGGAGAGTGTAAATCCATGAGTCAGGGAAGCACATCAAGGACTGGAAGCGAGGGCTCAGAGTGGTTGCTGAAAGCCATATGCTTTTGTGTAGTACGAGGCTTGAGCCTGAAATCTGTTGCCTAGAGATGATTCTGTTCTGTTAGGCTGCCAGCTCGGTGCTTTTGCCCTGTGGCTCAACATCCTAGAACCGTAAATGCTGTGGAGGTCAGAGAGTTGGAGATACAGTGAGCTATAACACATGGCATTCAAGCAGGGGAAAAAGTCAGATGGACATGTAACTATGTAATTATAGTGTGTCTCCAGTGTTGTGTGATTACAAAGGAGGGAGAAATTGCTTCCTGTTGGAAAGATGCCCGAGGCTTCATGAAGGAGGAGATGATTGATGTGCTGATTGGCCGCCAAACTGCCCCTGCCCTTACCTTTCCATCTCTGTAATTTCCACCCAGTTACTTAAGCCAAAAATCTGGAGGAGTTATCACCAATTCTCTCCTTTTCTTAATCTTCCCCACATCCAATCTATCACCAAATTGCTTAGCTTCTGTCTTAAAAAGAGAGCTCAACGCTCTCAATTTTACTCTTTATTCATTGCCACCACTGGAGCCCTGGGCACATCACCTGTGGCTGAGACTACTGAAAAAGCCTCACCTAAGGGTGGTTTAAAATTCTACTCATTTTCCTCTTTTATCAGCAGTTTTTGCAGCAGCCAGAGTAATCTTTCAAAAAATAATCTAAGATCCTGCCACTCCCCTGCTTAAAAACCTTTGTAGATTTCTGTATTAGTCGGGATCCAGCTGTGAAACAACTTTGGGTATTTCAAGCAGGGAATATTAATACAAAGATTTGGTTGCATAGGTACAAATAGAGATGGAAGGCAACCCAGGGCAGGCAGCCGTTACCATGTTTACACTGGAGGCACCCAAGCCCTGGAACCTGGAACCTACTCAACCATGGTGAGTCCTGCCTGGGGGTAGCTGGGAATTCAGTGGGAGGGGCTGTCTGGGGGGGAAGCTCCGTGGCAAAGGAGACACCACCATGGCCAACTAATGCCAGCTAGAGCCAAGAGGGAGAGGGGAAATACTCGGGCTCCTCTTTTCTTTCTTTCTTCTAGTCTCCCCCTGGGGCCTCCCAGTGGTCAAACCTTGCTAGAGCCAGTTCTCTAGGGAGTCTGGGGAATGCTGAAGGGTGGAAACAGATGTGACAGGAGTGTGGTGCAGTAAATTTCAGGCACTGGCTGAACTATTTATGCAGACTGGGTTTGGCTCGTAGGTGGAATAGAAGGCTGTTGGATTTGTCTGTCAGAAAGTACCATAGCACAGGAATCTGGTCTGCCACTCCAGATCTTCTCTCTGTCTCTGTCTCTCTCTCTGTCTTTCTCTCTCTCTGTCTCTCTCTCTCTCTCTCTCTGTGTGTGTGTGTGTGTGTGTGTGTGTGTGTGTGTTTAGTGGAAGGACAGACCTCTTTTGGGCCAGGGATTGGTGAATGAGGAAGAGCCTCTCTTGGCCTCCTGTTGAGCCTGGGAGGATAAGCACAGAATATTCTTAAGAGAGGTCTGTGGTAGATCAGCACAGAAAGGGTAAGGAATAGGGAGTTTGGTACCTCCAGAATACAATCCCAGTGTCTTTTAATCTGGCATTAAAGCCTTTTAGGTTCTCATCCAATCTTACCTTCCATGTTTCTCTAACTGGAATATTTTTCCTGACGCTCAACTCAAGACTTACTAATTTCACCCTCCATGCCTTTGCATGTAAGATTCCTTTCATTCAATTCCTATCATTCTTCAAGAATGGTTCAAACCTCACCTCTTCCAGGAAGCCTTCCTGGTTTCCTCCAGCACTCAGGGATCTTGCTTTCCTTCTCAGAGCTCCTAAAAGGGTTAAGGTTGCTTTTACTACTTGGTAAGATCATAGTTTTGCCAAAGAAGGATAGTTTACCTCTCCAAAAATATTTCAGGCTCTTCCATGGCCAGGACAGGGAGTCATTAAGTCTTTGTATTCACCAGAGATGTCATCACTGTGTGCAGGAACACAGCGGATGCCTGACCAACATCTGTGGAAGGGAAATGTATTCAGTCCTAAAGATCAAGTAGTCAGTGTTCAATAAAACAAAGGAGAAGAAGCTGAGCAGGTAGAAATGTGTGATCAGTGATCTCAGAACCCCAAAAGGGTGCTTTAGAAATAAGACAGAGCAATACAGTCATTGGAACCAAATGTGAGACTGTGACTCATGAAGAGAAGGGAGGCTGCCCCTAATTAACAGGAAGCTGGAAAAAAAGACAGTGGCAAGAGAGAGGCTGAGATGGGAAGCAGGCTGAGGAAGCTTAGCATGGAGGTATTGTGTGATATTGGCAATTTTGAAATGTTATGTTTAGCAATGAGTAATACATAACTGATCTAGTGGAAAATGTAGGGCTGGTTCTTCAGGGAGGTAAGAATGAGATCTGTGAAATGATAAGGAGTTAATTGCAGATATCTGTGTTGGAAGTTATAATGTCAGTTTGCCAATGCAGGCATTGCCATGAGTGTGAATGGATTTTCTTTGTGGAGTGCTGGAGGCATAAACAGCTGCAGGTGTTGTTTACATGTTCCACATGCTTTCATGCTGAAATGTGTTTATCAGCTAAATGCATGCTGTGGGGGAAGGCTGCCGGGGTTCAAATCCTGGCTCTACCAATTACCAGTTATGGGATTTTAGGAAAGTTGATAAACCTGTGCCTCAGTTTTCCTCATCTGTAAGATGGGGTTAATAATAATACCTTCCTTACAGCATTATCATAGGATTAAACAAGATGTAAAGGATTCAAGAATGTCTAGCTTATTGTAAAAGCTGACAGGACATTAGTTATTATTACCATTAGTTGTCTTTTATGTCGTCTTCAAGGCTTTGAGGATGGAACTGTTGGAGGGGTAGGTGATCTTTTCTTTTCTTTTTTTTCTGAAACAGGGTCTCCCTCTGTCACCCAGGCTGGAGTGCAGTAGCGTGATCTTGGCTCACTGCAACCTCTGCCTTCCAGGCTCAAGCGATCCTCCCACCTCACTTCCTGAGTAGCTGGGACCACAGGCACATGCCACCAGGTCCAGCTAATTTTTTGTATTTTTGGTAGAGACAGAGTTTTGCAATGTTGCCTAGGCTGGTCTCGAACTCCTGAGCTCAGGTGATCTACCTGCCTCAGCCTCCCAAAGTGCTGGGATTACCGGCGTGTGCCCCCGTGCCTGGCCAAGAAGGACTGGTGATCTTTTCTGATGGGGGCAGTGAGTACTCATCTGGACTCAAGACCTTAAAAACCATTACATTTCAAGTACTTGGAAAAAATGTTTGTAACTTTCAACAAGCAGGTACCAAGAACCTTTTCCTGGGTTTGTGCTTTTGAAGAGCAGCTCGGGTTATGTTGTGTGACTGTCAGCCACTGTGGGACTGAGTGGGACTGAGTGCCTGAACCTGGGGATAGGAAGAAAAGTAGGGATTGGCTCCTAGTCTCTAGACAGGGCCTGTAAGGTACCCTGCAAGAGTGTGATGTGGTGACTTCAGTTGGCCAAAGGTGGCTTCTCAGGGGACGGTTGGTTGCTGACTCAGTCCAGGTGTGTGTGGAAGGTGCTTGATACAAGAATGGGAAGAGTGGTGGGGGAGTTTACTTTATCTCCAGCCAGACCTGGGTTCAAATCAGAGTTTGCCTTCTCACCACTTATGTGACTTTTGGAAACCACTTAACTTCTCTGAGCCTTGTAAAATGGGAGGTTTAAATAAGATAGCATATTTAAAGTGTCTGGCACATAGTAAGACTGATAAATGTGAATTCCCTTTTCTCAGTTTCTTCATCTGTAAAATGTGGATAATACAGAACATTTTGTGAGGCTTTTGTAACAATTTCAGATAATTTACTCATTCACTAAAATATTTTTAGTGTTGACTACATGCCAAAAATCCTTAAGGGTTTGGGGTATCTCATCAAATAAAACAGACATAGATACCGGCCCTTTTCTAGTTTAGATTTTAGCAGGGAAAGATAGACAATACACTATCATAAACAAATACAGCTTCTAATGCGTTGAAAGATGATAAGTGCTATGGGGGAAAAGGGGAAAATAGGATAAGGGGGATTGGGAGTGCTGAGGGTGGGGCAGTGTGCAGGATTCTACAGGATGGCTAAGACAGGCCATCATTGTTAAGGTGATATTTGAGCAAATATGTGAAGAAGATGACGGACTTAGCCAGAATGATATTTAGGGGAAGAGCATTCCAGACAGAAGAAACAGTCAGTGCAAATGCTGTGGGAGTGAGCCTGGCATGTTCCGAGAACAACATGGAGGCCAGTGTGGCTGGAGCAGAGGAAAGAGAGACTAGAAGGAGGTAGAGTCTGGGAAGTAACAGGAAGCCAGATGGTGCAGGGCCTTGCTGACCACTGGGAGGTCAGCTGTGGCTGTTACTCTAAGTGAAGGGAGGGTACATTGCAGGATGCTATGCAGAGAGGAATGATGTGCTCTGCCTATTTAAGAGGCTCACGCTGCACATTGGTTACTGTGTTCAGAATAGACTGTAGAGGGGTAAGGGTGGAAATAGGGAGACCAGTTAGAAGGTTGTTGCTGTGTCCAGATGAGAGATGATGGTGGCTTGTACCAGGATGGTAGCAGTGGATGGTGAGAAGTGACTCGATCTTTTTATATATCTTGTAGGTAGATTTAATAGCATTCACTGATGATTGGATATGGGGAATGAGAAGTATAGGAGTCAAGGACAGCTTGAGCAACCAGAAGGACAGAGCTGCCGTCAATTCAGAAGGAGATTGTGAAGCAGGCTTGGGTGGGAAAAGTTAGGAGTTCACACTTGGGCATGTTGAATTTGAGTTGTATGTTATATATCCAAGTAGAGAAGTCATGGAGGCACCTGGTTATATGAGTCAGAAATTTGGGAGAAAGGTCTGAGCTGAGTTATAAATTTTGGAGTTGACAACATATATGGTAATTCAAATCACATGACTGGATGAGGTCACCATCTTTTCTGATGGGGGCAGTGAGTACTCATTTGGACTCAAGACTTTAAAAACCATTACATTTCAAGTATTTGGAAAAAATATTTGGAACTTTCAACAAGCAGGTACCAAGAACCTCCTCCTGGGTTTGTGCGTTTGAAGAGCAGCTGGGGTTAAGAGCGGCATGAGGGCCTCCAGCTTAAAGAATCGAGGCAGAAGAAGAAAAGCCAGCAAAGGAAGTTGAGAAGTGATCCATGAGGTCGAAGGAAAACCAGGAGAGTGTGATGTCGTGGAAGCCAGATGAAGAAAGTGTTTCAAGGGGGCAAGAGTGATCAATTATGTCAAATAATGTGATGAGTCAAGTGTATTTGCTATCTATCATTGTGTAACAAATCACTCAAAAACTTAGCAGCTTAAAACAACAAAAATGTATTATCTCACAAAGTTTCCAAGACTTAGGAATCTAGGAGTTGCTAAGGTGGCTAGTCCTGACTCATGATCTCTTGCGGGTTGAAATTAAGTTGTTAGCTGTGGCCGCAGTCATCTCTAGGGTCAACTGGGGCTGGAGAATCCCATTCCAAACTCACTCTTGCAGTTCTTGGCACCCTATTTCCTGGCCATGTAGGCCATCTGAGTGGCCTCATGACATAGCATCTGGCTTCCCCCACAGCAAGTGGCCCAAGAGGGAGACAGACTGCAGGAGAGCACCCCAGACGGAAGCCACAGTCTTTTGTACCTAACTGTGGTAGTGTCATGCCATCACCTCTGAATGTTCTTGGTTACACAGACCAACCCTGGTACAGTGTGGGAGGGGACCGCACAAAGGTGAACATCCCAGGAGGTGGGGTCATCTTGGAAGCTGGCTACCACATCAAGCATGACAAGAACAATTGGTCATTGGGTTTAGCAATGTGGAGGGCATTGATAACCTTAACAAAAGCGTGGGGAGAAAAGTTTGATCAAAGTTGGTGTAAGAAGGGATGGGAGGAGGAGAACTGAGACAGTGAATAGAAATGACTCTTTTGAAGAGTTTGTCACAAAGGAGAACAAAGAAATCAGGAAATAGCTGATGAAGGAAGTGGTTTTTCTAAGATGAGAGAAACAACAGTATGTTTGCACATTGATAGGAGTAATCCAACGAGTGAAAAATTGATGACGCAGAAGAGAAAGGTAATTGCTGGAGCCTGGTCCTGAGTAGAACAATGTGGAATAACATAGAAACAGAGATTCCCTCAACCCAGAATAAATAGTTTACGCTAAAACAGATAAAATTACCCACTACATTCTTATAGAGACAAGAGGTATCAGATCTCAAGAGTTTAAGGAAAATAAATCACAGGAGAGAAATCTTAAAATTGGGAAAATTATTTCCATTAACTACTTCTTCTTCTGGGACTTGGGTAAAGACTGGAGCTACTTTATTTTAAGAGTAGAACACATCTGTCCAGCCTGCAGAAGATGCCTGGTTTGAACACCTCTGCAGCGAACCTGGCCAATGGAACAGCTGGGACTCCCTTGCAAGCTGCAGACCTGCTTTGTAGGGTAGTTCCAAGCCCTGAAGATAGGTGGGTTTTCTGCCACCAGATGAGGGAATTCTAGAGGCAACCAAACAGACCTTCACAGTAAAAAAGGGCAGAGGTCTACAGGAGCTCTCAGAATGTCTCTGGGAGGGTCAAGAGCATCAGTCCTCACTGATGCCTCCCATGCTCCCAGCAGGCCTCACATTATAGAATTCTCTTCTATTACTACGTCTCACCACAATAATGGTGGATGGGAACTCTGTCCTGAACCCTTACAAAACCCAGGCCCCTGCCTCGGTGAGTTTTTTGTTTATTTCCAGGCCGGAGTGCAGTGGCACGATCTTAGCTCACTGCAACCTCCACCTACCGGGTTCAAGTGATTCTCCTGCCTCAGCCTTCCAAGTAGCTGGGATTACAGGCATGCGTCACCACACCAGGCTAATTTTTGTATTTTTAGTAGAGACGGGGTTTCACCGTGTTGGCCAGGCTGGTCTCGAACTGGCCTCGAGTGATCCGCCTGCCTCGGCCTCCCAAAGTGCTGGGATTACAGGTATGAGCCACTGCGCCTGGACAGGGTGGGGTGTTTCAGCCTCTCATCACGTCACTAGGAAGACTCCAGGAAAAAGGAGGAAAGTGAGAAAAACTTTTGTATGGGCTACATCAGCGATGCTTAGAATCCAGCTCCAGGACCTGGTGTCCCTCCCCCTCATCCCGTCTTGTCCTTCCCTCTCCCTGCTGAGCTCCGCAGCCCTGGGGATTCCACATGTAGCCCTTACCCTTCTTGTACTCCAGTCAGTTCTCATTGGCATTCTCCTGGTTCTCAAAATGCTTTTACCCTATTGGCTAGGGCAAAAAATGACCTGAGAGATCCTGGACACTCTCCTAGCAACTGTGCCAGAGCTGGTGGCCATCGCCTTTTTGCAGAGACAGATGCTCCTGTAACAGGAACAAATCAATTAGCCAGCCTGCTGCTAATGTGCAAATGTCACCTTATTAAGCTAGTGTCTGCCTGGGGAAGCCGCCTCTTTCTCCTGTCCCCACTCTGAAGCTCAGCCCTCTGCTGTTGCTTCAACCTCTGTCTCTTCTGAGGTCAATTGTAAAATGAAACTGCTGCCATCTGAACATCTATGAAAGCCACAGGCTCTACCCAGATGCCTTGGCTGAGAGGAGGGGCAGTTTAATTTCCCTTCCTTCTCTGAAGAGTCTTGACGTGCAAGGACCAGCTCTCCCTTTATCACCATTTCCAGAAAAACACAAACAAGGCAAAACAAAATAAAAACAAAACTTTGCACCTATTTTTGGTGCCAAAACCTTAAATTAGATTAAGATCACATCAATTTCTTCCATAAGCTTTGTAGCTTAGGAAGTGCATGCTCACACTTTATTTTATTTAACCCTCATAATAAATCTATTGGAGGAAAGGACAATTATCTCCATATTACAGATGAGAAAACTGAGGCCCAGAGAGGTTGGCTGACTTGCTCAAGGATATTAAGCCAGTAAATTGCAAAGCCAGGGCTGGAAGAAGGGCAAGAAGGGCCAGAAAAGCTGATTCAAAGCGCAGGAACTCTGGAGGCACCTCCTGGCAGCTGGAGCAGGGTGTGCGGAGTGCCCTCCCTCCATGAGCTAAAGGAGGACTGGCTTCCATGAAGCACCAGCATTGCTCTGTCACCCCCACCCAACCTGGTCACCTTTCACTATGACCACTTTCCATCCTGTCTCACTTTCAGAAACGAGGTCTGAGCAGTGCAGCTGGACCTACTATAGTCATAGTTTCCACTGGCTTTGACTTCATCAAGCGAAAACCAACACCCCTTTGAAATCTGTAGCCCCATCCCTAAAAATCAGCCTTTCAGCTTGAATCAAAAGGCAAAAGGCAATGGAGATCCAACTGGAAACAGAGCTCCCTTCCTCCCTTCCAGGCAATGCTGCTGTGTAGAAGGTCACTTCAGAAATTCTGTCTACACTATGAGGACATAAATATTAGGGAGAATCTCCTCTGCCTCACATGAACCTGGGTCCTTCAGTGAGTCCCCCCACCACATCCCCTCAATCCTTTGATTCTTCCCAGTATTGTGACCTTTCCGTCCTTCCTCTGAAGTTGTAGGAGTTGATTCTTCCCAAAATAACCTGAGTAATGGCTTGCAGGAAAGTTACAATTAGCTTTTCACAGGGAAGAAAGTTTAGAGAGTTTTTTTTTTTTTAAAGGAAAAGAGGTAGAAGGAAAAAAAAAAAGCAAATGAAAAATCTTGTGGTCTTCTAAGTCAATTTAGAAAACACTGAGTTATTTCCGTAGAGCTATTCTGACAGGAGATACATTGATTTTTGGCCTCTCTTCATTGTTTTTATTGCTGATTACATCCTCTTTTTCTAGATTGTCCCAGGTGGCCACAGGTGAATGAATTGTGTTTACTTACAGACCACTGATTTCTGTGTTGACACACATTGATTTCAGCTCAGAGTAAGAAAGATCATCCTAATAGAGCTATCTAAAGTTGGAATAGTTGCTTGGGTGGTGGGGGAAAGAGGGTGGTAATGAAATAGTGAAATCCCTGTCAACGGAGGTGTTCAAAGACTGAATGACTGTGGAGGGAATGTGATCGAGCTGACTCCAGCAGGACTGGGAAGATAGCTCGGGGGATCTTTAATGTTCTCACCTCATGTTCAGCATTAACACCTGAGATGACTGTTTAATATTATGTAGATACTACGTGCCAGTGAGGACAGTGTTTCCCAAAGTGTGACTTGTTAGATGTTTCCCACAGGGTGGTATGCTTGATGATTTTCTTTGGTAAGGAATTTACTGTTAAAATAGTAAAAATACAATTAGTACAACAAATCACAATTTCATGGATATCATTGCCTGGGATGAAGCTAACAAAACCCATGCCATAGTAATGGACATTTAAACTGTAAAAATTACAGGTGAGGCCCTAAGTGGTAACCTTGAACATTTAAGACCTTCATTGCTAAATTTTAGCCTTAAATGTTTTGAAGGATGAATAGTACAGGTGACCCAGATAAATAATAGGGAATCTGATCTACTGTAGTTCTATGCTATATCTCAGTGTTCCCCCCCACCAGGGGTACATCGTGAAGCAGATTTGAATTTGCTTCACAAAACTCAGGTTATAAAAATCTAGCATTCATTATTTCCAGGATCTTGCTAGATTTCTGAGTTTCCAGCCACTTTAGTGGAAAACAACTTGATCTTTTTAAATTTATGTTTTACCTTATTTCTAGCCAGAGGTTTTCTAGTTAACTGATGATTTATCATTCTTTTGATTATATATATCATTCCTTTGATGTATATACAGTCAGCTGCCTGCTACCCCTCCTTTCCTGAAGTTTATGTGGCCTGACGTTGGGGTGGGGCATCTGGGCTGCAGACCCTCTGGGGAGGCTGCAGACTGGCCGTGGCTGCAGGGAAGAGGGCCCTCCTTGTCTGTGGGCATTGACACCTCTCCCCCACCACATCAGCTGCTGAAGCATCCCCATGCCCTACCAAGCCTCTTGTCTCCTGATACATGAACCCTGTCTCCTCCTTGCCCAAGCCTCGAGACCCCTTTAGGACCATTGGCAAGGTCCCCGTGCCCCTCTTTGGCTCAAGGTCGTGTGCTGAAGACAGGAAATCTTCAGAGAGCCTCCTGCACCACTCAGGAGACACAGGAGCTTTAGGGATAGGGAGTGGCCATCACGGGCTCTCTCTCTCTGCCTCTCCCCAGTCCTGATGGCCTGTGTTTTCCCTTGGGGTACATTGAGCTCCTATTGATCAGGCACTTTGCAAAGCTGTCTCTGTCCAGGGTTTGAGAGGGTCACGCTTTGCTGTATTATGGCTGCAATGGCTTCCAACTGGTCTCCCTGCCTCTTCCCCTGCTCTCCCACGGTCTGTCCTCACCAGCAGCTACACAGGAGTGTCATGCCTGCTTAAAACCCTCCAAAGGCTTCCCACTTACCTCAGAGCAAAAGGCAAAGGCCCTCTGTGATCTGCCCCCCAACATTACATCGCCGATATCATCTGCTGCTACTCCTGTTCTAGCCACACTGGCCTCCTTGCTGCTCCTAGCAAGGAACATTCTAGGCATGCTCCCTCATTAGGCCTTTGTGCAGCTTTTTCTGTCTTCCCTATATCAGAATTGCCACTTCCTCACTTATTTCGAATATGCTGAAATGTCACCTTCTTGGTGAGGCCTACTCTGACCACACTGTTTCAGTTGCAGTCCACCCTAACTCCCATCCTTCCTGCCTTGCTGACCCTGACATGATGCACAGTTCTTAGCTTAAACACCCTGTCCTCCAGGCAGCCTCCCCAACTCCCCAAGACCCTCTATAGCCTCCCAGAGAACCTTATTTGTTTTTTCCACTTGAGCACAAATCAAGGTTCATGTTAGAATCTGTTTATTTTTCTGTTTTAAGCTCTGGTGGCTGGCACAATGTTGGGCAAGTAATAGGTGCTTATTGTCAATGTATTGAATAAGTAAATGGTTGAATGAATGAGTGAATGACTCAGTTCACTTTAAAAAAAGCTTGAAGATTGTTGAGGAGATTGGCTAGTAAGGCTTGTAAAACCTCCAGTATGGTGCTTGGCTCAAAAAAAGGAAGTTTATATTTATAATTCCTATGATAAAGGAGGGCTTCTTGTCACAGAGCTTCTGTATTGTCTGTGATTCAACTAGTTTCAGTGAAAACTGCACGGATTTTTATGTAGGAAACATCAGGCTAAAATGCTTGAAAGATGTGTGGCAGGAGGAAGTGGCAGCCCTGCACTTTGAAGCATTGGATCTTTCTTATGCCTGCTAGCAGAGGCCCCTCTTCTTGACTCCTCTTGGAATTACTGCCTGGCTGTTAAGTGGCCCAGCTCCCTAGAATACCGACACCTTAAATACCGCCTATTTATGTCAGCGATTTTCATCTCCAATGAAGAGCCTGGCCCTGGGGCACTTGTGTTTGGTCTGAGAAGAAGTAGAAGAAATGTAGGATGGCCACTTTGGAGCTTGTGTGTGATGATTGATGGCCCAGACATTCTCTCACTCCCGTTTTGTATCATTACATATTTTCAAAGAAGGTGATCTGCTAACACAACTAAAGGTATACTAATTTTTATAACCAGATGAGATATTTCTTATATATAAATTTGCGAATCAGAAAAAATATTCTTTTCAGACCAGTTATCTTCCTTTTTGGATTGAAGAGTAGTGTTGCCATAATCATGGGGGATTTTGTAGAATATTATGGTGAAGACAGGAATTTGGCAACAGTTAGAGGGTGGTGTGAAGACCCTGGCAGCTGGGGGACAGAGGTATAAGTGGTGAGAGAGAGCCCAGGGGCCAGGGAAAGAGGTGGGAAGGGTCCCAAGACTCATTTTTCCCATTCCTCCTAGTTTCCTCCCAGAGCAGAGCCATCACTTCATTCCCATCAGGCAATCACAAGATCACAAAGGATGATCCACCTCTTCTTTCCATTACCTCTTGGGGCAGTCTGAGAGCTTGCTCTGTGATGATGCTGCTTGGAGAGGCCCAGGACTGCTGTGCCAAGCCAGAGCGTACTCCGTCCCCATGCAGTACTGTCCTTAGTTAGAAAGTGCTGCTGACAACAGCTCTGCTTCCTCTACATGGACCTGCATAAAGACAAGGAGCCAGGCCTGGGGGAGGGGTCAGGTGGAACCTGGCACAAACATGTATGAACTTATTACCCCCCTGCACACACATGTACATATGTACATGCCATCACTGAAACACACAGTCTTATACCCAAGGGACAGGACTATTTGAGGGCCCATCTACTTTCAAAGTACAACCTATACTATCCTTACTTCAACTTCCAGAGAGACATTAGGTAAGGAATCAGATTTTGAATTCTAGGTACAGTGTTACTAGCTATGTGACCTTGGGTAACTTTCTGTGCCCTGTTTTCTTATTTACTTAATGGGAAAGATAAAAGTACTTACCCAATAGGTTGGTTAATAAACATGAATTTCAGGTCTTGAGTTCAAGAAATGGAACTAATACCATTATTAGAGCCAGCATGGTGCAGTAGATGGTGGCATGGCATTTGGAGTCAGTCAGATCTGGATAAGAGGCTCTTCCGTTTAATGACTGTGTGATCCTAACCTCGGGAAAATTATTTAATCCTTTTAAGTCTCAGTTTCCTCATTTGTAAAATTGAGTTCACAGTAATAGTTATTTCATAAGATTTTTTTCGAGAATTAAGTAAAAATGTAAAGGATTTGTTGCATAAAAGCCCCTTATAGTATCTAGTATAAAATTAAGAACCCAATAAATATTAACCATTATTTTTATTGATGATGGTGGTGGAGGTGGTGTCTAGTATGACCCCTCATCCTCATTCTACCCTACTGAATTGCAGAAAGGCCTTTTACATATAACCCAATTGCACTGTTCACTTCCCCACCTCAAACTTACTGCTTGCCCAATTGAACTTAACTTTATTCAGTTTAGATTGGGTCATTTTTCCATTATTCTGAGGATTGTTAGAATACTGACCAAGAATTTTATGCAAAAGTGAAGTCTCAGTGTCCATTTATAGAGGATGAACTACAACCAAAAAACATAGAGAGGGATAAGAAGACTCCCTCCTGCTGTGATCAGAACAATTAAATGGCTTTGTAGAATGTGGAGTATTTAAAATCTTATAATTTTGCAGGTGAATATGGGAACTCCCTCAACTAATGTGCTTTGGGGTGTAAGTAACAGAAAACCTGACTCAAATGGGCTTTGGCCAGTAGGAGCTGTATTGGCTCATATTGCTGGTGGTCTAAGGTGGGGTGGCTTCCGGGTTGATTGAATCTGGGGCTCCCTCTCCATTTCCTGTGATTTTCTTGGCCCTGCTCTCCTCCATGTGGCAGGCTTATCCTCAGCTGGCAGTGATGTGGTGGCAGCGGTTTCACAGTTTGCATCTGTGCAGCACACTGTCCAGAGGCAGAGAGGGGCCACTTCTTTTTCTAGCCTTCCCTTAAAAGCTGGGAGATTTTCCCTCCAAAACCCTAGTAAATGTTACCTTATACTTCATTGGCTTTAAATGAGTCACATGCCTTTTCCTTAACTAATCACTGGCAAAGGGATGTGGTTACCTTGACTGGATTAGTCTAATTAGAACCTGCTATGGAGCTGGAGCCCATCCCCCAAACTGTACGGACGGTGCACAAGGTTGGGGGATGGAACGATCTTGAGGAGGTAAACATAATGCCTACTACAGTTTTCCTTTTTAGATCATTGGAGAGATGTGGGCACTTTCAATTGGATTGTAATTGTTGGTCTAATCTTACAAGTGCCTTGTGTCTTATTGCAGAACGTCAGGGAACACCTGTCTGAGTTGTGCACCTGGAATTGCCAACATCGTGCTCAGTATGCATTTATTGAGCTAAAAATCCTTCAGGCCACATTATCTCTAGAAATGTGAATTTTGTTCTCAATGAATTCTTTGGCTTAAAAAGCAGGTTAATTATAACATAATTGTTGGTAATCATGTCGTAAAATATGTAGTAAATGACCAGAAAGAAAAAGCATAAAACAGAAGTCAGAGGGCACAGAGAAGAGAGTGGAATGAAGAAAAGATCCTAAAAGCTTTCAGAGATCAGACACGCTTTGGAGGCACAGGTATGCCCTTCTTCCATTTCCATCAGCTCCTGAGTATCCAGATCCTAACCCAAGATCTTCCCACTCATTGTCAAGCTTCTTTGAACTTCCCACGTGTTTGATCACAGCTGAGGTGTGCAAAAAGGCTGGGTTCTGAGATAGGTCAGATGGAATCTGACCAGAAGGGGCCAGGCCTGGCAGCCAGATGGGGAAGAGCTCAGGCCACCAGCACAGAGGTTCACAACTGGCCAACATGTGAGGCACTCGAGGGCTGTGAGGTGTCCTCCATGAAGACCACATTGTAGGCCCCATATGTCCAGCTTTGGGCTTTGTTCTTGTTTCCCTAGGTGGCAACTCAGACTGGCTCTCCCAGTCCAAACCGTGTTCCCTACTTAGAGCTGCAGCATGAGGGGTTGCCCCTGGGCTAGTACCTTTGAAAGCCTGTGCTGCTGTTATGACCCTACTCAGAGAGGAGATTTAATCTGCCAGCACAAACAGTGCTGTCCATAACTTTACTGCAGTACCAACGTACTCCCTTTAAAAGACAATCACCTCCAAGAAAATCACTTCAGGTAATCTTGGTCTGAGTGGGTGGGAGGGATATTACGAGGCTCTAATTGGAGATCCCCAGTGCTACTGGGATTGATACTTGAGAAATGTTTTGATAGAAAAGAGGCTATTGGAGAAGATTTTGCAGCATTGCAGATGCCATTGTCTGAGCCTGATGCTGCAGTGGTTTGGACAAACACCCTTCAGGGACTATATAGAGGCTTCTGGAAGTTAGCCCCTAGCCCTTCTCTATCCCAGTCTAGATAACTGGCATTTCAATTTGTTTCTCCAAGTCCAAGGGGTTGTAGCATTTTGTTTTCTTTCCAGTTAACTATTACTGACTCCTAGTGACTTTTCCTTCCAGAGACTGTCCAAGGAGTAGTTTTCTGTCCTTAGTTTTCTACCTCCCTTAAGTTCCTTAGAAAAGTATGGGAAACTGCAAAATATCTTCTTTCCTCCGTACCTGTTTACCTTTCTCCCTCTCTCCTCCCCTCACTCCTTCCTTTTATAAGCACTTACTGAATGCTTACAATTACTACATTTCTGCTCTCCAGTGGTTAAGCAGGGCCAGGTGACTGAATTCTGGCTAATGGAATGTGGAGAGTTGATATACACCACTTCTAGGCCTTGCCTGTAAGCCTCATGCAAAATCTTTCAAGTGCTTAGTCTTTTTCTTTGTCTCCCAGCTGGAGAGAAAAAGAGTTTAGGAAGACTCTGAGGCCCAGGGCTTGGGTGTTAGCAGGACCAGGTGCCTGTTTTTGTAAATAAAAAATTTTATTGAAATACAGCCGTATCCATTTGTTTATATATTGTCTATGCTGCTTTCACACTGAAAAGGCAGAGTTGTGTAGTTGCAACTAAGATCTTATGGCCTGCAATGGCTAAAATATTTACTATCTAACCCTTTAAGAAAAAAATTTGCTTAACCCTTCCCCAGGGGATGGCAGAGCCACTGAATGAAAGGAACCTGGTTCCCTGAATGACTATGTAGAGCAGAGTCTCTCTTTCCCATCTTCCAGGCCAACTTGCATCATTAGACAGTGATATTGGAGAGAAATAAGTTTTTATTTTATTAAGCTATAGATATTTTGAGGTTGTTTAATACAAACATAAGTTATTTTACATAATAAAAATGGTAGCTAATATTTATTGGGCATTTTTTATGGCCAGGTGCTGTTCTATGAGCTTCTGTATTTAATTCTCACAACTTTATGATGTATCTACCTTTCTTTTTTTTCTTTTTTTGAGATGGAGTCTCGTTCTGTCTCCCAGGCTGGAGTGAAGTGGCGCGATCTCGGCTTGCTATAACTTCTACCTCCTGGGTTCAAGAAATTCTCTGCCTCAGCCTCCTGAGTAGCCGGGATTACAGGCACCTGCCAGCATGCCCGGTTAATTTTTTTGTCTTTTTAGTAGAGACAGAGTTTCACCATCTTGGCCAGGCTGGTCTCAAACTCCTGACTTTTTGATCCACCCGCCTCAGCCTCCCAAAGTGGATGTATCTACTTTACATGTATCTACTTAATCTGTAAAATGATGTATGATCATTTTACAGATTAAGATATGCAAGGCTATGTAATTTGCCGAGGGATTCAGTTGGTGAGCGTGGAGTTGGGATTCATACCCAGCTTCAGAGCGTAGGCTCCTAACTTCTATTTTTTTGCCCCATATTTACCTAACTTACAGTTCCAAGTTCCTCCCCAGATACTATGTTGATTCTTATCACAGGCTTCTGTAGGGCAGGTTATATTATTATCCTCATTGTTTATGTGAGAAAACTGACCTAGAGAAGTCAAGCTAAAGGTTGCTTGACTAGCAAGTGGCAGAAATGTAGCCTGAACCCAGAGCTTCTGATACCAGAATACGGACTCTTTCAACTCCTCCGCAGAGACTCAGACTGACTTAGTGCACACTCCATATTTGAAGCTGTGTTTTCCTTGAGTCTTGGTTTACATTCAGAATGCACCAGCCTGTTAAATTGCTGTTGGACATTAGCCCATCCTTGAACAGTCACCATAACAACATAGGCACATGGAGAGGAATGTGGGGTAGGCAAAAACTGATGCCAGTCCAGGGGAGAATAGAGCTTTGCAGGGAGTGGGGGTGGGTCAGGGAACACTTCCTGGGTGTGTTTTGCTATGTTCTTTTCATGATATAGACTGGAAATGATTGAGAAGGACACTGTTCTAGTGGCTTTTAGCAACCTGACTCATCCAGGACAATACCTCTTACCAACTTAGCACAACCTCTCAGGCTGACACACTGCTTTTAGGACAGTGTTTGAAGACATGGTTCCTAGGGGGAAAGGGTGTCTATTAACAATGTAGGTTCCTGAACCCACCCAAGATCTACTGCATGAGAATCTCTGAAGAGACATCCAGGAATCTGCATTTTTAACCAGCAATGTAGATGGTTCTGATGTACATTAGAGATTGAGAAGTGCGGTCTTAGGAAGTCATGGTAAATGAAAATCATGCCCAGCTTTTACTCCTCCTTTTTCAGTCAGGTAGCAGGCTGGCTCAGCTAAGAAAAATCCCTAGATGAATATTTATTTCTGCACAGGGAATGTTTCCTCTCAGAGTAGGCGGGTGAGTATGCTGAGTAGGTCATTCCCTGCCATTCCTATTGCTGGGCAGGAAACCCATTTTACTGTATCAGTTCTCTCTCAAGAGAATCATTTTTAGAATTAACTCAACACGATATATAAGTTGTAGAGTATCATATCTCAAAATTTGTTTCCATCTTATAACTTTTAATTTCTAACAGGTGGGAATTAGGACATCTTTACCCTCATCCAGCCTATGGCAGACAGAGGGTACAGAGCCAAGATAGCTCAGGGCCAGCTTGGGGACACTTGTATGCCTACCACTCACCTCGTAGTGTTCATCAGTTCCATTTCTGTCCACTATCTCTTAGCCAATGTGCTTGGTGGTCTATGCAGTGGAGATTTCTTTGCTGAACTCAGAACTTTCAGGGAATAAAGATAGTAGACTTAGAAAAGCATGAGTTTCATTGACTTGCTGGTGTATCCACTTCTCACAAGGTAAGTTGGAGGATGCACATGTTCTGGAGGAATCAGAAAGAGAGTGGTGGAGGGGTGGGAATAGGATGGGCATGCACCCAAGGAAAGGAAGATGAATGTCCTCAATGTGACAGACTCATCTTTAAGGGTCTGAGAGGCACAGATAAGCCAAAGGGGTGCATGGACCATTATTTCTAAAGCAGTAAAAAATAGATGAATTAAGAAGTAAAACTCTTGATAGGGTATAAAGGGAAAGATGGTGCAAAGGACATAATATTTCTTCATGGACAAAGATCTTGACTTTGACTCTGGAAGGGTGACAGGGAAGACAATTTCAGAAGTAGGCTATGAGCTCGAGTGTTTTTGGCAGTGCAGGGTGCTTGTGTGGGGGTGGAGGAAGAGAGCCCTTATTCTGCCATTCCACTGTGCCCTGACAGGGAAGGGAAGGGTTTTTCTGGGGCTGCTGGATTACACTAAACGCTCTTCCACCCCAGGATCCCCATAATTTAAAATCACACCCTCTGCTCATTAACCAAACTTAGCAATGAAGAATAAGAAGAGAAGTAGGTAGGAAGCAAGGGTTAGAGTCAGACTGGTGCTCTCAAAGCTTTCATTAGCTCGTTCTTGGGCAAGTTTTGCAGAGCTCATCTTATAACTTTTAATTTCGAAGCAGGCCCTCTTCTCCCTCTCTTCAGGAGTGTTGAGTGTGAGCTATAGGACAGCAACTTTGCTCTCAGGAAGCTGCTCACCTGGGTCCACCCCTCATTCTCTTTTGTAGATCTCCATTTCCTATTTTTGCCAGGTTCTCTGTAGAACCTGCTTCCATGGGCGTAGGCTGAATGACAATAATGGAGTCCAAGAGACGCAGATGAAAGACCAAAGTTTACAGGACTTTATAAATAAAGTTTTATCAGAACACAGTCATTCCCATTCATTTACATATTCTCTGGCTGCTTTCATGCTACAACAGCAGCGTTTAAATAGTTGCAACAGAGATTGTGTGGCACGCAAAGCTCAAAATATTTATTTTCTGGTCCTTTGCAACAGAGATTATATGGCATGCAAAGCTTGAAATATTTATTTTCTGGCCCTTTGCAGTGTTTGCCAATCCTTGCTCTAGAGAGTTTTGTATGGGCATTTAAATGCTACCCTTAAGTAACATATATCACTTCCACTCACAACTCACTGGCCAAAATGGTCACATGGCCCCACTCAACCATAGAGGGCCAGGAAGTACATCCTACTGTGTGCCCAAGAAGGGGATAATCAGAATATTTGGCAAACAGCACTAATGGTCACCATAAGCACCTAATATGAATTGAACTCAGTACTAGGTGCTGGGTATAGAAAGAAGAACAAGACAAAATTGTTGATCTCAAGGAATTTAAGGAATGCCAGAATTTGGGGATTGGAGGGGGAAGGCTAAGTATAGATTCGAGTGTCCTTTCCTAGAAGATATAGACTGGCTTGTCTGAATTGCTTGAGATCTCGGCTTGGTGCTAGCCAGAACTGGGGACTGATCGGCTTGGCAAGCAGTGGGGGCAACAGACCCTCCTGGTGAACATTTGTATCAATAATAGAAGGGTTGTTTAACAGAAATTCTTAAAGGAAAGATGAGATAATTTCATATTTTGATATTCATAACATAAAGCTGGAGCTCCGCAGTGCATATTATTGCTGTTGTAATTTTGGCAAAGATGTGATTCAAATTGGCAAAGTGTCTGGGAAGAGGAAATCATGTAAGGAGAGAGGGTGGGATGGGTCAGGAAACAGAGGTGGGGAGCCAGGTACTGGTGGCCTGGTGAGAGCTGGGAGGGTGGCCCAGGAGCCTTTGTCACAGACAGACACGAGGGAAAGGAGGCTGCAGCCAGCAGGGCCTGAGAATTCTTGGAGTTGCTGGAGATGCTAAGGCCTGGGGAGGGAGTGGGAGCAGCAGGGGAGGGGTGTGCGCGTGCATGTGGTGAGGGAGAGACATTTAAACATCGTAGGAATGAAGGATAAATTTAAAATCCCTCAAGGGGAGTTGAGACAGAATGACAACGTGAGGAACGTGAATCACTCTTTCTAGGGACCCACCCAGCTGTTGGCATGATTTGGAATACATTTTCTTCTCCTTACCAAGCTCATTCTGGACTCCTTATCTTCCTTCTCCCTGATCCCTTGACCTGGCCTTGGTGGCCAAGTACCGAGTGTTGGCTACCATGTCCTGGGAGCTTCAAGCTCAAAAGCATTGAGGCCTTAGGGTGTGGTGCTGGTAGGGCAAGGAAGACCAGTCCAGATGCTGGAGATGGAGAAGGGGACGAATAGAGAAGGTATCTTAGGGCTCCAGGGGCGTCCGAGTCTACTGAATGCTCCCATCAGGCTTTATCATGTATGCGCTAAGATCATCCTCTCATCCAGACTTTTTGTTTCTATTTATTATCTTAGCATAACGAGGAGGGGGGCTGGGAGAGGCATTTATGGATTCTGCTTCATGTGGTAGAGACACTGTGATCAATATAGTGGAGAAAACCATAAGCTAGGACTTGAAATCTGAGTTCTCTCCCAGCTCTGCTTTTTATTGGCAGTGTGATCCTGGGTGGGGCTCTCTACCTTTGTGGACCTCAGCATCCATAAAATGATATGGTTAGATCATTATAATTCCTAACCATTGAAATAGTCTTTGTTTTTGTGACTTGCAATTTGACTTGCCGTCCAACCCAGGGAAGGCGGGGTGGGAGATGGTGTCTGGAGGGCAACTTTCTGGGAGGATGCCACCCTGGGGGCCCAGTACAGCTCCCAACACATAGTGGGTGCTCAACCATCCAACACTGGTTGAATGATCTGGAGGCCAGAGTTCCTCTGAGCATGTAGAGCACGGGACACTTCTTAGATGCCACCTGTGGTCACTGAGACGTGTGGTTGGGAGGAATTCTGGTTTTGGGCTCCTGGCTAGGAGGGAGGCAATAAGCAGGTATCTTGAAAAGGTGGTAAGTTCAGGCCCTCTCAAGCCACAAGGACTCCCCCCAGTACTTAGACCTGCTGTGGGGACTAGCAATGTGTGAGTAACTTTTACGTCTCTCATTAAGTTAAACCTTTGCTAATTGGAGCATGTCAAGATCTAGTACCAGCCACCCACCTGGAGTGCTGCTTTCACTTGGGCAGGTCCATGAGGCGTAAAACAGGGAAAACACCTCAATGGCTTTGGACTCAACCTTTAGGGGTGTAGTAGTGGAGGAACAGTGCACAAAGGAGGAGAGAGGAGTGACCAGGGAGGCAGGAAGAATCCTTTGGTTTCCCTAAATCCTCTCTCATGCACATGCTCTTCCTTTTGCCTGTTTTCCTCTCCTGTTCTTCAACTGGCAAACTCTGTTTAACCCGGCTCCAGGGTCCTTTCCTTCACAAAGCCCTCCTGACCAACCCCAGCTGGGCTAGGTGCCCCTCTTTTTTTTCTTTTTTTGGGATGGAGTCTTGTTCTGTCACCCAGGCTGGAGTGCAATGGTGCGGTTTCAGCTCACTGCAACCTCTGCCCACCGGGTTCAAGCGATTCTCCTGTCTCAGCCTCCCAAGTAGCTGGGATTACAGGCACACGCCACCACACCTGGCTAATTTTTGTATTTTTAGTAGAGACTAGGTTTCACCATGTCGGCCAGGCTGGTCTCAAACTCCTGACCTCAAGTGATCTGCTCGCCTTGGTCTCCCAAAGTGCTGGGATTATAGGCGTGAGCCACTGCGCCCAGCCAGGTGTGCCTCTCATGTGCTCCTCTAGCAATCAGGCCTACGCCAATCATAGCACATTCTGTGATGTGGTCACAATCGATGTTCTTCCTGCCTCTTCCATGAGGATGATGTGGACTAAGTCCAGCTCATGTTGTTGTGCCTAGTGCCTGGCACAGTGCCTTGCACATGGTAAGTTCTCAGTCAACGCTGATTGAATACGTACGTCTTTCAGAGGCCAATCTGGTTATGTCCTCCTTGGCATGGAAAAGGAGAATGATGCCAAGGGGAGCAGCAGGGGCATCTGAGTCACACGTGGCCCCAGGTCCTGAGGCAGGCACAGGCATTAAAAAAGGAGGAAGGAACCTGCATACAGGACCCAGTTCTCAAGAAGAGTTCTCCTTAGGCTGGGCTCAGAGGCTCATGCCTGTAATCCTAGCACTTTGGGAGGCTGAGTGAGGAGGATCGCTTGTGCCCAGGAGTTGAGACTAGTCTAGGCAACACGGGGAAACGTCATCTCTACAAAAAATAAAAAAATTGCTGGATGTGGTGGTGTGTGCCTGTGGTTCCAGTTACTCAGGAGGCTGAGACGGGAGGATCACCGGACCCTGGGAGGTTGATGCTGCAGTGAGCCGTGATTGCACCATTGCACTCCAGCCTGGGTGACAGATCCTATCTCAAAAAAAAAAAAGGAGAGACCACCTTGTGGCTTGGTGCCCCCAGGCACGCACTTGGGAGGCAGGGCAGCAGGTGGTGGTGGCAATCCCCCCAGAGTGGGCCCTGGGGAAGGGGTTAGAGGGATTCTTCTACCAAAAATGGGAGGGAACAGCCAGCTAGCTGTCCGAGGTGGGGCTGAGATGTGCGGCCCTCGGAGTTCTCTCCTTATTGCAGCACCTCTAAACCTTACCAACGCGGCATATCATTATTTCTTTAATCTGTGTCTTCTGCAGTAGACTGTAAGTTTATGAGGGCAAGAATCCAGTCCACTTTGTTAAATTCTGGACACCTGGGGGCCCAGCCTGGTCCGCCGCGGATGCTCCTAATTTCAACATCATTTATCGAGCTCCACTGTGTGCCAGTTTGTGGGTCAGGCCCGGGATGTAGCACTGAGCAAGCCAGAAGCCTTGGCCTGGAAGGCAATGCCATTAACCTCTTTCTTTCTCTTCTCTATTTCCCTGTGACCTTGGCCCCATTCTTCCTCCCTCCCTCCCTTCCCCACTCCTTGTCTCTGCCCTCTCCCTCCCACAGAGCAATGTTCTGTGATGGTGCCCGAGATGCGTGGACTGAGCCCAGACCGCAGGCTGCCCGAGCCCGCCCCCTGCCCGGCTGCGGGGAGCCCTGAGCCCAGGTCCGCGGGCCGCCGCCAACGCCACGTCCTGGCCCTGCCGGAAGAAGAGGCATGGCGGCCCCAGCAGTGCGCTCTGCTCGAGGCCGACGCCTCGGACGAGGTGGGCATGCTGCCGGCTTCCCCGCGCGCCGCCTCTGGCTTCGACAACTTCTTCCAGGTGCAGGAGGGCGAGGGCCAGGGCTGGGAGGGCGCCATGGCACTGGAGGCGGGCTCCAGCCCTTTCCTGCCGGTGAGCCCCGAGGTCATGAAGCGGCGGCGCGGGGGCCTCATCGAGCAGCGCGACATCATCAAGGCCCACGAGGCGCACAAGATGCAGAGCACCCCGCAGGCCCGGCGCAAGGAATGGGAGTGAGTATGGCGGGGACGCGGGGGCGGGCATGGCTGGCTGGGCCTGAGGTCGGGGTGGGTTCCTGGAGCGGATGGGCCCCGTGAGGCCGCCCTGGAGGGTCGGGAGATGCTTTCGCTGTGCTGCGACTAACGAGAGGCTGGACCCTCTGGATGAGGTCCTCGTGGTCAGTCCCTGATCTCACCACCCGGCTGTAGGCCTCGTCCAGCCTCACTGAGGCGTTCAGCTGTCAGATGTGGGTGAATCAGCCTTGCCCCCAAGGCTCACTTGTTTTACTAAGAGCCTGTGGAGAAAGAACTGGGGTCTGTTTCATTCTCTGAGCTTTCCTGAAAGCCAGGGAGAATCCTTCACAACGTGGATCATCTATTTCATCTTTACTTCAGGAACTGCAGCTAACCCTGCCTTTTTAATATCCTCCTTGGATGAATGATTACATTTTGGGCACATCTCCAGTGGATGGAGGAAAATGTCCAAGATCTGTGTGGCCACTCCTGGCTTTATTTCTGCTCTGTTTGTGTAGGGCAAAAGGCCAACTTTAATTCACACCTGTTGAGAATTTTGGCTTTTTCTTCTTAGGAGTCCTAAATTAAAGGAAGATGGGATTTCACTTAATTCTCTCGGTTGCCCCAGGTTTTTGCTCCATAGAAGGACTTTGCTTTGTCCTGTGGATGCCGGAGTTTACTCGGCATGCTGGCATGCCCTGTGGTCTGTATGTCTTCATCTCTTCTTGCTTTAGATTGTTGACTTGCTAGATGTCATCAAGTACAAAGAGATTAGTCACAGATGTATTTTGATGGTGGTGGTCGTGGTGGGATTTACCTACTTGGTTTCAGTGAATGTTCTGGATGATACAAGTAGGGGTAAATGAGCTGATCTCTGTTTCATAAGGATGTTAATGTTTGTTAGTTCGCTCATTCATTCATTCAGTGAGTCCGAATGTATGCCGGGCTCCTGGGATTCAGAGAGGAGTTGGGCACAGCCAGCATTCAACAAATCTCTTGGTTGTTCATCTCTCAGCACTATTAGTATTTAGAGCCTTGCATACCTGTCTTTAAGTGCCAGGCAACATTCCAAGCACCTTACATATATCCACTCATGTTAATCTTCACCATAACTATGAGGTAGGTACAGTTATTAGCCACATGTAACCAATGAGGCACAGAGAAGTTAAGTGACTTTCTCAAGGTCACGTGGATAACAACCGCATTGTTACTGTGATTTGATATTAATTAGTAATTTGAACCCTGGCAGTCTGGTTGTGGAATCCATGCCTTTAACCATGATGGCACAGTGCCTTTCATTCTAACTCTCAAAGTACTTCTCTCAACAACCTATTGAGATGCCATGGTAAGAGCACTGGTGTTGGGGTTTGGAGACTTGGGTCTAATTCCCAGGGTGACCTAATTAGTGGTGTGACCTTGAGTAAGTCACCTCATCATGACTTCGAAAGACAAGTAGGAGGGAGTAGACTTCCTTTAAATACAATGCAGCTCTGATAGCTGGCCTTTCTTCATATTTAGAAGTACTATTTTTTAATGCACCTCCATCTTATCTTTCTAAGAGGACCCTGAACAACTTGAGGGCTGAGACTGTCATGCACATTGTTCATGTCACTCAATGCCTATCATCTGGCCTAACCCAAAAAATCCCACAATACTCAATGAAAAACTAGCTTTACCATGACTAGCAATGTGGAAATAACTTTTATGTCTCTAAGTTAAACTTTACTGATTGGAGGATGTCAAGATCTAGTACCAGCCACCTACCTGGGGTGCTGGCGGGGATGATTGGGAGACTGTTTTCACTTGGGCAGGTCCATGAAGAGGTAAACCAGGGTACACACATCAATGGCCTTGGGGAATGTCAGCCTTTAGGGGTGTGGCAGTGGAGGAAGAGCACATGAAGGAGGTGAGAAGGAGTAGAAGGAGGTGGGAGGGTAACCAGAGGGTATAGGGACAAAGAAGTAAGGAAAATGGTGTGTTCAGAAGGAAGGTCATCATCTCCATAGAATGTTGCTGAGAGGTCAAATAAAATGAAGATAGAGAAGGAAACACTGGCTTTGGCAACACAGAGATGACCTGAATGGGAGTAGTTTCCACAGGGCGATGGGGTCAGTAGCCCAGTTGGAGTGGGTTGAAAAGAAAATGGGAAGTGATAGAGACAGTGATGTTGCCCCATCCTTCTCTGCTCCCCAACACTCACGGCCTCATCATGGCTTTTCCCCTCACCACCCAAATTCCTTAGCCTCATGGCTCTGTACATGCCTTAATTTGATCTTCTCCACACCCCTCCCCAGTTCTACGAACCCTAATGTTACTGAGCAAAGAGGGCTTGCTGCTCGGGGCACTAGAAGCCAATACTACAGCACTGGGTTTTTGAGAAGAGAAGCTTTTTATTGCATGTCAATTCACAAAGAGACGGGATGTCAAGCCCAAATCTGTCTCTCTGTCCTCGCTTCAAGGCAGTATTTTCATTAGAAAAGGTTCAAGGGATTAGTAAGTGATTGGTGGAGGGAAAGGGGAGGTCTGGAAAGTCCTTGGACATGCTCAGTTATCTCTTCATGCTACCTCACAGGTCGCATGTGAAAATTCTTGAGGACTTAGTATGAAACATGTCATGGAAGTTCAGGCTGTGGTGTCAGCAGGCTTGTTCTGCAGACGCCAGTAGGCCAGGCCATCTTGGTTCCAACCGATGTCAGCCAGTTTTTTCTTGATCTCACGTTGTGGGGAATTTCAGCATTTCTGCAAGTTGTTTCTTTTCTTATCTGCCATTCTGCAAGCTCAAGAATATCTGTTAGTCATTGGTTTCTTACTCTTTGGGGCACAGTTTCAGCTTCAGCTTTTCAGCAGGTTGTTTCTTTTCTTATCTGCTATCCTGTAAGCCAAAGAATGTAGTCATTGGCCTCTTTAACTCTTTGGGGCACGGTTTCACTAATACACTGTCTGGCACTCATGTTTCATCATCAGCAAAGTCCTGTTCATCCTCCTCATCTTCTCTGGAAGTCCCCTTCACTCTCTTATTTCTGCTGGAGCCTCCCCCCAGGAATGCGGCTTGCTCTGCAGCTGCCTCATGTGACAGCTGCTTTCCCTTCCACGCTGCCTTGGACCCTGGAGTCTAGAGAAGCAATTTGCTCCTCACTATTGCTTCCAGACCATTACTCCCCTCTCCTGTCCTAAAAATGCCAGCTGTGGCGTGCATGTCATCAGATAATACCACCTACTACCCCTCGTTGCCACCATCTACAAACTCCCAAGTCACTTGCTTCATTCCAGGAAGAATGGGTTAGCCCTGGGTTTACTGCCTCTCTTCCCCACGTCTTCAGCTGCTGGCAGTTCTTAGTGATTTCAGTATCCATGTAGATGACCCTTCCTGCACCCTGACCTCTTGGTTCCTTAGCCCCTTCTGTTTGGTGACTTTGCCTTCTTGCTTCCTGCTGACAGCTCACCTCCATGGTCTGCCTGGACATTGTCGTAACTGCATTACTCCATAATCTCGGTTTCAAGCATCCCACTGTGTGATCACCCCCTCTTTTCTCTCCACTCCCTCTAGTGCTCAGTTCCCAAGATTCTTTAATCTTACTGCATCCACAAGACACTGATCCTATTACCTTTTCACTATCCCCTTCCCCAGTCATGTCACCATTTCCCATCTTATCAAACTGAACTCCATCATAAGCACCAAACATATTTTCCAGATAAAATAGTGACCTTTCACTTGAAGTCTCCTCCTACCCTCTCAAGCTCTTTCTTCTACCAACTTCTAAGATAGAATGAATCATCCACAAAGGGCAAGAATGCTGGAGCTCAAGTTGGTTTCTAGTGTACTTCATGCTTCACCATCATTATAATCTCCTTATTTTCACCCTCAACTTTGTTGTCCCTCTGCTGCTTTGTTATACCTTGTCTGGCAAGACTTCAGCCCTGCTAAATCCCACTTTCCCCTATTCTTCATGTACATATGGGCAGGTGACCATAGCTATAGAAAAAGTCACAACCACGCCGATTGACCTCACTGTGAATTGATGACTGCCACCTCCAGTTGGCCCTTAGTCCTGCCCAGAAATCTTACTACTTTTCCCTTTTCTATTCACTCTCACACTCCTCTAGAGATTATTTCACATGCTTTTCCCTTAACTCTCAAATCCCATCATTTCCTGCCAGCTCGCTCCTAGCTCATGACTACAATTGCCTTCCTACTTCACTGGGAAAATAGCAGCAATCAGGAGAGGCATGTACAGGCTCCATCCACTGCACTGACCGCCTGCTGCATCTGGTCCCTGGTACCAGGCCTTTACCTTCTGTTACTGTGGACTGACCACCCCTCAAGTTCCATGTGGAGTCTGTTGCCCATGTAGAGAAAAATGAGCCCCTTTGTTTATTCTGTCTCCATTTTTTTTTCTTACAATTTTCTCTGGAACCCATTCCAATCAGGTCTTTGTCCCAGGCAAACAAACAGCTGTTGACATGGTGACATTGGCCTTCCCAAGGCAGAATCCAATGGGTGTTCCTTCGTGTCCATCTTCCTTGACCTAGCAGCAACATTTGATCACTTCCTCTTTCTTGAAACTCTTTTGTCCTTATTTTTTATATTTTATGTTTTTTTAGAGACAGGATTTTGCCGTGTTGCCCAGACTGATCTCAAACTCTTGGCCTCAAGTAATCCTCCTGCCTCAGCCTCCTGAGCTAGGAGTACAGGTGAAAGTGTTTTGTCACATGGCTTTTACGATACCCACTCTTGGTTCTCCTCCTATGTTGTGGGTTGCTTCTCAATCTCTTGCTAGTTTCCACTTCCTTTTCCCAATCCTTACTAAACACTGGATGTCCCAGGGCTTGGTCCTCAGCCTGTTCTCTTCTCACCAGTGCTTACTTCCTAGTGCTCTTGCCCAGTCCCAGACCTTTGGTTAGCATCGTATACTGCTGACCTCTAAATTGGTGTCTGTACTCAGGACCTCTTCCCTGAATTTAAGATACCACCCACTTATTCACCATCTTTACTTGTACATCCATCGACATCTCAAGCTGAACATGTCTAACATCAAAATATTGATTTCTCTCCAAACCTGCTTCTCTTGTAGTTTTCTCTTTCATTAAACCTACATTTTTTCTGTTGCTGGGGCCAGAAATGTTGAAGTCATTTTGATTCTCACATTGACACTCAATTCTTGCCAATCCCCAGTGTCTCCCCCCTCAAAATGTATCAGATCACCATTCACCACCTCTGCTGCTGTCTCCCTGGTCCAAGCACCTTTTATTATTTTTATTCCACACACGTATATGATACTAGATGCCCAGCACTATTCTAGGTACTTTATAAATATTAATTAATTTATCCATGTAATAATTGATTGAAGCTGGTACCATTATTACCATTATTGTCCCCATTTTTGCACTTGGGGGATAGAGAGTTTAAGTCACTTGCCCAAGATCATAATGTCAACCACCTCTTAATGAGCCTCCCTGCCTCTGCCCCTCCCTGCTAGACTCTGTTTCCCCAACTGCAGCTAAAGATCCTTACTTTTTCTTTTTTGATTCACAAAGGATTTAGAAAGGTAGAACAAGTAGTTTCTGTCCAAGAGTCTTAAGAAATATTTCATATCAGTCCTTAGCTCAGTGCATGATTTCCATCTTCTCCCTCTTCCCCCTGCCCAGCCAGCCTCCTAAAGATGCATGAATGTCTTTGGTTTGATTTCTTCATCTTTCCCCTTAACTCATTCTGCACTGGCTACACTGGTCCCTTGTTATGCCTTGAATGTACTCAGACCTCCCACATCAGGCCTCTGCCTTTTGCTGGTCCCTTTGCCTAGAATGCTTTTCCCATTTATCAGGATGGCTCCTCTCTCATTTCATTTAGGTTTCTGCTCAGAGAGAACTTCCTGATCACCCTATTTAAATAGCATTCCCCCATTGTCACTCTCTTTCCCTCTTTATTTTGCTTTATTTTTCATCATAGCCCTTATTGTTTCCCCAACGGACACACAAACACACACACATACATACAAGCACAGATATTTTGCACTGGAGTGCAAGCTTCTTGAAAGCAGGGCCTTTGTCTTACCTTCAGGGTCCAAAACAGTGCCTAGTGTGCAGTTGACTCACAATAAGTGTTTGCTGAAAGAATGATGAAGTAAACATATTGAGGGGAATTGATATCCATTCTAATCAGCTAAGTTCCAGGGAAGGAGGCAGCTGAGTTCCCTGTGTCCACTGTGTGGTTGTACAGGTTGCTGACTGCAGAGTCCTCCAGTTGAATAGTCAGCAGTGGAAGTGGGGAGTCTGTTCTCTGCCCCACTTCAGGGCTGCCCAGGATCTGCATGCACTTTGTAGAGATGGAAATTTTTCCTCCCTTCTGTCTCCTGCCTTTCAGCTTCTCCTGACTTATGTTCTTTAGACAGGATCCCTTTGGCTCTAGGACAGGGGCAGCCTGGTCCTTTCCCAGGGCTTGGATTTACTGTAGTGGGAAATCAGGCAGGGTTCTCTGTGGGCAGCCCTGACAGCATCTTGCTCCTCCCAAGGCCCTGTCCACTGCTTATACAGGTGAAAGCCTGGGACACATACCACCAGCTTTACAAATCCTGTCTCCTAGACACTGAGTCAGGACCCTGGTGATAGTGAAACAGACTAGAAACCAACCTGGGAGGTCTCCTGCATTTTTTTTTTGTCTTTGGCTGGGTAAGCCAAATGCTGATGGGAGAAGGAGTACTTTAGGTGATTTCAGATGAAGCAGATTTTCTTGTACAGAATGTTGTTTTCCTAAGAACCTATTTAAAGGTTTCCTCAGGCCCACTTTTCAGGTGATGAGGACCTCTTGGTTAGCACCAAGTGTTTATTGTGTACTAAGTTTTATAACTTTAGCAAGTGGGCATGTCACAATGTTTTACTAATACTTTAATATAGTTCTCTCCAGCTTAAAACATTTTTCATACATATGATCTCATCTGAGCCTCACAATGACCTCATGAATTAGCTGTTATTATTTATAATTTACAGGAGAGAAAAATGAGCTCCGAAGTTAGAGGTGGTACTAGGTCAAAAACCTATGTCTTGATAATGACTGCCACCATTTATTGAGCACTGGCTATATGGTAGGTGATTTGCATGTATTATTTATTCTAATGGAAATAATAGGTACCATGATGAAGAACAGAAACATTTTGTATGGCACTATTATTGCATATGGGTCTGGAAGAAAGGAAATTATGTGTAACTTTAAAGTCTGCGTAGGTTGGTATGACTTACTCTATAAAGAGGGAGGGGGTATTTCCATAATCATAGTACTTAGCACACTACATTGTAATTGCCTGTTTACATGTCTGTGTCCCCCACTAGATTGTAAGCAGAGAAGTCTGTCTGCTCCCCATTGTGTCTCCTTTACTTAGTACTGTGTTGGGCACATAATAGGCACTCAGTAGACATTTGCAGATGAAAAACAACAACAACAACAGCAACAACATGATTTTTCATATTGGGAAACTGAGGCTTGATAAGGTTAAGTTACCTGCCCAGTATCACAGAGCCAGTGAGGATTCACTCCAGGTCCTCTAATTCCGAAGCCCATGTTTGTTCTACTGAGCCATCCTACTCACTGGTGTCCCTACAGTAACTGGCACAGCACTGGGTAAATGACGGGAACTCAGTTCATGCTTGAATTCTTGCAATGCTACTTGTAAATTGTGGGCTTGGGCACTTTGTAACCTCCGCATTTTTTGAGTAGAGGAGAGAAATAATACCTACCTTGCAAGCCTGTTGCAAAGTTTGACCACATTTATTAGATCATATAGTCTGGTGGGGGGTCCTCAAAATGTTGATGAGCACCAGGGTTATTCTGGGCCTCTTCTCTGCCTACAGCCTCCCTGGGTGACCTCACCAGGTCCACATATCTGCAGATGACTCTCAAATGTAAATTTCCAAAGAACCCTTGACTCTTGAAGCCAAATGCTTGTCTGGCATCTCTGCACTGTTGTCTATCTAATCAGCTTCTAAAACATAATGTGGCTAGAACAAAACTCCTGATCCTCTTCTGATCCTGTCTGGCCCCTCATTTTTCCTTATCTCAGTAAATGGCACCACTATTTCTCCAGTTGTCCGAGCCAAATATTCTCATTATCTTTTATTTCTCTCCATTTTTCCTCACTTCTGATCAGTGGTAAGCCCTGTCAATAACATCTCCCAAACATATCCCAAGTCCAAACACTTCTCCATCCCCACTGCTACCAATCTCTTCCAAGCCACTATCCTTTGGACCATTGCAATGGCCTGCTAACGTGTCTTTGCATCTTTGTTTCCCTAGAATAAGAGAATGTGATCTATTGACACAACAGGCAGGGACAATATGAACTCTTTTTGCTGGCTCATAAAGCCCTATCCGACCTGAGCTTTGCTTAACTCCTGGCCTCATCTACTCTCTCCCTTGTTCCCTGTGCTCCTGCCCACTCGCCTTTTATTTAGGCTATGCCTGTTTATGTCTCTACCCTGGCTCCTGCCGTTGCCTGGAATATTTCTCCAGATCTCAACAGGGTTGGTTCATTCTTGCCATTTGGACCTTAGCTCAAATGATACTTCCTCAGAGAGGCTGTCCTTCATCACACAGTCTAAAATAGACACCTGGTCACTGTGCCATATCACCTATGCAGTTGACCACCAACCCCCACAAGAATGTTGGTGCCGTGAGATCAGTGATTTGACTGCCTCGTTCACTCCATATCCCCAGTGCTGAGGGCAATGCTGACATATGGGCCCTCAGTAATTATTTGTGAATGAATATTTATGAATGTTCCGTAACAGTGGCTATGGTTATAGTTACGATCTATGTGTTCACCTGGCCTCTGATAGCCCTAGCCATACCAAACGGTCTAGTCCAGGAAGCTCAGGACACCACTGGCTCTAGGTCTAGACCAGGGTCAGCCCCTGGGGTGTGGAGATTCATGAGCTGTAAAACACAGGTTGGTTAACTTACAGGTTGTATGAGAACTGTCCTCCTTCAAGCTATTGTTTGATCACCACAGAGCCATGTCTTATTTGACTTTGGGTAAGATATCCAACCTTTGTGGGCCTCATTTTGCTCTTTTGCTAGATTGTGGATGAGTACAGCAACCTTTTTGAATTGTTATGAAGGAAAAACAGCATGTAAAGTACTTAGTCCGATGCTTGGTTGTTTTTCTCCTTGATGTCTGGTTCCTCACCTTCAGGAGCCTGTCACTTGCTATCACTTATAGTTTAACCAAAACATTAGATTGTGAATCTAACAATAGAAGCCTGCAACTTCTTGTCTACCGAGAAAGTGTACAAGAACTGCTAACTCATGCCCCCATGCCTAGCAACATGGCTTTCTCAACTTTGAAAGGATTAGAGTCATCCGTTGGTCTTAGGAACCAAAAACATTGATGCAACTCCAAATAAAAGTAGCAAACATGTATTTTTCCACTACCATAATAACCCTAATCCCCTTAATCTTACCCATCATTACTACCTTAGCCAACCCCTATAAAAAAGGTTCATATCCAAATTACGTAAAAACATCTATCGCATGTGCCTTCATCATCAGCCTCATCCCTACAACAATGTTTATATGTACAGATCAAGAAGTCATTATCTCAAACTGACAGGCATCAGAGGTTTGCCGAAGCCCAAGGTGCAGAGGTTGTAGTTAGGCTTGGGATCAGCTGTATACATCAACGGACCACAGCAGCATGTGGGAGACTACAGGAGGGAATGCACAGTGCCTGGCACAAGGTCAACAGTCAGTGCATATGAGCCATTATTATGATCATTATTATTATTCATCTGGTCTAGCTGCTTCATTTACAGGTGAGGAAGCTGGGGTCCTGAGAGCCTGGGTGACTGCTGGTGCTTTATGTGAAGGTCAGTGGACTGTGGTGAGTGACAAGGTAGGAGGAACCAGTCCTGCAAGTCCCACCCACTTCTGTCTCATGTGCCCTGCAGCTATGCTGACTTAGTAGGGGTGATCACATTCAAACAACAGTCTCACTGGCATTCACACCGCATTCAGCATCAGCAACATATTCTGTAAGGCAACACCTGTCTCAACCTTGAAGCTTTATGGGTGAATTTAAGGGCCATTGGGCCAATTTTTTTTTTTTTTTTGCTGGCCTTTTGAAAGGCGGCCAGCCTCCTGCAGATCTAGTGAGACTAAGTGGAGACCTCAGTCCACATGCTGCCACCTGCTGCCAGCATCAGACATCACTCGGGTTGTTAGAATACAGGAATCTGTGGAACCACTATTGCCAAAAGGGTGCATGGCAGAATTTGTTCTTATATATGAGTGCTTTGTTGAATTATCGGATATTTTAATTTTATTTAAATGTGTATGTTTTTAGAGGGGGCAGGAAGTCTCCAGGTCACTGTATTCCCCACCATTCCCTACTGCCTTAGGGCTATTAGAGGACTGACTTGGTCCTGAAGGCACCTGAGTTTGCAGGTCTGCAAAATCCAACCTTCTCACTCAGAGACGAGGCATTTCAGGATCCTAGGGCTGTAGTATAACAGGGTTGCAGAAACCAAAACATATGCCAGTGGAACACAGAAATCATGAGCCTTCAACACACTGGGTTATCACTAACCAACAGCAAGTTTGAAAACCACCAGCCAAGAAGAGACCGGAGCACATGCCCTGCTTTCTTGGAATTCTGAGCAGAGCAGGAAGGTGCAGAGAATCCAGAGAATTGGGCTTCCCTTAGGAACTGACACAATTTGGGTGATTTCTAGAGATTTGCTTTAAGATGATCCTTTGGGGAACTTCAGCACACACCCTTGAATTTTCCTTACCTGTCCTCCCGGGATTAGAAAAAAGAGGCTGTTTCTAGATCTGGTCTCTGGTGACTCGCCTTTCCCTTCAACCTTCCGCAGTTCTAGAAATGCTTCCCTAGAGAACTGGGTTTGAGAATAAACAAGGTGGTGCGCGAGCAGCGCGGTTTTCTGTGCTTGCAGTGGAGACCGCCTGTGACAAGGAGGGTCCTGTACTGGGAAGGAGGGGGACTGGCCCCCTGCTAAGTGCCTGGCGACTCTCATCTCTTGCAGAGAACGAATGCATAACCTCTCTGCCACTCCCTTTCTCTTTCTGAAGCCATTGGATGCCCTGAGAGAAAGCAGAGGGTTTCCATCTTTTCCAGAGCACAGTGCTGGGAGCAAGGGCTGGGGGAGATCTGTTGTCCCAGTTCTTCCCTTCTAAGGCAGGCCTTGGGGGAGGACTCTCCCCCAAGACTCTGCAGCCTGGTGCTCAAGCCGGATCGGCCCGTTCTGTGCTTCCTTTTGTGGTACCATCAGAGTCTCCTCCCTGTTTGGAGGCTCAGGTGAATCAGTCCCCTCTCTCCCACCCTGCCCTTGCGCTGGGCTGCCTCCACTCTGCTCCCATGGCCATATCTGTAGAAGGAGGCTCTTCAGTCTTCTGAACATGTCAAGATTCGGAAATTCTGCCCCCAGCCACCTTTTTGAAGAAAATGGGAAAAGCGGCGCCCTCTAGCGCCAGCTGCTCAATTTGTTTTCCCTCTTTTTCAGAAGAGATATTTTTTCTTCTTTTATGGTGCCCCCAAGTGGTTGTTTCTGTGTATTGCAGCCGCAGTCTCACTGGGATGCTTTCCGCTGTGTAGCTGGAGGGGCTGGGGCAGCCTGGTGGTCAGCACTCACATCACAAGAAAGGAAAGCGAAGCCAGGAGGAGAAGGGCCTTGGCAGGGCACGATGAGCGCCCCGAGACTCCCACCGCAGTCCAGGGCCTTCCCCCTCCCTGACCACTGGCAACCCCTTGCCATCTTTAAGGGCTTGCCTGGACCCATGGCTGCAAATGAGCCAAAGGCGTTTTCCTCTTGGATGTGAGGGGATGGGTGAAGACACGTGCAGAAAAGGAAGTGCTCATTGTGGAGGAGGTGAACATAATTGGAGGAATTCGCTTTGGCCTTTTTGGCTGAAAAAAATATTTATGAAATTGCTGTACACCCCCGCTCCCCCCCCCGACCCCAAGCAGAGTTAGACACCTATAGAATTCCAGGCACCGATGAAAAGACCTTTAAAATTAATCGCACATAACTTCTCATTGAAGGTGCAGGTGAGAAGGCTGAGGCGCAGAGAAGGAGGTGGGCGTGGGGCACCCTTCTGAGGACCCCACCTCAGCCGCTCATACCCCAGCCACACTGTCCTCCTTCTCTTCTCTTCTGCTTTTAGCTCCTTTAACCATCTTTCTCTTCCTCTTTTTCTCTCGAAGCCTGTAGCAGGGAGGGAATGAAGGCATGCAGGGTTGGCGTGTGAGTGAGGAAGAGGGCTTGTCCCCCTTTCCCCTCTGTCCCTGCCCCCGCCTCTCCTGGGGACCTCCTTGCAGACCCTCTGCAGCTGTGCTCACATCCCACTACTCAGCCTCACTGCTGTTCTAAAAAGGCAGCATTACTGCCTGCTGATCAGGTGATGAGGAACCTGCAACCCTTCCCAAATTTATAAAGAAAACAGAGGAATTCAGTAAATTCTCTTTCTGCTCTTGGAGTAGGACAGACCAGTGGTCAGTTCTGGGGACAGTGCTCCTGGTGTGGAGACAGTGTTGGCTGGACACACCCAGCTTGGGTGCACTGGGGTCAGGTGGTCAGGTCTAACTGCATCCCCCTCCTGTCACTCCATCTCAACAATTCCCCAACCCAGTCCTACCCCATCTCAACCCTTCCTCAACCCAACCTCTCTCCATCTCAAGTCCTCCCCATTTCAGCCACTATCCGTCTCAAGCCCTTCCTATGTCAACCCTTATCAATTAAACTCCTCCTCATCTGAACCCTTCCCTAACTCAACCCAGCTCATCTCAACCCCTTCCCATCTCAACCGCTTCCCATCTCAGCCACTTCACAACTCAACCCCTTCACAACTCAACCCCATTCCCATCATGGCCCCATCACAACTCAACCCCTTCCCATCTCATTCCCTTCAAAACTCAACCCCTTCCTGTCTCAACCCCTTCACAACTCAACCCCTTAACAACAGAACCCCTTCCCATCTCAACCACTTCACAACTTAACCCCTTCACAACTCAATCCCTTCCCATCTCAACCCCTTCCCAACTCAACCCCTTCCCATCTCAACCCCTTCCCATCTCTACCCCTTTACAATTCAACCCCTTCACAACTCAACCCCTTCCCATCTCAACCCCTTCCCATCTCAACCCCTTCACAACTCAGCCCCTTCCCGTCTCAACCCCTGTCAATCTCAACCCCTTCACAACTCAACCCCTTCCTATTTCAACCCCTTCCCATCTCAACTCCTTCCCATCTAAACCCCTTCACATGTCAACCCCTTCACAACTCAACCCCTTCACATCTCAACCCCTTCACAACTCAACCCCTTCCCATCTCAACCCTTCACAGCTCAACCGCTGCCCATCTCAACCCCTTCACAACTCAACCCCTTCCCATCTCAACCCTTTCCCATCTCAGCCCCTTCCCACCTCAGCTTCTTCACATCTCTACCCCTTCCCATCTCAACCCCTTCACAACTCAACCCCTTCCTTACTCAATCCCTTCCTATCTCAACCCCTTCACAACTCAACCCCTCTCCATCTCAGTGTCTCCCCAACTTGACCCTTCAACATCTCAACCACACTCATCTCAACGCCTCCCTATTTCACCCTCTCCCCATCTCAAGCCTACCTCATCTGAACTCTACCCATCTCACCACACCCATCTCAACCCTCACCCATCTCAACCTCTGCCCCATCTCAACCTCACTCATCTCAACTCCTTCCCTATCTCTACCCCTGCCCGTCCCAACCCCTCCCATCTCAATTCCACCGCCATCTCAACTCCTCCCCCATCTTAACCCCTCCTCACCTCATTCCTTCTCCATCTCAACCCCCTCCACCTCAACTTCTCCCTCATCTCAGCCTCTTCCTCATCCTAACCCCTCCCACCTCAACCCTTCCCCATCTCAAGACTTCCCCATCTCAACTGCTCTCTACCTCAACTCCTCCTCCATCTCAACCCCTCCCCAACTTCAACCCCTCCCCCACCTCAACTCCTCTCCAACTTCAACCCTTCCCCCACCTCAACTCCTCTACCATTGCAACTCCTCCCCCATCTCAACTCCTCCTCCATCTCAACCCCTCCCCCACCTCAACCTCTCCCCATCTCAACTCCTCTCTCATCTCAGCCCCTCCCCCAGCTGCCATCTGTTATGGTTGCTTCTTTCCCCTGTGTTTATACTTAAGCTGGGAAAAATTCCCCCTCCCTCCCTCCCTCCTCCCCTTCCCTCTTTCTGTGATGAACATGAAATTATATTACACATATAGGTCTTTGTTTTGCTCTTATTCTTTTAGTTTTTAAAAATTACAGGATATGGTGTGCATCTTTCTTTGGCCATTTCTGGAAAGATGTCCATAACATCTCTTTCACGCTGCAGAGTATTCCTCAGCATGACTGAACCACAGTTTATTCCAGCAACCCTATCAATGGATGTTCCCAGTTGCTTTGCAGTTACCAGCTGTGCTGTAGTAAGCCTCCCCTACATGCCTTTAGGATGTGCACTTTCATTTCTGTAGGGTCAAGTCCTAGAAGTGGGACTGTGGACAAGTCTTTCCCACGCTATGCCCTCACTCTCCGGAGGACTGGCACTTCTCTCAACACCCCTCCTCAGCATCTCAGCCTCAAATTGAAATGTGAACTTTCACAGTCTGTGTTATCTCTCTGGCCCCACTGGAGAGGCCCGATGAATTAATAATATGCCAGCAGGAAACAGAGAGATGGAGTTATTAATTGTCAGTCCATGAGCCCACCCTCTCAAGGTCCTAATTAGCATGCTGACAGCTTCGGTTTTATCCAGAGCTAGGGCAAGGCTCTGGGGACACTGTGGCTCAGCTAGGGGCATCCGGCACAGAGTGGAGAGCCCTGGTGCCTTTCTGGGTGGGGTGGAGGGGCGCTTGCAAGAGGCTTGTGAATTCAGAAGTTCCTTCAGGGATCCCTTTGTGCCTGCTGTGGGGTAGGGGAGAGAAACAGGCTGGGAGTGGGGGCAGGAATGGGAGTTTTAGTGTCCAGGTGGTGGTGATGGTTGGTGTGTGCTGCTCTTGGGCCCCAGTGGTGGGTTTGTGATTCTGGTTCTGCTGCAGGACAGTGACACTCACCAAGCTGTGTTGGGTGTAGTTGTCTCAGGGAGGTGCCTGCTTTCAAACCAAAGTTCCTTTGATGGGGAGGACTGACCCCAGGAAGACTGATTGCGTATCAATATTACTCTAACCCATGGCCCTCTTTCATAACATGCACACTCCTGGAAAGGATATCATTAAATCTGGCATTGGTGCATGGCCAGGCTCACATAGGGTTGCTCAAGAAATGTTGCTGTAAAGGAGGCCGGGTGCGGTGGCTCATGCCTGTAATCCCAGCACTTTGGGAGGTTGAAGTGGGTGGATCATTTGAGGTCAGGAGTTCAAGACCAGCCTGGCCAATATGGTGAAACCCCATCTCTACTAAAAATATAAAAATTAGCTGGGCATGGTGGCACACGCCTGTAATCCCAGCTATTTGGGAGGCTGAGGCAAGAGAATCGCTTGAACCTGGGAAGCAGAGGTTACAGTCAACCGAGATCACAACACTGCACTCCAACCTGGGCAACAGAGTGAGATTCCATCTTAAAAAAAACAAAAAAGAATTGTTTCTGTAAAGGAAACTACCTATAGGAAGCTGCGTGACCTTGGCCAGGCCTCTTCACCTCTCTGGGCCCTTTTTAATGTGGATTAGAGGTGGTCCTTATTTTGGTTTGCTCCATACTGGGCAGCCAGAACCATCTAGAACACCAGCCAGGACTTGCTCCCCAAGGGTGCTCCTCTGTTGCGGTGCCTGCCTCTCTGCCCAATCTCTCTCCACACAGTGGAGGCTCTGAGTCTTTCCTACTTTGAGCCCTCATCTCCACCAGCATCTATGCGTAGCTCTGCTGTCTCAGGCGCCTCTCAAGAAGTTTCAGGCAGCAGAGTTGGTGGAAGCTGAAAAGTCATTTGAATTAGTTTGCCTGGGTCTATTGCTCAGGAGCCTGGGCACATCTCTTAACCTTTCTGGGGCTGAGGACACCAGCATTCAGGGTTGTGTGTGAGGTGCTTAGTATGATTATTACTCATGTTTGTTATTAGGCTCTGTCCTGCTTCCCCCAGGCTGTGGCCGGGAAGACAGAACAGCCATTTACACAGTAAGCTGCCCAATGACCCTGCCTTTCCCATTCCCAGTCTGCTTTTAAAAAATATGGGTGTCTAGACCCCAACCCTCAAAGATTCAGATCAGTTCATCTTAGGTGAAGTTTTAACAGGAAGATGTATATAGATGTATATATTTTACAAGCTCTTCAGGTGATTGATTAGTTTAAGAACCATTGATTGAGACCCATGGCAACTGGGCGGGCAGGTACCTTGTGCTCATGGGGCCTGCCCAGCCAGACACAGCCTTTTTCAGGAGCAAATCCCCCTATCTCCCTTTTGGGACACAGCAGACTGTCTGAGATCATCTGATGACCTCTACATACTCTTTTCTGGGACTAAGCTGCCTTTCTGGATCAGTTAGAAGGCAACTGGAACATCTCTGAAAGGTTCTGGATCTCTGTGCACATACAGTAAGGGGACAGAGCTCATTCTGTGACAGTCTTACCAATGCACCACAATGTAGCAGTCTCTCGTTGTAAGGCATCACCCGGAGTTCTTCGTTTCATGACCAAAAAAATTAAGGAGTGTGGACAAAGGGTGAGGTTAGAACGAAAGTTTAATAAGCAAAAGAAGAAAGTCCTCTGCCACAGAGGGGACCCGAAAGAGGGTTGCCTTTTTACAGTTGAATTCAAAAGCTTTTATAAGAAACTCCCCTCATCTCTGTAGCTGTTTGTGTAATTCCCCTTATCTGTGCAGCTGCGGGCATGTCCTTAGGCAAGCACAAAGCACAGCTTCTCTTGTTCGGGTTACTGTGGTTATGTTTTGGGTAGGTCCCCCACCTCCCTGTGCAAGTTCCCATGGAGCCCACTGTGTACATGCCCGAAAAGAGGAGGAAACCTTTCTGTGGGAGCCCACTGATTACACCAAGAACAAAGGCTGCTATGTTGGGCCTTACTTGCTTGTCTGTGCAGCTGCAGCCTGAGTTTTCCCCAGGCTGCTCTATTTGTGCCTGTAGCTTGATTTTTCAGGCTGTCTTTCATTTTGAAAGAATTTTACCAAAGACAAGCTTTAGCTGTCTGCCCAACTAGTTTTTCCTTTTCTCCTCCCTCAACTGGATCATAACTTATGACTCTGAGGCTGAGTCCTGGGATAGTTGGATGTAGAGGGGGCATTATCTGGATTTGAACCCAGTAATTCTTAGCTGTCTGATATTACATAAGTTACTTAGCCTTCCTGAACCTCACTTTCACCATCTATAGGACAATATGTGCTTTGCAATAATAACATTAGATTTCTAGAAACACACACACATGCATAACACCAGGAACAAATTTTCCTATAACTTATTTTATTGATTTCTTTTACATATATGAAATAGAAAAATGATATTCCAAAGAATTATACCTCTCAATTTTTTTTAGGAAAAATGTTTAAAAAATAAAAAAAAAAGAATTCAAATTGTGCAAGTAAAACAAAAGGTAAATTGGAGCTCTGCTTTAAAGTAAATTTCAATAGAAGATTGTTGTTGTTTTCTTTAAGTAAGAAGCTGAAATTGCGGAGTGAGTTTTGATGTGGCAGTGTGTATGCTGTCTTGGTTATCCAGCTGTTTTGACTCGGTTTTGATGGCAACATATACTGACCATGAAACTCAGAGGTAAGTAATTTCACCATTTTGAAGACACCCACAGCTCTTGACATTTTCAAAGGGTGGTTCCCAAAATAGGAGTTCTTTTGAGATGGCATTGGTATATTCCAGGGTGATGGATGCCAGAGATTGGCTGGGTGGCTTGATCTGGGTTGCAGACAGTTAAAAGTTAAAGAAAAGTAGGGTAGCTTCTACTTCCTTCATGACCTGGTCCAGGATATTAACAGACATGCCAGTGGACCTGGGTGCTTGATGTTACTTAACACAGGTATCATTTCCACTTTTTCCCTCTGCTCCAAGCCACAGGGAAACTCAGCCATTTCCAGGGCCCTTGGTTTCAGGAAGGTCTCTGCAGTTGCATGGAGCCTGCTTTGCCTGGCATTCTGCAGGATTCTTTAGTACAAGGATTTTGACTGGGTCAAATCAGAGATTTGGGCAAATTCCTGCATTTTAAAATAGTCTTCTCCTAAAACCCTTTCATTCTATGTGATGGACAGATAAGAGATACAGGGCTCCTGTATCAGAAATTTTATTTGACTTTTGGAGTAGAGTGACCTGAAGAACAAATTGCAGTTTTATTTTTCTCATTACAGCAAGTCAGGAGGAGGCAGCCTGGGCCTGGTGGGGCACTTCTCTGATGTCAACAGGGTCTGCCCACCCTGCCATCTTTAGTGTGGCTTCCTGCATCGCCGATCGACCAAGTGGCAGACCTGAGGGCAAAAGGAAGCCTGATATTGGAGTCAGCCCCCTTTGGAAGAACTTTCCCTACAGCCCACCTAGTAACTTCTGATGATACCTCCTTGGCCTGATTTAATTCAGTGCACCAAAAATATTATCATTTCAACACAAAACCAATGCAAACAAAGAATATGCCCCTAAATGAAATGGTGGGATCTAGTTTAATTTTTATCAAGAGACCTTCCTGAAGCCAAGGGCCCTGGAAATGGCTGAGTTTCCCTGTGGCTTGGAGCAGAGGGAAAAAGTGGAAATGATACCTGTGTTAAGTAACATCAAGCACCCAGGTCCACTGGCATGTCTGTTAATAAAAAAATTTTTTAATGTTTTCATTCATGTATCGTTTCAACTGAATCACATGTACCCTAAAACTTAAAGTATAATAAAAATAAATAAATAAAATAAAATAACAAAAAAATGTTTTCACAAAGACAGTTTTCAAAGTAACAAAGGACATTGAGAAAAAAAATCCTTTGGTTGTTCCAAGTGTACAGAACATCAGATAAAAATAACATCAATTTTCCACAGAGAAACCAAATATGTCATTTAAATGCTTCCAGAATTAAACATTTGATGTGTATGTTGGGTGAGGAGGCAACAGGATTGGATAGGGTGGTGGGAAGTCTGAGTTTTGGTCTCCCCTCTCTCACTAACTAGCTGTGTGGCTTTCACTAAACAACTCCAGCCCCTTAACCTCACTAGCTCAGTTTTATCATCTGTAAAATGAAAGGATTGGTCTCGATCAGTGCTGTCCAATAAAAATAATATTTGAGCCACCTGTATAATTTTAAGATTTTTAGTAGCCATGTTAAAAAAGCAAAAGGAAACAAGTAAAATCAATATATTTTATTTAATCCAATGCACCAAAAATATTATCATTTCAACACAAAACAAAATTATTGAGAAAGTATTTTACATTTTTTTGCACTAAGTCTTTGAATGCTGTGTATAATTTACCCTTCCAGCACATCTCAGTTTGGACTGGCACAGTGTCAGGCGCTCAGCAGCTGCACACCTCTCCTGGCTACTGTTTTGAATGGTGCTGCCCTCCAGAGCTCCAAGGTTTCTTTCAGTCCTGACCCTTGAGGATTGTCACCTTTTTTTCTTGACTCAGCTTTGAGTGTCTTGGCCTCTCTTTCCATCCCCCAACCTGGGGCTTCTCTTCAGGCATGGGGTGAAGGGATCAAAACCCTGAGGGCCACCCCCACTCCATGATTTCTTTCTGCACTGTCTGCTCTCTGTCCTGTGCTTTCCTGATTTGGAATCACTTCCCTCGCTTTTTCTCAGGCTGAGATCCCTCCCAGCTTGCCTTATCTCTGCCTGGTCCCTGAGGTAACCCATTTGCAGCCTCCCATTCCTGCTCTGTCTAGGCCATTTCATGTTCTCTTAATTTTGCATTCCATTGCCTTTAAAATCTTCAACCACTTAAAAATGTAACAATATACATTTTTTTCTTTCATTACAAAAGACGTGCTCATTGTGAAACAATTGGGAAATATAGGAGCTTATAAAGAATAATATAAAAATCACTCATAATCCACTCACTCCAACCCAACCACTGCTAATGTTTTGATGTGCTTATCTTTGGTCTTTTTCTAAGCATTACGTATACATGTAAATGTGTTTTAAATTTCTTTTTCTGGAGATTTTACAGAATATATAGTTTTCTATTCTATTTCTTTCACTTTTCATTATACTGTGAGCGTTATAACAATATCATTAAGTATCGTTTGAAAACATCATTTGTAATTGCTAATGGCTGAGGTTCAGGGAGAGATTTTGATAATATTATGTCACCATTAAGCTAGGGACTTAGATAAACTTAGTATCTGCCCTGCTTCTCATTCCTCCTTGTTGAAGAGCTCTTGACCAATGTAAAAAGCAATAGCCAAATGTGAAATAAAGAACTACCTTATTAACAGCTCAGCAAGCACTGGAGACCGGCATGTTTGCATTTCCACGCTCATTGGTCTAGGTGAGGCTTCCTGGTCCCCATCCCTGGAATCTAAGATGAGCTGGGCTTGTGGAGCAACCTTGGGCTTGACTTTCCTACTTGGCTCAGACTGGCTTTGGCAAATTGCTTAACCGCTCTGGGTATGTCCTTATCTGTAAAGTGGTGATTATAATAGTGCTCACCTCATAGGTCTGTTGTGCAAATTAAATGAGAGAGACATATAAAGTGCTTATCATAGTTCCTGGCAGATAGTAAATGATCCATAAATGTTAGTTTTACCATTTCCCTATTTTTGGACACTTAAGTGGCTTAATTTTTTTTACTATTATAAATTAATCAGTTTATCAGTAACAAATATTTATTGAGTACTTACTACTGGCCAATTTTTTTTTTTTTTAAATACTAGAAATTACAGGGGTAACCAAGACCAGACAAGTGTCTGATCTCATGGAATTTAAATTTTAATGGGAGACATGATCAATAAGCAGGGTAAGTTTGGATATGGAAAAGGCTATCAATCACATACAACAAGATGATGCCCTGAGCTTCAGGTAGGGTGGGCAGCGAGGAGCTTTCTGAGTTAGGTGATGTGTGAGCAGACATCTGAATGACAAGGGGGAGATCTGGGGAAGAGCAAGTTAAAGACCTTGAAGTGGAAGTGAACTTGAGGAGTTCAATCAAAATTCAGAAGCAGGGAGCGCAGGGGGTTTGGTGTGGTGGGAGGAGCTACGGGAGGTGGGCAGGAGCCACCTGGTCAGGGAACACTTCGGAGCTCAGGGTGAGGACTGTGGACTTCATTGCAAGGTGTGAGACATGCACTGGAGGCTTCCGTGCAGCGGAGGGATGCCTACTCAGTGGTGTGCTGGAGCGGGCTCATGGGAGCTTCTGAGAGCCTCTTGGCACGTCTCTTCCCAGCTCCTTATTCAGTGAAATCATGTTGATAAGTGGCTTGATCTGGGTTGCAGACAGTTACAGATTCTCCTCGATTTATCAGGACACAATCTGATCAACCCATTGTAAGTGAAAAATATCATCAGTCAAAACTGCATTTAACACCATCTAAACCCTTCCTAAAGTCAAAAGATCATAAGTCAAACCATCATAAGCCCAGGACTGTCTATATTTATAACACAGGAGTTTATAGCAGATGCTACTCTTCCCCTAGAGAGCTAGTTGTTAAATGTTTACCAGCACACCACTGGAACAAACTAATCTAGGTTTTAAAAAATTCTCTTTGCCTATGCTCTGTGAAGAATGAATTACAGGGAGGCAATATGCAGTTTTGACTGTAGTTTTGAGAATTTCCTTAGGATAAATTACTGGAAGTGAAATTACTACAGAAAATTATCTAATTGCTCCCCCTACTGAAAATGTTCATCATTTATACCTCCACTAGCAGCAAGGTACCATTTCCTTGTACTCTTACTCACACTTAGCTTTAGCCACCCCCATAGAATGTTCCTTCTATCTAGAACTTTGCATTCTGTTCTCTATGTGTAGCTGATTATTTATTTATTTATTTATTAATCCTTCAGGTCTGGTCTCACATCTCTCTTCTCAGAGGACTTTCCTGACCACTCTATTTCATTGTAATTACTTATTTGCCAGAACCATGGCCATTTATTTATGTCTAGGACAGGGTCTGCCACATAGTAGGCTCCCAATATATATTATTGAATGAATGAATGCATCCGCCTACCTTTCTGAATTCTCAAATTGATACTAATACAGTCAAAGGAGTTCCTTTCCTTGGAATGTCTAGGATTGGCTTTTTTCAGCTTAATGATATTTCTGGAGTTGAGGTATATTAAGTCCAAAGAGTTCAATAATTGATAACAAAATACTGTGCAATAACCTAACATTATAACAAGATATTTTGCAATAAAATGCAGCTTTAAAACATCTGTTATCCAAGTGAAGTGATGACTCACAGAGAAAATATTTCCAAACCATACATCTGATAAGGAGTTAATATTAAAAAGATATGAGGAACTCAAACGACTTAAGAGCAAGAAAACAAATAACCCTATTAAAAAATGGGCAGGGGACCTGAACAGACATTTCTCAAAAGAAGACACACAGATGGCCAGCAGATCCATGAAAAGATGCTCAACATCACTAATCATCAGGGAAATGCAAATTTAACCACAGTGAGATATCAGTTCACACCTGTTAGAATGGCTATAATAAAAGAGACAAACAATGAATGTTGGTGAAAATGTAGAGAGAAGGAAATTCTTATGTATTGTTGGTAGAATGTAAATTGATACAGCCATTATGGAAAATAGTATGGCGGTTCTTTAAAAGCTAAAAACAGGACTACCATATGATCCAGTAGTCCCACTTCTGGGTATATATCCAAAGGAGATGAATCAATATTTTGAAGAGATATCCACACTCCCATGTTCATTGTCTCATTATTCACAATAGCTAAGATATGCAAGCAAGCTAAGTGTCTATCAATGGGTTAATGGATTAAGAAAATATGGTGTGTATACACAATGAAATACTTTCAGCCTTAGAAAGAAGAAAATTGTCATTTGTGACAACATGGGTGAACCTGGAGCATATTATGCTAAGTGAAATAAACAGGCACCGAAATGCCAATATCATATGAGCTCACTTATATGTGGAACCCAAGAAAGTTGAACTCAGACATACAGAGTACAATGGTGGTTACAGAGGCTGGGGACGAGGGGGGTGGATGAGAAAGGGGTGAGGTTGTTCAAAGGGTACAACATTTTAGTTAGACAGGAGGAATGTGTTTTAGAGATCTGTTGCACAGCATGTTACTATAGTTAATAATAGCAGATTGCGTATTTCAAAATTGCGAAAACAGTAGATTTTAAATGTTCTCACCACAAATAGGTATATGAGGTGATGGATATGTTAATTAGCTTGATTTTATCATGTAAAATCTACAATTTAAATATATATGAAAACATCACATTAAACCCCATAAATATATACAATTATTATGTCAATTAAAATGAATTAAAATAATAGAAAACCCCCAAAAAAGCATGTTATCCATTAAAACACGAAAAACCAAGAGCCGTCAATAACTGCATGTTTCTAGTGAGACTACAGCAATTTCTCTGTGCACTTGCCAGAGGCTTCTCTGACATGTGGTCACCCTGGAGCCCATGCAACACCCTCTTATTGCCACAGACTTCTGTGCTCACTGCATGGCCAATATGTGTAGACTAACTTCTGACAGTTTTATATTCTCTTTTAAAATTTTCCACATTTGCTCTTGATCTCATTCTTTCTTTTTTCTGTGCTATAAATTTCTCCAGCTCTACTAGATCATCCCACCAGTGTAAAAACATGCAATAGAATGTCACATATAAGAACAAAACACAAGAATCCTTGCTACCTCATACGCCTCTTTATCCTCGGTCCCATTTCTCTGCTCTCCTGTATAGCAAAACTTCTCAGAAAAGTGGCGAATGTTGTCCCCACTTTCTCATCTCCTGCCCCTCCTAACCACTCTAACAGGTGGTCTGCTCACAAAAACTGCTCTTGTTCAGGTCATTAGTGATGCCCACATTCCTGAGTCCCATGGTTCTTTCTCTGTCTTTATTTGATTTGACTTCTCAGAGTACTTAGACTCTCATTCTTGAAGCATTTGCTTCTCTGGCTTTTGTGGTAGCATGCTGTTCTAGTTTTCCTATTTCACTGGCTGTCCCATTCCAGTCTCTGTTGCTGGTTCTTGCTCCTCTGCTATACCCCTGATGTAGGTGTGCCCCAGGGCTGGCTTCTGGGCCCTCTTCTCTTCTCTGTCTATGCTCACTCCCAGGATCTCACCCATTTTTGTAGGTTTACATAAATCCACATGTAAATGACTCCCACATTTATAGATTCAGCCTTCATCTCTCCTCTGAGCTCCTGAGGCTGAAATCCAGCTGTTCCCTTGACATCTTAACTCAGGTGTCTAATGAGAGTCTTCAACTGAACAGGTCCAAGGAACTTTTGACTTATGCCATCCTCCAGTCTATTCCTCCTCATGTCTTCCTTTCCCCACAAATGACACTACCATCTATGGTGTGGCTCCAATTCCAGATTATACTAAACAGTTAAGGGAGGTGTGTGGTGAGAATGGTGGCCATACTCCCTTGGGGTGCTGTCACCAGGACCAGTCTTGAGCCCAGTTCAGCCCTCCTTGTTTAGTAGCATATGTCTCAGAACATGATATGCACGGCCACTTCCACCCACTGCTTTCACTTCCGGCCCCTTTTCTTAGGAGTTTTGGTCTCATAATGGCTCTAGAAGCAGAGGAACTGAAGGCTAGAGTGGGCAAAAGTATTCTCTCTACTTCCAAAATTATATTCATGCAAGAGAAGTTGACTTCCTGGTTTTCTGGGTAGTACAATCCCTAGGTCCATATGATGTGGAGCTGGAATTGTGGATGGGGAATGGTGCATTTATGGAAATTCTTTCAGGGCAGTAGGTTTGTTCCAATTCCATTCTCATTTTTAAAAATACCATTTGCTTTTGCCTTTTTATTTTTTTAAATCATCAGGTGGGGAGTGGGAAAGTCTAAATCAAAGACTGTCATTCAGATGGTATTTTAGGCTAGAAATCCCCAATATAGAAATACAAATATAAACAATTAGGAGAAATTTATTTATACCCATGAGAATGGCAAAATTCAGAAAGGTGGATCATACCACTCTTGTCACTGATGAGGGAGATGGAAATTTGCACGCGTACACTGGTGGGAGCATAACTGGTACGCTTATTTTGGAAGAATCTAGTGAAGTGAAATGTGTGCCTGACCTATAATCCAGCAATCCCACTCTTGGGTATATATGTCCTAGATAAATTCTGAAAAGATGTGTACAAAGATTTCATTGTAGTATTTTACTTGTGATAGCAGGGACTTAGAGGCAACCTAGGTACCCATTCCAAGGGAATAGATAAAGTGTGGTGGAGCATCTATGGGAGGGATATGCAGTGGAGAAGCGACAGCCTAAACACATATAGCAGCATGGTTAGATTTTCACAACAGTGTTGAGTAAAAAACAATAGGAACTGGATGAGATTTATAACATATTATGACTTATATGTTAAGTTAAAAACATACCTACCAAACTTTTCCTATTTGATTTGGATATTTGAATATTTAAGTTTGTATGTTAAATATGTCAGAGATGGTACCCATGCTAGGCAGGGGGTTGAAGGGGGAAAAAGCCCTGTAGCATCTGGAGTCAATTCAGACATAGAGAATAATAATATGTCTAAAATTAAAGACAGAGATTTCAAATTTGAGATATTTTCCCTGTAAATTTTAGAAGGTTAGAGTTTCCCAAATTTAGATTTTTTTTTTTTTTTAAAGAACTGCCTTTAAACCAAGTTTCATGCCCTGCTTGAGTAGGCCATGACTTTGTCTATGGCAGTTAGAGCTAGACTCTACCTTTTTTCTGCTCCCAAATTGCTCCGAGTTGCTTGTGGTGTGAAACCGGTATACACAATCAGTTGCCTTACTTTCTAGAGGATGAACCCCTTAAGGACAGGGCTGCAACTCAGTCATCCTGGTGTCCCCATCACCCAGCACAGTGACCAGCAGTGATCTGTACTTATTTGTCACCTTTAATTGCATCACGGTGTTTGTAGTCTTTTTGGTGTATGTGCGTGCCCTGGCAAGAGGCTCATCTAAGGCATTTCCCCACAAAAGGGCAAGCCTCTCCCACAGATACAGTATAATACTAACTTCCAAGAACATAACATGTCATATGGTCACAGGTATAAAAACATAAAATGGATTTTCCCGAGTGATGGCCAAATTTATCCCCACAGGGAGGCAGCATCTTTTCTACTTAAGAAGTACCTTTCGGAAGTGCTTTTCAAGTTAATCCAATCGCAAAAACATTGAATCCTACTAAGTGCCAGGGGACAGAAGTCTAGGGGGCATTTCCACCAAGATGGCCAGAAGGCTCTAGATCAAGTGGTAAACAGAGCGTGGTATGTGGAGTACAATCCTTTCGGCAATAATAGTCATAATAGGAAATAATAAAGACCTACATTTATAGAATGCTTTAGACCTTTCAAAAGTACTTTCGTGTCAATTATCTCAGTATGGTTTGGTGACCAAATCTCAGGCAGCACCTGTGATCAGGTAGATGTTTTCTTTGGAAAATGATCTCCAGCATTGGGCTACATATTTTTTAGGTTGCATGAGTGTGCGGGGGAAAGAGGCAATTGTCGTATGCTTCCATAGAAGGAGATGAAGGAGCGAAGAATGGAAACTTTCCCATCCCTGGGAGTAAAACCTTACATCAGTGATACCCAATCCTGCTTATTGATGCCCCAGGGGTGTCTTGAAATTCTTCAAAGGAAATTAATTGTAATTCACTTCAATTTTTAAAATCCACAGATATGCTGCATAGCACAATGCTTCTGGGCAGGGTGGCCCAGGGGAGGTGGACTGAAAGTTGTGTGTGTCAAAGAAGCTGTCAATCCACCAAAGAACAATAGCAAGCTGAAACTCCCCCAAATTTGGGGGAGTGATTGGTCTGTGTTTGAACCTGCAGGGTAGGCAGAGGCAGAAAGGGTTGATGTTGATTACTGAAAAAGTTGAAATAGCTTTGTGGGTGACCAGAATGACATCATGCTCTCAACAGAGGATGCCCTGCCTGGGGCCACTGCTATTAAGATGCCCAGCTTGGCTGGACACCATGGCTCACTCCTGTAAACTCAGCACTTCGGGAGGCTGCGGTGGATCCAGGCTGGGGTAGGCCTTGGATTGCCTGAGCCCAGGAGTTCGACACCAGCCTGGGCAACCTTGTGAGAGCCCTGTCTCCACAAAAAATTTAAAAAAATTAGCTGGGTGTGGTGGCTCATGCCTATGATCCTACTCAGGAAGCTGAGGTGGAAGGATCGCTTGAGCCTGGGAGGTCGAGGCTGCAGTGAGCCATGGTCATGCCATTGCACTCCAGCCTGGGTGAGAGAGCGAGACGACCTTGTTTCAAAAAAAAAAAAAAAAAAAAAAAAAAAAAAAAAAAAGCGCCCAGCTCTTCCCAAAGTCTGGAAAAGCAGGCTTCCTGGCCCCTAGGGGCTATGTCAAATCTGTGTTCCACAGTGGATGGCAAGGCTTCATTTTATCCTTATCATCTTTAATCGGCTAAGTTAACAATTCATTGCTCTTTTTTGAGACAAAGTCCCACTCTGTCACCCAGGCTGGAGTGCAGTGGCGCAATCTCGGCTCACTGCAACCTCCAGTTCCCGGGTTCAAGCAATTCTTCTGCCTCAGCAGAAGTCCAGAGTACCTGGGACTACAAGCGCCTGCCACCACACCCAGCTAATTTTTGTATTGTTAGTAGAGACGGGGTTTCCCCATGTTGGTCAGGATGGTCTTGATTTCCTGACCTCATGATCTGCCTCCCTCAGCCTCCCAAAGTGCTGGGATTACAGGCGTGAGCCACCGCACCTGGCCCAATTCACTGCTTTTAACATTTGTTGATGCCAAGAAAGTGCTACTGGAAGGCTGCTATAGGTTTAAGAACACAATGATTGGTCATTCTTTTTCTTTCCTACCCAGATTGGAAATTCCAAGTTTGCTCTGTCATCACATCTGGTTAATGCAGACACTCGAATCACTGTGTGTTCTAGTACTCAGAACTTAAAAGTCATCATATCGGATATGGGAGACTCACTGACAACTGGGCCTCAAAGGAATTTATCAAGCGCCGCCTCTGCTTTTCTCTTCCTGCTTTGCTGGGTTTGCATGGGAGCTGGGATTTGCGGGCAGCTGTAAGTGTGTTTGGGCTGGAGGCAAACTCTTGTGTCTTTTTAGCCTGATTCTACATAGCATAGTAGGAAAGGGGCCAGAGAAAGTGGCTGGCAGTAAGAAAGCCTCTGTTTTGAGAATGTGAAGCAGCCTGGGAGAGAGTGAGGGAAGAAAGGAGGGGAGCCGAGAGTTAGAAAAGCCTTAATTCATTTCATCTGACAGCTCAGAGCCAGAAGTTGCCAGGTCTACTCATTTGCAGGTTGTGTTGTCAACACAATCACAGTATTTTATAGCCCACACGGACCTTGGACTCTGGCATGCCATGTAATAGGCTGCAAAAAGTAGCAGCTCTGCTTCCCATCTCACTTGGGGCATGGGGAGAGGAGGATTGGGTTTAGGGAGGAAGGGTACAGGTGTGAAGGGCACAGGTATGAGGTGCATAGGTATGAGAGACTCAAGTGTGGGGGGCACAGGTATGGGGGCATAAGTATGAGGGACACAGGTGTGAAGGGCACAGGTATGAGGGACACAGGTATGAGGGTCAGGGCATGAGGGAGACAGGTGTGAGGGGCCAGGTGTGATGGGCACAGGTATGAGGGACAGGTGTGAGGGACACAGGTGTGAAGGGCACAGGTGTAAGGGGCACAGGTGTGGGGGAACATGTGTGAAGGGTACAGGTATAAGGGGCACAGGTATGAAGGGAATGGATGTGGGGGACACAGGTGTGAAGGGCACAGATGTGAAGGACACAGAGCTTCATCTTTGCTCCTCATTTTGTTCTTGCGCCTTCTCTTTCCAGCTGTTACAAAGTGCCTTCCAGTGGGCCACCTCCCCACTTCCTCTGTTGGGGGCAGGCCAGCACAGCCTATTGCCCAGATGGCAGGGTCTCAAAACAGCCTCCCAGTGACCTGGTTCTATAATATCCTAGAAGGAGTTGGAGGACATGACCATGTCCTGGTTCTTTGTGTTCAGATAAACTCAAAGGCCCTCAATTTCAAGCCCTTCCACATCCTGTCTCTTTCTTCCTTCCATTCCCCAGAAGACAGTGATTGGTGGGTCAATGGGCTCCATAGGTGATGTTCCACCCCATGGGAGAGAAAGGATCTTAGTGCAGCTGTGCCCACTGTCCCATACGTGGGCTGCTCCCTCTGCAGGAAGTCTATCTCTGCAGACCAGCCTTGCTGTCAGGAGCGCCCTGGTCACCCGGCCTCTCTGGCTTATTGTGCAGGAGGGGCAGAATTCTAAACCAAGGAGAAGAAAAGCCCAAATGGAGATAAGCTGGCCCAGTGCAGAGGGGCAGCATAACTTAGTAGGAAGCACTAGGCTAGAGTTTGAGTCCTGGCTCTGGCTTTGCAAAGTGTGTAAGTTTACACACACCACTTTACTTTTTTATACTCAATTTCTTTCTCTGCAAACTATGGGAAAAAATCTCCACTTTCTCTACTTTACAGAACTAATATAAAAATGTGTGAAAGCACTATGCAGAATATGAAATACCAGATGAAAGTAAGGTGGTGGACAGAACTGTACAGCCTCAGGCTTCTCAACCAAAGATCCAGGTCCATTCTGCTGTCTGCCTCCAGTAGATGTTTGACACGAACTCCATAGTCTCAATTTCAACCTCATACTTCATGGTTTCTTTGTCTCTTCCCTGGGTTTTCCCCATGGCGATAAGAGATCAGAAAATGTGCTCTCTCTTTGTGTCTGAGATGTTGGAGATGACTAAGAAAATATCTTAAATGTATTTTGAGGCCTGGTATTCTAAAACAAAGCCTGCTGCTGAGGAAAACTACAAAGGGTGGTACAGATTTAAAAGGAGGCAGATAGCCTGCTGCAGGCAGGACCACAGTCTTATCACCTCACTACACAGCTATAAAGACACACAGGTTCTGAGGTGGCATGTCCTGCAGCAACTGTGTAAGGCAGGGCTTCTTATCCCTGTTTTACAGATAAGGTAATACTGAGGCTTTGTGAGCAGACAGAGGTCTCTCCAATGGTGAGGCCAGGATTTGATCCCAGGTCCGTCAAACTCCAGGATCCATTCTCTTCCCCCTGCAGCACAATAAATTTGATTATGCATAGAATGTATATGTGACAGCTCTCATCCTGTATCTGCCTCACAGCAGGACTTAGTGCTTTGATGAATCCTCAAAATAATTTAGTTTCATAGTACACTGATGGGAAATGGAGCTTTTACTGAAGATTTTCTGGGGCCAGATCAAGAAGACATTTTGCATTAAACATCATCTAAACAAACTTCCTTTAATTCCTTGAATTCATTCTTAACATCTCTGTTCTTCCTAATGCTTGTTTCTCAGCTCTACTTCCAGGATTGGTTCATCTATTTTTTCTCACTCTTTTGCTTTGATCCCTTGGTATCTCCTCCATTGTTCCAAGTAATTCATTTCCCTCCCGCAGCATAGGCAGGGTGGCCGAGAAAAAGCCCTGCAGTTAGTTGAGCTGCCTTCCTTTGATAGCAATCCAGTGAGCATCTGGGTTATTCTGGCATGTCCCCAGGTGGGGCTGACCAAAGCATTCACTCAACAGAGTAGGTGTCCTCCAAGGCTAAGGTGGACTGTGCTATTAAAAAAAAAAAAAGATTTTTCTTTATATTGTGTGATGTGGGAGAGATGGAGAAGGAGAGGTAAAAGAGAGGGTGTAAGGTACTGGAACTGCTATGGGGGGAAAGGGAGGAGGGAATTGACAGGGGACATTAAAATTTGAATTACAGGACTTGGTGATTATCTGGAGAAGTAGAGAAAGGAAAGAGAAGGGAGGACTCCCAGGTACTTGACTACAGCAGCAGGGTAGAGTAAGATGGAGAATTCTGGAAGAAAAATGGATTTGAGATGGGTGAGAAGAAGAATAGTTTGGGGAAGATAATTTAGTTTCTGAATGTAGGGCTTCCTTGCTATCTACTTGGGACCCTGCCCCTCCTGTCTGACCCCAGCAGATGCACTTTTTGCTTTAGTTTTAGGTCATCTGCTGATTCATCTGCTGATTCAGGCCAGCACCAGCTGGGGAGATGGGAGCAGCCAGCAAGCTCAGGAGCTCAGAATGTGATTCCCCAGCTCACCGCCATGATGAGTGCTCCGTAGACAACTTACTCTGCTTGGAGTCCCCTGGGGTTGCTCCCACCTCTGGGGTCTCCTCTTCCATTTTTCCCAGCTGTGGTTCCTCTGTCTTCTCTCTCTGTAAATTTTTTGACTTCTGATCTTTCAGAAATTTCTCACATCTCTGGCTCACTGATGGCATTCATGTTTTCCAGTACTAGTTTTAGATATGTTCCTAAACAAAACACAACAAAATGGAGGAAAAGAAAGAGAGATACGTACTGAGCCTACTTTCTTGATCAACACTTCTATACTTATTTGTTTTCATGTCTCATTCCCCTTCATGACTTTGAATTTCTTAAGGGCAGGAATCCCTTTCTTTCTGAGCACTAACCAATTCTCCTTTTCCATGCACTAGGGAACTTAGTATTTAGGAAATTCTGTGGCTACTTCTTTTGTAATTGAAAACAAAGATTAAAATACAATACATAATCTTCCAATTCAAGATTTGTTTTTTCATATATTTCCAAGTCAACACTATTCCTGAGTGCCTCTTCTGTGTTTAGCATGAATTTAAGCAAATATGTGGAAAAGTGGAAAACATGAACACACCAGATGACCCTGCTATTCCCCATGCTTCTGGGTTTCAGGGCTGGAGAGGATGAAGGATAGGAAGTGAGGATGAAGGATGGAAGTGATTCTCTGGCCTAGAGGAAGTGCCTTGTGTAGCTGGCTCATTGGTAGGTGAGCTTCTGTCAGTCCTCCCCAACTTCATGTCTTTGCTGCATACTTGTCCTGTAATTGGTATTACACCAGGAGTATGAGGTACAACAGGTGATGTAGCACACAAGGGCCTTGCCCTCAATGAACTGGGTGGATCAGCCTGACACAGAGGCAGCAGTTGGGGAGCATTCTAAGTTAAGAGTTAAAAATTGTAGCTCTTGACAGATCTGGTCTCAAGCTCACCTGACTTGCTAAATTAGTGATTCATGCAGTAAGATCATTCAGATTCCAAAAAGGGAGGCATCAGTATGGGGAGAGCATCTTTTCACCTTTGCACATGGCTCCAGAATTTCCACTGGTTCAAAAGAATCCCCAGCAACCCCAGTCTCAGGAGATAATTGCTCTTAACAGCGCACCACACTGGGCACCCCAGCACTTATGGACAGCAGAGGAATGTAAGGGTGAATGCATGTTTTTTTTTCTGCAAATGACTGTCACTCATTCATCTTGGAGCCCACCTGACAACTTGCTTTCCAGGTAAAATAGCATCATTTTTCTAGGCTGGCTTCTTCTATGCTCACTAGCAGGGCTGACCTCAGATGTCTGGGGCAGTCTTAGGTACCTTACCAGACTGTGGTGTTCTTTGGGGGGACTTCCAGGACTGGGAGAGGATGTGGCAGGGGCCATTGTTCTGGAGTCTCCCAATATCTGTGAGGTCATCACAGGGGTGCCATCCTGCCCTTGCAGCACAGCTTAGATTTTGCCTTGGTCTGTAATAAAGGATGAAGTGAATCTCTGCCAAAGGTCCCAGGCTTGCTTGGTGCCAAGGGTTTCATTCTGAGCACGTCAGCATACAGTCGGCCTAATGGATAAAGCTATTATAGATTATCTAATTAATACAGCAGACTGCTGTTTCATTACAGGGGCTATGGACTCTGTCAGTGCACAATGCGTAGAGGTACTGCCATCAGTTTCTTGTTCCTGGTGTTGGGGTGGCTAATGTACTATATGAAGATTCAGAGGCATTTAAAAAGATGATCAAGTGCCATGCTGAATTCATGTTTACAGCTTCTTGGCTTGGGCTCTTGAAATCTAGAAGTCTTTGGGACTGAAAGCGAAGAATTTGTCTTGGTTCAAATGCTGTCTGCTCAATCCCATTATTGCCTTCCAGCACGTGCCCTTGGACACTCTCGTATCTTGTTGTCTGGTTGTAGAGCAGATTTTCACATGCTGGGAGACATCATGAAATGTGCCATTTGTTTCACTGAGAAAGCTCTTCTGGTGGCTGGTGGGGCTGTGGCACCTACTAGATCACTGTGTTATTTCCAGATCCTGTGTTTGGTGTAAATGGTACCTGGTTTGTTTCCTATCTTTAAATTACAGTATTCTTAGGAGTGCTGTTCTTTTGAACTGCACCTGTTGGACTCTTCTTAATTCCCGAAGAATCTGGGCCATTGTTTTTTAAGCTTGTAATATTATCCTTCACTGTAGGGTGATTTGGTAAGGTTGCACTTCCAAGGTTCTTACATTCTTCCCAAATGTACCTCATTGCACAAGCTGCTACCAGGAGAAAAGGGTGCCTGGATTAGTCTCAGGGTTCAAATATCCAGAATATCAAGGTTTCTCTTAGGAATAGTTAACTGAGTAAAAGAAAACCTGCTTGTTATTCTATTTTGGGATTTTCCCCCCCTATAAAAATAGAACTGTATTTAAAAGTTAAATCTAGACTGGGCATGGTGGCTCATGCCTTCATTCCCAGAGCTTTGGGAGGCCAAGGTGGGAGGATCATTTGAAGCTAGGAATTTGAGACCAGCTGGGCAACATAGCAAGACCTCATCTCTAAAAAAAAAAAAGAAAAAAAAAATTAGCCAGGCATGGTGGTGTGCCTGTAGTCCCAGTTATCCAGGAGCCTGAGGTGGGAGGATGGCTTGAGCCCAGGAGTTCAAGGCTGCAGTGAGATATGATTGCACCTCTGTACTCCAACTTGGGCAACAGAGTGAGACCATCTCTTAAAAAGAAAAAAAAAAAAAGCAGTTAAATCTACGTATAGATAGTAAAGTGTTTTAGTTTTTCTGTTACTGCCTTTACAAATGACCACAAATTTAGTAGTTTAAAAAAACTCCAAATTTATTATCTTACAATTCTGTAAAGCAGAGACCTGGTATGGGCCTCCCCAGGCTAAAATTAAGGTGTGGGCAGACTGTGTTCCTTTCTGGAGGCTCTCAGGGAGAACGTATTTCCTGCTCCTTCTGGCTGTTGGCAGAAGTCAAGTCTTGTGGCTGTAGGGTCGCAGTTTCCTTCCCTTGCTGGCTGTAACCTAAGGGCTCTTTCATGCTTCTGGAAGCTGCTGCATTCCTTGGCTTGTGGCCTCTTCTCTCCATCTTCAAAGCCAGTAATAGCGGGTGGGGTCTTTCTCATGCTCTGTCTTTTGAACTCACTCTTTTCTCTTCATCTCTGCTTTTAAGAGCTGGTGTGATTAGATAAGAGATTATGTAATTAGTCAGACCATGATAATCCATGATAAATCTCTTCATTTTAAGGTCAGCTGATTAGCGACCTCAATGCCATCTGCAGTCTTAGTTCCCGTAATTTACAGGTTCTGGGGATTATGATGTAGACATCTTTGAGGGGGACATTATTCTGTGTACCACATATGATTTCTTCATTAAACACAATACATGTAATTTAAATTCTAGAGGTTACAATGGGGAGGAGGTAAATTAGCTTTTTTTGAGCACCTACTGTATGCCAAACCTCATGCTAGATCTGCACATGCATCCCCTCATTCTAACATCTCAACAACCAGATGAGATAGATACTATCCTTGTTTGATGATGAGTTAACTGAGGTTTAGAGAAATTAACTAACTTTCCTGAAGTCCAAAAGCTAGTAAACGTAGGAGTCAGGACTCAAGCTCAGGTGGCTAAGATTCCAAATCTGAATGTTTCTCTTTCCACCACATCATATTTTTTCTCCTGGGATCTCAACTAAAAGCCTCAGAAGTAATCACTTATTTAAATGTATGTGTTTCCTCCAGGTTCGTTATAGTCTGTTTGAAGTCTGAGTTTGACGTAGATAGATTACTCATTTCCCCTACTCCAGCCTCTGATAAGCAGCAGACCAATTGTATATTACCACAACCTGGGAAAAGAGAGATAACTGATAAAGTGAAGAGACTTTGTCTCAAGGCCTTTGGTGGGGCTGAGCTCTAAGTCAACTAAGTGGCTTAAAGTGGAACCAGGCATCTTATCCCTGCAGGGCCTCCCCTGGGTGTGACAGGTGGAGGGCATACCAGTCGGAAAGCTGGTCCAAGCCTCCTCTGTCCTGCTCATCTCAGCTGCCTGGGACTCTGCAGAGAGGCTGCCTGGGACTCTGCAGAGAGGCTGCCTTTGGTCAATTCAAGCTGCCCCAGCCAGCACGGTTGACTGGCACAGAACGGCCTGGAGTGGCTGTGCCAACTCAGTCATAATGGGAGGAGCTGTGCAGAGAAAGACCTTCCAGGAATTGAGGGTGCAAGGAGATAGGATGGGGCAGATATGAGCGGCAAGTTTGGTGGGGCCATTGGCAGGGCCACATCTGGAGGCCTCCCATTCTGTGAAACACCCCAGCAGTGTGTTAATTGATTTATTTTGAGTGCAGTTTGTTTGGATGTGGGTAGACTATTGATGCTGTGGCACTTTGGAAGCTCACGTTTCCAAGCCAGAGATACTTCATTTGTGTCTGAATGAGAAAAATCTCAAGATACATGCCGTTCCATCCCTGAGATGCCTGCCACAGTACCAACTCATGGAGGCTGCAGTTACTTCAGTCTCATATACACATATATGTGTGCTCACATACACACTTTTAAATAATGTGATCGGCTTATGTCCTGCTTCAGTATTCTTGCTCTTTTCTTCCAATTTGGGTACTGCTCTGACAGGCTGGCAGCACACCACAATTCTGTCTTTGCACATTGATTGACCTGACTCTGACATATCAGGATTGCAAATTACTAACTTGCTTTTAGGCCCTGGCTCCTGAGGAATTTATAATGTCTATTGGGATCTCTTCTCCCCCTTAGCTTCTGCATTGAGAGTCAGAAGTGTGCATGAAGTGGTGTTGGCTTCTTTCTGTTTGTATCCAGGAGGGTGGGAGGCCCCAGGAGAGCAGACATCTGGGGCTTCTTTCTGTTGCACTGCCAATGCCTATCCACAGATGACCTTATGTGAAGGTGCTAGGCTGTGAATTCCTTTGTTTTATTTCAGGAAACATTGATTAAACATCTATTTTGGATATTCAAAGACAAAAAATGACCAACTTATTTCTCAATTAAAATGGCAAATGCAATATAGTGTTATCATTGCTATGGGGAGTGGTTGGGAAATATAAGGTATTATAGGGGCACAGGGGCACATAGGAGGGTGCCTATATTAGTCTGTTTTCACACTGCTATAAAGACATACTGAGAATGGGTAATTTATGAAGAAAAGAGGTTTAATTGACTCACAGTTCTGCAGGCTATACAGGAAGCATGGCTGGGGAGGTCTCAGGAAACTTACAATCATGGTGGAAAGTGAAGGAGAAGCCAGCATGTCTTATGTGGCTGCAACAGGAGGAAGAGAGAGAGCAAAGGGGGAAGGGCTACACACTTTCAAACAACCAGATTTCATGAGAATTCACTATCACAAGAATAGCAAGGGGGAAGTCTGCCCCCATGGTCCAACCTTCTCCCACCAGGTGCCCTCCCCCAACATTGGGGATTACAATTCAATATGAGATTTGGGTGGGGACACAGAGCCAAACCATATCAGTGAGTGCCCAACCCCATCTTGGTAGTGGATGGTCAGGAAAAGCTTCCTTTAAGAACTGACATACAAGCTAAACCTAAAAACAAAGTGGAGATTTTCAGGTGAAGGGGGATTGTGTGTGTGTGTGTGTGTGTGTATGTGTGTGTGTGTGTTTGTGTGTAGAAGGGGTTCAAGAAGAAGGAAAGACAAGTTCTAGGCAGAATAGATGGCATGGGAAAACACCCAGAGGCCAGAGATAATTTGGCAATTGAGAGAATTAGAAACCGAGATTATGGGTGGTTTTTAGAGCGCAGTAATATCATGGATGGAGGTATGGGGAGAGATTAGATTAGCAGGAACTAAAAAACGAGATAATAATGTATAGGCCAGGTGCAGAAATTTGTGCTTTAACCTTAGGGAAATGCAGAGCTACTGAACAATTGTAGAATAGTTTCATGATCAAATTTGGCTTTAAAGGAGATGATTTTAGCTGTGATACAGAGAACGGCTTGGAGGAGGCAGGACCAGCATCAGGGAGACCCACTGCAGTGGTCTTAGGTGATAAGAGCAGTAGCCTGACCTAAGGACTAGAATGGAGAAAGCAGGTGAATCTGAAAGATATTTAGGAATTGCAAAGAGTAGGACTTTGTGATTGAAGAATAGGATTGAGGGAGAGGAGGTGGCAATAAGAATACCCCTATTTCTGGCTTAGGCAACTGGATGGTGATAGTGGAGCCATTGATGGCTACAGAGACAGAGAAGGCAGCACAAGTGTGGAGGCATGGGGTGGAAAGATGAGAGCTGTATGGGCATGTGGAGGTATAGAAATACTTCTGTGCTGTTGACGAATAGTCAGCCCTTAGCAGGCACTCATATATTTTCTTCCACTGCCTCGCTCACCCTAACTAACCCAGTACCTAGGGCATTCTCAAGATCTAGAAATGGAACAGTTACTGTGTGACATAGCAGGAGGTCTCCTGTTCTGACTGGTTAGTGCCCTTGCCATACCAGATCAATATTTTTAACATCCCTTCTGTGGAGACAGTTCCTGTGGTAGGGTTCCTGTGGCAGTTGGTTGTAAAAAGACAAGAGCTGAGGAGAAAGAGGTTATAGCCAACCAGGCACGGTGGCTCACACCTGTAATCACAGCATTTTGAGAGGCTGAGGTGGGTGGATCACCTAAGGTCAGGAGTTCGAGACCAGCCTGGCCAACATGGTGAAACCCCATCTCTACTAAAAATACAAAATTAGCCGGGCATGGTGGCGCATGCCTGTAGTCCCAGCTACTTGGCTGAGGCAGGAGAATTCACTTGAATCTGGGAGGCAGAGGTTGCAGTGAGCTGAGATCATGCCACTGCACTCCAGTCTGGGCAACAAGAGCGAAACTCAGTCTCAAAAAACAAAGAAAAACAAAAAAAATAAAGTCATAGCTAGCAATGTTTTATTTGAGAGTCACCACCTAAAGGGTAAAGCCTTTGAGTGCATGAAAGTCTTCAGGAAGAGTGTAGCAAGAAGGAAGACAGGGCCCAGGGCTAAGGAATTTGGACTTTACCCTACGAGAAGTGGGGAGCCAATAATGTATTTTAAGCAGGGGCATGAGGCAACTGGTGAGGCCTGCAGGACTAAAGGGAGTGCCAGAGATGTCTGACAAGGTTGCTGCCCTCAATGAACTAATTGGGGTAGGCGAGATAAATGTCTCTTGGAAAGTAATGGTCATGCCAGGTGTGATGATTAAGTAGCAGGTGTGTAGCACAGAGAGTAAGGGGGCTAATTGTTTCCCACAAAGTAACTTGGAGCCCCTATGGTTAGGGCCGGATGAGGGCTTAGTCAATCAATTTGCCTTTGTGGTAATCCTGAATAGAAGAGGCTGCTCCTTGGGTGAGAAGACAAATAGACTTTTGAGTTCCCTTTAAAGGCTAGACACTTGGATAACTAGGAAGGGTTCTTAGTAAAAGCAAATGCCTTTTATGAGACTGTGCAGTTTACAAAGCCCTTTGATGTCTGCTACCTCATTTCATTCTTTTAACAAGTAAGTTAGAGGACATTGCAGAGATAAGGAAGTGAGGCCCAGAGACGTTAGAAGTTAATTAATAAGTTATGGAGCCAGTCTTCATGTCTGGGTCTTTAGATCCAAAGTTTGATTCTTTCACACTTCTCCAGTGGTTTGCAAACTGTGTTCCTTGGAGCCCTTCAGGGATGCCTTGGGCTTGCAGGTGATGGGGAGGGGATGGGAAGCATTCAGGGAGCAGGGCTTCTGCTCCCAGAGCCCTACCTCAGCCAGGGCTCTCAGGAATTTTCCAGTTTTCTATGTCAGCCTGTTTTGGAAGGTTTCCCCCAAGGAAGCATTTCCCAATGTGGAAAAACCTACTCTATGCTGTCTTCAAGGCTATCTCTAGGTAGGCCTGTCCCTAAACCCTCCTCCGAAGTTGGTGTGAATTCCTGTGCTTAACCACATACAAGATCTAGCAAAACACTTCTTCTTTTCTAACCCTAACTCTTCAGCTCCAGCTCCAGCCTATTCCCTCTGGATCTTGTTCTAGGTTGTCTGGTGGTTCTTCTCAGTACAATCTGTTTCGTTTCTGCCCCAACACCCTACCACCTTTTTCTAGATTCCTGGCACTCCAGACACTGGAAGAACGAGTATAAACATTTACCAGCTTGGATCCTTTCCCAGACATGCATTGTTGCTGACCCTGTGACCATCAGCTGGACAGTTTTAGTGTCTTCAAATCTTGATGGACTTGTATTTGGACACTTTGTGGCAGTGTTTTTCTGAAACCAGTGCATCTCAAGTAGTTGGATCTAATAATTCCTTTGTTCTCAGAAATTGTACGTTCATTAAAACAATCCTTTGTCCATTAAGTTACTTTTTTTAAAGGCTACAGTTTGCCTGGATGTATCCAGTAGGCATGAGTTAGAGATTAAAGACAAAGGGCCCAGGGGCAAAGGAAATAATTTTGTTTCCTAATCATACAGTGACATTACAAGTTAGCATTTCTGTAGTTTCCCTTGCTGAGAACTGCCTAGAATTTAGTGATAATTTCCTGACTCACAAATTGTGAAACCTAGGCCTAAGCCTTTCTCCTCTTCTTAAATATTTATTGAGCACCTACAGTATAGGTGCAAAGCTTAGCTCTAGGCTCTGTAAAGGATACAGATTTTAACAAACAGTTTCTGCCTTCAAGGGAGTTAATGGTCCCAGCATGTGCCTAAGTAATACAAGGAGGAGGCAGGGAGGGGTGGATGGAGTAAGTGCTGAGGGTGGCCTGAAAATGGAAGTAATCAGTTTATTTCAGGGTTCCAAATGAGAACATTAGTATTATGCTAAGTAACTTCTCTTTTATATCCTGCTCCAGAAGTGTAGGGGTTGGTGGCAGAATCCCGCAGTGGACAGAGGCCCAGAAGCCAACTGGACAGAAGGTCTAGCAAGGAGAGCTGACCCTGATAAATCTAGTCCCAGCTGCTGGTGTGGTTGATGATAGAGAGCTGTGGGCTCCAGAGGAATTCTGGTGCTGAGACAAACTCACGTATTTCAGTTGTATGCTTTGCAAAATCTGTTTGATTGCCAGTAGCTCTTGAGCCCTTAGCCCCTGATAGGCTGGTCACCCACCAGATCCACAGCAGGGAGAACACAGGCTCTGCAGACAGAGACTGGGTATAGGTTACTGCTCTCTTTCTCACTTTACTGTGTTGGTTGCTTAACTTCTCTTGCCTCAGGGTTCTCACAGTGCAGAGGGGAAATGATACCTACCTTGATGGGTGGTTGAAAGGGTGGGAGAGCGTGCAGGGAAAGAGCTTGGCATACAGTAGACACTCATTAGATAGTACCTCATTACTTTTGTTATGAATCCAAGGGCTTCATGGTGGGATCAAGGACCACAGCTGTGGTGGCCTAGCACAGATGTTGCATTTTACTCTTGTGAGTGGTCAGGAAAGCCATGCTGTATGGTGGAGTGAGGGTCTAGAGATCAGGCCCCCATCCCCACCCCGCTCCCCAGAGCCTCCAGGGGACCTTGGACAAGACTCTTAACCTTCTCTGTACATTATTCCTATTCAAACACTGATAAAATGGAAGTGAAAAATCACAACCTTCTGAATTGAAAGGGACCTTTCAATATAATCTACAATAGGTGTATTTAGTAGAAGAGACAGTTGAGGCTTAGACAAGGTGAAATGAAGCTCCAAAGGCAAATCAGGGGGTGGCCCTGTCTTGACTCCCAATATAATGCTCCCCTTCACATAGTTGCTACCCAAGTAGGTGGTGGCTTGAGAGTTTGGGAGCATTCATGAACTATTGCATCTGAGGTGCTTTTGGCTGGACCACTTATATCATAGACAAATCCATTTTTATTAGCATCATTCAAGGTTCATAGCATAAAGGCAGCAAGAAATGGTAGTGAAAATATGCTGTCTTCCCCCTAAACCAGTTTTAATTTCTTAACTCCCTCCTGCCCCTTAGTTCCTCTAAGTATTTTCCTCCTCTGACCTGATATTCATTCACTTGGTATTTATTCCACATGTACTAGGCTTTGCGTACTACAGGGACTTCATAGCCAAGACATGCAAAGTTGAAAAGTTGGATAAACAATACAGGAAAAACAAAAGTGAACAAAAATGCAAAGCACTATATGATTAAATGTTAAATGAGAAATCTATGCCTGTGGTTCCCAAATGCTAATTTATGGATTTGTACTTGTTGATGATAACATTTTCATCAGTTTTCTGTGAAATGAGAAAAATAGGGCAAGGTGTGATTATTTCATAAGGCTACATTTATTTAATAGGATTTTCTGAGATTATATCCTTCCAACATTTTAGTGCTAAAATGCCCTTTCTTTTATGAGATGTTGGAGCATAAATAGTGGTGGTTGAAAGCCCATACTTAAAAAAATAGAAAGTTGGCCACATTATATTGGTTTCTTTTGAAATTTGGCTCATCCTTGAAATCTAAAGCTAAGACAACCACTGGTGGGCACAAAAGTCCAGAGTGAAGGGGAGGAGCAATTTTTGAGGAGTGGAGTGCTCAGGGAGAGCTCCAAGGACAAGGACAAACACTGATAAGGAATTGAAGGATGAGAGGATTCAATAATGTGGAGAGGTTTGGGGAGGCTTCCTCTTGAGAGGATAACGTGAGAAGAGCCTTGGGAGCAAGTGTGGAGGGTCTGTTCAGGGCAATAGGGAGAAAAGTTTGGATGCCTTGTCTTTTTACCTGCTGTGCTCGTAAAAAATTCACCCAGTTGTTACCACAATAAAAACTGATCTTTGGCTCCTTTCAATTAACCAGGTCACTGTCCTGAACTACTTGCCCCAGTCACTGAATCAATGCCCCAGTTCACCTTGTATTCCAGAACTAGTCTTTCATCTGCTCAAGGCAAGGTCAAAAACAGGCATACAAGAGCATCTGATGCTCAGTAACTCAGCTCCAGTTCTGACTTCTTTTTTTTCATCCTTGACCATAATTTAGACTCATTAATGGGTTAGATGGTCTTTGCTCATTCTGGCCTCGTTTCTGGGCCCTACACCCTAGGCCATGCCCTTGAATGTGTCCCTAGCTCTGTGAGGAGGACCCATGAGCAGTAGTGTGCCAGATGCGTCACAGAGGGGACTTAGGGAATGGAAGAAGGCTCAACAGGATGCATTTACTGGGTGGAGAGGGAGGAACTGGTGGCCTATGCCTGTGGGACTGAGGTTCGGATGGTTACCATTGACTAAAATGGGAAGAGAGCCTGTTTGGAGGAGAAGAATTTGGTTTCAGGGATGTTGAGCCCAGGAATGGGAAGGGAGAACTGGTAAGAAATTGGAGGGAGGTGAAGGGAGGATGAGGAGAAGGACCAGGTCCATTTGGAGTCATGGTCAAGGTCTTCTGGAGAGAGACTGCATCATTGCTGATGGTACCAGTGAGTGAGGAGGAAACTGAAAAGAGTTCAGCCTCACAGGAAGGCTGGAAATTAGTGCAGGAGGGATGGGCAGGTGAGTAGGAGGCTGGGGAGGTCACAGAGGACAAGATGAGAGAGTCCATTAACCTAGAGAACATACCATTTGTGTCTGTAGGGGGTACTCCTGTGTTCTGGACTAGGAGGAGTTGTGTTTCACTATGGGTGAAGAGCCTGAGGGTAAGGAGAGGCTGTGCCTGTTCTGCGACCCTCCATGTGATCTGAGGTATTCCCTTGGCACATACTCAGACACCCACCTCCTTTGCTTGGTGTCTTCAATCTTTCCATACCTCCTCCTCAGGGGGAAGAAGTCCTTGCTTCAAGTAACTGACTGGCTGCAAGTCATGGAGAGGGTTGGGGCCAAGGGAGCCATCTTTTTTTACGCCTCCCTCTGGGGCTGCTAAGAGCAGTAGATCTGTTTGAGCTTATTTATGTGCCTGGAGTTGAGAGCTCATATTTTGCTTATTCAACCAGCTTCCCACGCTGCCAGGAAGGCACTAAGCAGCAGAAATTCATGTTCACCCTCTCTGTCTCCCTCTCTCTCTCACTCTGTCTTTGGTATTCTTCAGCTCCAATGGGAGCTAATATTTACCTGCAGTGTTAGCTGTGGGGCCGTGGGATGTGGCAGCTGGAGGTGGAGAAGACTTTTTTCTCCCTTCCTCCTCCACCTGTCTTTCCCTAGAGATTTGAAAAGGGAAAAATTGTAATTTTAATCTTTAAGACTGCCTGTTTGAGATTTCAGATGTTGTTGAGAAAAGTCAAGGGGTCTTGTGCTCACTTTTCTACTGAAAGATAAGTGTCTTAGTCTGTGAGCCTCTATAATAAAGTACCACAAAGTAAGTGGCTTGTAACAACAGAAATTTATTTTTTATAGTTCTGGAGGCTGGGAAGTCCAAGATCAAGGCACTGGTAGATTTGGTGTCTGGCAAGGGCCCTCTGCCTGATGGATACCTTTCTTTCCACTGTAACCTTACAAGGTGTAAGGGGCAAAGGATCTCTTTGGGGCCTCTTTTAAAAGGGCACTAATCTCATTCATGGGGGCTCCACCCTTATGACCTAATCACTTCCCAAAGGCCCCACCTCCTAATACCATCCCCGTGGGGGGTTAGGATTTCAACATATGAATTTGGGTGAACATAAACATTCAGTCCATCAAAACAAGGAGGAAGATGAGATTGGTGGGCTTTTAGGACATGCTGCAGAGAAGGGAGAAAATGTCAGCCAAGGAATACTGTCATACTGTTCCTTACAAGTGGAGTGACTCCCGCGTTGGTGACAAGAGGGCATGGATGACAGAGTCTGAGACATTACTATGACTGGTCTTACTTGGTGCTGGTCAGCTCGGACAACTTCTGCAGGGGGAGCCTAGCAGATTTCATGTGCTAGGCACAACAAGCAGGGCTGGCAGCCATAGCTTCTCCCTACCTGCAGGGAATGTGCATAGGGGCAAGTTCCCTCTGAGCCCACTGCCTGGTGCTGACTCAGCCCAAGTGCTTACCTGCTCACCAGTCAGGAGTTGAACATATAGATGAAGTTGAACGAATGTCTGAGGCCAGGAATAGGAAAAATGTCTCAGCTCAATGTGGTTTGCGCATGACAAAAAGAGTAACTGGTGATATTTCTAAGACCTTGGTACATTCCCACTATGGGACAGGATCGTCCCTCTCCAGGATGCTGGGGGAAGGGACAGGTGGGAGATGGGGCAGGGATGAAAAGGAGAACCTTGAGGCCGGGAGTGGGTGGGGATGTTGGCCTGCATGGATTCCACACAAGGTCTAAGTCCATCTGTGTGTGTAAGCCAGCGCCCATAGCGGCTGGAGGCTCCTCCACTCACTTCTCCAGTGCCTTTTCCTGCCTTTATAGCAGTTTTCCAGAAAGTCTATTCCTGTTCTTCAAACTGCTCTTTTATGCTGTGTGTCATGATTTCTCATGCCCCAGTTTGTCCTGTTGTTGCCATGGTAGCTGGCTAGGGGTCGTCTCCAGTTGGGTGGGAATATCTTGCTGGCAGGCCACGGAGGCAGAAGAAGATATGGGTGACTTCAGGCTGGTGCTTCGGGGACTCCTGGTGTTACAGACCACCACCTGGCTCCCCATTCCTACCCCTCTGCATTTCCCACAGTTTCCTATGCCCACCAGAAGGCAAAAACAGAGGAGGAAATAAGTGTAATATTTGCCTTTGTTACGGCCATTTCAGAAAAAGCCTGGCAAGGCATAGACTGCCCCTTTCAAGATTGAGCTATGGCAGAACTAAGATGGGACCCTTGTCTGGGCAAGAACCGCAAGGGAACACTTGTCCCATCAACACTTAGAAAGAGAAAAGAAGGCAGCAGACAGCAAGGCAGGATTTAGCTGTGAAAAGCCACTTCCAAGAAACACGAAGATAAACTGAATGCCCTTGACACCTATGAGCTAAGCATCTGGCAGCTGGGACTCTCCATGCCTATGAATATAGAAACTTTTGTATGGGCCCTTGACTTCACTTTTGTGAAGTTTCCTGTGATTTGGGCACACTGCATTATTGTTTGCCTTTCTATCTTTCACTTTGGTTTCTATCACATTTGATGGCTACTTTTCACATGATACATTTTAAATCATTTATTTACCCATCCATCCATCCATCCATCCATCCATCCATCCATCCATCCATCCACCCATCCATTTATTCAACAAATATTCAAGAAATAACCATTGATTACATACTATATATTATGTACTGTTCCAACTATGGGGAGATAGCAGTGAACAATATTGACAGTCTCTGCTCTCAAGGAGCTTACATTCATCTGAGATAGATCAATAACAAATAGACAAGAAAATACAGGATAGTAAAGAGTGGAAGATTAACCTGGGGTGATGTCACAGACTGTGACTGGGTGGATGGTCCAGGAAGGCTCTGCAAAGGTAGCATGTGAGCTGAGATCTGAAAGCCAGGAAGCAACCACTATGGGAGGATGGGGAAGAACATTCCTAGTACAGGGAACAACATTCCCAGTACAGGGAACAACTAGCTTAATGCCCTAAGGCAGAAGCAAGATTGGTATGTTTGAGAAACCTCAAGGAGGGCAGTTGAGATAGGTGAGCCGGTGAGCACTTGGGCTGAGTCAGCACCAGGCAGCAGGCTCTGAGGGAACTTGCCCTTTACACATGTTCAGGTAGGGAGAAGCTATGGCTCCCAGCCTTGCTTGTTGTTGTGTCTAGCACATGAACTCTGTGAGGATTCCTCTGTAGAAGCTGCCCACGCTGGCCAGTGCCAAGTAAACCAGTCATAGTAATGCCTCAGACTCCATCATCCATGCCCTCTTGTGCCTAACACTGGAGCTACTCCACCTGTGACTGGAGCGATGGGGAAGGACGTGGAAGATACAGTCAGAGGGTTAGTGTGCCAGACACCTTACCTGCACCACGTCACAGCCTTGTGGCCTCAACTGTTTCTGGGACTTTTGGCTGCTTGTTCAGGTTCCAGTTGTCACTGCAGTGACTGACCAACTCCATGCATGTAAAACCCGACAGCACTTCACCTCATGAAGGTGTACCTCCCACCTCTTACCCTGGAGCTTCCCTATTGACACCAACTCACGAGATGCACAGGACTCTCCTGGGCAACTGGAAGGTGGAGAGGAAATTAACTCCCTGAGTGATGAACATTTGATCAGTGAGAGATTGAGCAGATGAATTCTTCTCTGTCTTCTGATGGACTGTCCTGAGGCACAGTTGTCTTTTACCAATGGCCAGCTAGGTAATGCACCATCATATTGGCTCTCCCTCCTTGCCTGCCTTACTTCCCTTTTCCCTCACTCCTGCTTCCTTGCGTTTGCATACCTTAATAAAGGCACCTGAACCCTTGCCTCAGGCTCTGCTTTCTGGGGGAAACCACACTTAGACGGAGAGGCAGGCACCAGCTGATATAGGGCCTGGTAGGACATGATAAGGAATTTACATTTCATTTTGAGAATTAGGGGAGGTTATTAGAGAATACTGAACTGGAGAATGATATGGTCTGTTAGACTTTTAAAAAAGCTGACTCTGGTTGCAGTTTGGAGAATAGATTGAAGGAAGGCAGGATGAGCAGTGGGCAGGCTACTATCACAGTTCAGGGGAGAGATGGATGATGGCATGAACCAGAGTGGGAGCAGTGGTGGTCATGAGCCTGTGTGTTTGTGAAGGGCAACCATAAGACAAGGCTGTACTGAGAAGCATACTGGGTAGTGGGCCAGGAACAGGACCCACACCTTTGCACAGCAGCTGTTATGGTTGAAATTCAAATATGTGGTTCAGCAAGACAACAAATTACAACCTACCAAGGACCTTCATCACCTGTTGAACATAGAGAGACTTCAGCTGGGGAGAACTGAAGACCTTTACAGAAACCTCAGGACATTTTTATTCAAACCCATCCATGGAGTTCCCTCAGGAGGAAGGAGCTTGGGTTCAGCTCCTAGTTGAATCAAGTAACTCTCCGCCTTCATCTGTTTAATTCATTTACACTTAGAGTAGTATTTCTTTTGCAGAAAGGGATGCATGGCTAAAAATGTACTACTGCTTCCATTAATGAAAATTAATTTAGCTTAATAAGATGAGTCTGAATCTTGGATTCTGCCAGCCCTGAGTTTGAATTCTAGTTTGACCCGTTTCTAGGTATGTGGCCTTTAAGTTTCTCATCTGCAATATGGGAATTAACACTAACTTCCTGGAGTTGTGAGAGTTAAATGATTTGGGTGTATAAAATATCTGATACATGCTCTTTATACCCTCTTTACTCCACTCATAGTAAATAAATCCTGTGGGAAGCTGAAGTACGGTGGGGATTGAATTGAGGTGGGTGCAACCTTAGCCCTCACCTGGTAGACTTCCTTCTAGAGTTTAACCTGGAGATACTGGAGCTTTTGCCATTAAGGGAGGTAACAGATCATTACAAAACATTCCTCTGGAGTTATTCAGGAGACTAGAACTGAGCCCTTTCTTTTGAGAGGGTCAAAACAGTATCGGTTTATGAATGACTATGATAGTACCCCTGTGAGATAGTTTAAAAGAAGTGTTGGGCCGGGCGCAGTGGCTCACGCCTGTAATCCCAGCACTTTGGGAGGCCGAGGCGGGCGGATCACGAGGTCAGGAGATCGAGACCATCCTGGCTAACACGGTGAAACCCCCTCTCTACTAAAAATACAAAAAATTAGCCGGGCGTGGTGGCGGGCGCCTGTAGACCCAGCTACTCGGGAGGCTGAGGCAGGAGAATGGCATCAACTTGGGAGGCGGAGCTTGCAGTGAGCCGAGATTGCACCACTGCACTCCAGCCTGGGCGACAGAGCAAGACTCCATCTCAAAAAAAAAAAAAAAAAAAAAAGTGTTGTTCAATCCATTTTATAGATGATAGTTTCTAATACTTCAGGCAGTTGTGCCTTCCCTCTGCAATCAAACTCTGGGGCATTTTTCCCCTTGATGCTGTCTTCTTCACTTGCTCAACCAAAAATACCAGCTCTTGCAGAATAAATCATCAATTTCTGAGGGTGGCTGATGTGAACAACTCATATGAATCTCAGGCCCATCTTAGATTTTTTTTTTTTTGGGAAATTACAAAAGTATTTTACATTTGTTATAGAAAATATGGAAAAGCATATGGAAGAAAATGAAAATTATCCGTAATGCCATCATGTACAACTGATCGTTAATAATGGATAAATATCCTTCTAGGCTTTTTTTTCCCTACACACATACCTGTATGTATATTCACACACATACATATACCCACATACAGCTTATTATACTAATGGGGATTATAGGGTGCACATCTTGCTTTTGTAACCAGCTTTACTGATTAATAATATATTATGAACAGTGTACTGTGTCATTAAATATAGTTTTACCATGTGATTTTGAATAATTGCAAGAATTCTCTTATGTGATTCTTATGATTTGATAACAAGTTCCTTATTGTTTTTCACTTACAATACAAAAAGATTGTAGTTTTTAATATTCAAATGAACAATCCAATGACCAGTTTTATAAATGCATCTTCATGTGCAAGTCTAATGACCTGATAAGGAGAAATTCCTAGGATTAGAATTATTGGGGCATAGGCTGTGCACATATTTATGACTCTTGAGAAGTATTGCCCTACCTCCTTCAGGAAAGGTTGTGCTAATTCCAACCTCACCCACAGTGAATGAGATTGCACTCATCTTTGCCAACTCTGGGTATTTCAGTTAGTAAGAATGTCTCTTGAACTTCTCCTAAACACAGTTTAATTATGATATATTTCGAACATTTGTATAGAAAACAAGAGACACCCACGTACCCACTACCAAGATTAAATACATAATAATATTTGCCATATTTGCTTCATCCCTCTCCCATTTTCAAATAAATACAATGTTACAGATGCATTTTGTATGCTCATTCTTTGTTCCTTGCTCCGGAAGTCATCACTCCTCTGAGATTGATATTTCATTACCATGTGCATTTTTGTAATTTTACTACATGTGCATTTATGAAAAAGCATGTATATGAATTTTTTGAGTTTTAAAGTTTTATTTACGTGATACATAGAATGTGTCCTTTTGCAGCAAAATGAACATTTGTTTTTAAGATTTACCAGTATTATTACATGCATACTGAGTTCATTATTTCACTTTCTGCATAGAACTCCATTGTATAAATAAATCACAGGTTCTTAATTCGCTTCCCTTCTGAGGGGAGGCTAGGTTGCTATAATTTTTTGTTATTACAGATAAAATGATCATCTTGTCCATGTCTCTTGGGTGCATGTGTGAGATTTTCTCTGGGAAAGATACCTAAAAGTGGAATTGCTGAGTTTAGGAATACACATTTCCAACTTTTATTAGGTACAGTAGTTCCCCCTTATCTGCAGGGGATAAGACCCCCAGTGGATGCCTCAAACTGTGGATAGTATCAAATCTTATAAATGCTATATTTTTCCTACACATACATACCTATGATAAAGTTTAATTTATAAATTAGACACAGGAAGAGATGAATAATAACTATTAATAAAATAGAACAATTATGTGATATACTGTAATGAAAGCTATTCACATAACTTATATGGGCTCTCTCTCCCTCTCTAAAATTATCTTAATATTTTTGGACTCTGGTTGACTGAGGGTAATGGAAAGTGAAACTGTGGATAAGGTGGGGACTACTGTATTATCTAACACATTGCTTTTCAGAGTGAATGTGTCATTTCCACTCTGCATATCATATGCAGCACTCCCATTTCTATATATCTTCAACATCACTTGAGATGTTCAGAATTATTAAAGTGTGCCAATCTGATGGGTGTGAAATGGAATCCAATTATTGCATTAATTGCACTTTCCCTGATTACTAATGAAATTGAGCACTGAACATATGTTTGTTGGCCATTTGGATTTCCTCTTGTGTGAACTGTAGATTCCTATCCTCTGCCCATATTTCTATGAGGTAGTATGTGTTTTTCTTATGATTTCTGAGAATCTTGTATATGTTCTAGATAGAATTCGTGAGTTGTCAGTATCTTCTCCCCCACATGACTTGTCTTTTTCACTTTGTTTATGGTGCTTTTTGTCATACAGAGTTATTAATTTTAGTGTGGTAAAATGTATCTGCATTTTTTTGATGATTTTTGTTCATCTTCTCTCATTAAAAAATTCCTTCCACATACTGAGATAAAAAAGAAGTCATTTATATTTTTTAAATAACATTTTTTACAGTTTTGCATATCACATTTGGCTCTTTTAATCTATCTGGAATTAATTTTTGTGTATAGTGTGAGGTGGGCTCTAATTTTATCTATTTTTTCTCTGCTATGATTAGTCCTTTGACTCAACACCATTTAGTGAGTAGGCAATTCTTATCTGCTGTTTCTGGGCACTTTATTTTATTCCACTGGTCTATTTGTATATCCCTCTCACCCATGTCTCACTAATTTAGTTTTTATAACTTTGTAGTTTTGGTATATTAATTCTCCCCAAATTGTCTTGGCTATTGGCTCTTTATTCATCATATGATTTTTAGGATCACCTTGTCACATTTCACTAAAAAGATTAGATTTTAATTGAAATGGAATAAATGGATAGATTAACCTAAGGGAGCCTTGCCATATTTAAGCTACTTCGTTTTTTGTTTTTTTTTTAGTCCCTGGGCATGACTTATTTCTTCTTATGTTTAGAGCTTTCTTAAAGTCCCTCAAGAGAGTTGAAAATTTTTCTTTACATCTTTAATTGGGTTTGTTTTTAGGTACCTTATGGTTTTGTTGCTTTTGCATGGTGTCTTCTTATCATTACTTTTTCTGAGTCTTTGTTTTAGGTGTACCAGAACTTGTACTTTTGTACACTGATTTCATGTCCACCATCTTTGTAGAATTCTCTTACTACTGTGAGTGGCTTTTTTTTTTTTTTTGTAGGCAACTCTTATATTTTGGATGCAGGCAGCATCACCTGTGAATAATGATAACTTTGTTTTTTCCTTTATAATCCATATGCCTTTTCTTTCTTTTTCTTTACTTATTACATTAACCAGTACTTCAAGTCCAATACTGAATAGAAAGAGTTTCAGTGGGTGTCCTAGACTGATACTTCACTTTACAGCTATGTCTTGACTTAGTCCGTGTTCCCTGTGAACACCACCTTACCTCTGACCATCCTGCCCACTTTACGTGGCATTGTTGATTAGTAATTTAGTTCCTTTTTTGTGTATGTATTCATAAATTAGACATTATATATATATAAATAAAATTGTCATTATATCCACTAATATCTTTTGCTCCTCACACCATTTTCTTGCAGACCATTCTTTTCTTCCATTTAAATTTCCTCCCCAAGAAATGTCTTATAGTACTTATTTCCCCTGAACTTGTATAGTAAACTCTCTATTTTCCTGGAAAAGTCTTTATTTCGAGTCATAATTTAGCTATTTTCAACACTTGATGATATTATTCTATCACTTTCTGGCCTGGCCTCTATTATTATAATTAATAATCTAATTGCTGCTTCTTGTAGGTAATCTGTCTTTCCTCTCAGGATGCTTTTAAGATTTTTTCCTTCATATTTTTGGATCTTTTGATATTTCACTAGAATATGTGTGTATAGGTTGAATTTATTTTTATTTATCCTCCTTAGAATTCATTGAATTTCTTGACTTGGAGGATTTATATCTTTCATCAATACTAGAAAATTTATCCTACAGATCTTCAAATATTGTCTTTCTGCAGTCTCTATGATCTCTTTATAGAAGTCCCATTAGATATATTTTGGGTCTCTTCATTCTGTCTTCCATGTCTGTTAACTTTAATCATATTTTCTCTATTTTTATCTCCCTGGGCTGTATACTGTGGAGTTTCCTCATATGTGTTTTCCTGTTTACTGACACTCTCCTTAGTTATATATAATCTAATAGTTAACCTATCTATTGCCTTTAATTTCAATGATTATATATTTTATTACAAGAAATTTTGTATTTGCCACTTTTTCAAATTATCTTTTTTTCATTTCATTGCATTCTATTATTTTATTTCTTTACATATCTTTTCTATTATTTCAAGTACTGGAGCTTTAATCTTCTTGTTCTTTGTATTAGCTAACTTATCCTTATGCTGATTATTTCCTTGTGTGCTTCAAAAATTTTGATTACAAGTCATGTTTAGTAGTGCTTGTTTTCCCCATGGAAATGCAGTGTACTCAGGATTGTGAGAGTAGCCTAATAGAGTAGTTTTGTTTGGTTTTCTTACTTGACCCAGGGGTGTTATTTTCTTGGCCTAAGTGTTCCTGAATCCCGCTGAACATGTAAATTCAGCCCATAAATCCATGTCACACACAATCCTGAGTTTTGATTTCTCAGGGTTTTGCTTTTTCTCATTCACTCAGAGACAGAAGCTTCCTTGTTATCTATTTTTGCTGTAGAGTTGATTTTCATGCAGTTTATTTAACTGAAGGTACAGTTCTTTAAGGGTTATAGCTTAGCGCAGAATCTTAGTTCCAACTTCTGTCCACATAAGGTCTAAAGACCTTATCACTTCTCTTGAGTGGACATTAAAACTTACCCATTAGGCTGGGCATGGTGGCTCATGCCTATAATCCCAGCACTTTGGGAGGCCAAGGCTGGTGGATCACTTGAAGCCAGGAGTTTGAGAACAGCCTGGCCAACATGGCAAAACCATATTTCTACTTAAAAAAAAAAAAAAATTAAGCCTTGTGTGGGTGGCGTGTGCCTGTGGTCCCAGCTACTCAGGAGGCTGAGACATGAGAATCGCTTGAGTTTGGGAGGTGGTGGTTGCAGTGAACTGAGATGGGGCCACTGTACTCCAGCTTGGGTGAAAGAGCGAGACTCTGTCTTAAACAAAACAAAAAATAAAACAAAGCAAAGCAAAGCAAAACAAAACAAAACACATAAAAAACCCAACCCATTAAATCTTTGTTACCAGGACTAGTTACTGCCTATGGGACAGCTGCAATTTCAATTCACACGCTTCCTCCTTTGTATTTCAATTCCTCCTAGGGATTTCCTTTTATATCTTTCAAGTTCAGCAATATATCTTTTCAAATATATTTGAAAATATATTTCTGTACTTTATCAGTTTTTCTAGAAATGTGTAGCAAGAGATTTTCTTATTCTGCCATCTTTCTAGTACTGAATCCTTGAATGACTTTTACAAAGAGAATAAAATAGGAAAGCATAAAATAGTCCCTGGGAAATACACACAGTCTTCTAAGACTTGAAACTAGATGTTCCTAATGGAGAGGTTAGTAAGAGTGCCGGACACAGCACAGGGGAAGATTTGAGGAAGGAAGTGGGTGAGAAACAGCAGTGCATTAATGGGCAATTACTTTCTGCCCCCTCAGATGGTACGTGAGTGCTTAGCTAATGGCAGTTCACTTAGAAAAGTGATCATTGGTAAGTCCTTACCAGCAGCTCCCAAAAATATCTTGCCTGAAGTGATCGAGCCTTTTTAGGAAACGAAAGATCAGATTCAGAAAGCAAGGAGATGGTTCTCAAATTCTAGTGAAGACAAATTCTAGAAGAAAAGCTTTCAAAGGGTGTTGTTGACCAGAGAAGCTGAAGGATTCAAGCTTTCTTGTAGCTTTATAAATAAGAAGGGAAAGAAAACAGAATGAAAAGCAGGGGATGAGGGTACACAGGGTTGAGTTGAAAGCATGAGTGTAGGAGTTTTCACTGCAGACATAGCTGATTTGAGGGGGAAACATTGTTTTGCAGGGCTTGTGACCAAATTTCTTAGGATCCAAAGTGTCAGGAGAAATCCTATTTATTTGAAATCTAGTTGATAAGCCTTAAGCTGATTATGTCAGGTTGAGGTCACTTTTTCTTTTCAGCTTGGGTTGTCCCTTCAGACTCTGCTGTCCCTTCAGTTTCTTTTATCTTAAGGCATGGAGCCCTGTGCAGGCCTATGAGACCATCAGAAAAATAGAGGTGCAGCTCTGAGTTCACTCCAACTCTCAAAGGCTGTGACTTACTAGATATGAGGGAGAAAATGAAAGTGTACATAGTGAGGCAAATGCATTCCACTGGGGTTCCTGCATTCCTGGTCATGATGTTGATGAGTCCTATGAGCTAGAGCAATCTATTTAATTATTCTACACCAGGAGTCTCAACTGGGAGGTGATTTGGGCCCCAAGGGTCATTTAGCAATGTTTGGAAACATTTTTGATTGTCACAGCTGAGTGGGGGAAGTATATCTGGTGTCTAGTGGCTACAGGCCAGGGATGCTGCTGAATATCCTACAGTGCAAGGGCATCCCCTATGACAAAGAATTATGTGACTCAGAAATGCCAATAATGCTGAGCTTAAGACACCCTTCTCTACATGTCTTTTCTTATCTGCAACATGGAGGGGTTAGAAGAAGAGGTTGATGTGTGTGGCTAGATTAGGTTATTACCCATCTGTCTAACAGAGAGCACTTCAACCCACATCACATCTCTAGATACATGGAGGAAATGAAATTAGTTGAAAATGTTCCCCAATTTTCTACCAAAGAACAAAATATTGTACTCGAGATGTGAGCTTTGCAGGTTCACGGTGACCACTGTGTCTGCCTCCACGCATTGGGTCATTGGTCTTGTCATGTTAGGTTTGCGAGTTGCACTTGCACCTGTGAAGGGAAGGTTGAGGACAGGCTTCCTTGAGCTGAACTGATTGTCTCCAGAATGGTTTTATCAGCTGTAGCTTCTCCCACAGCACCTTCCCAACATGGTGCAGATCCTAAGGAGTCCATGTCCTGCTTGTGTCCATTTGGCTTTGTTTATAGTTTCCATTCATTTATTTATGCATTTATTCATTCATTTAATAAACATGTATTCAGAGTCCACTAGACATAAGGCAGTGCATTAGTTACTATGGAGAATGCAAAGATGAATGAGCCAAGCCCCTTGTAGTATAGTGGGGAGCCAAGATGTGTACACCACAGTATCTGAGGCAGGGTGACATAAAGTGCCAGCAGTACTCAGAGGAGAGAGAGATCACTTTTGTCATATGACCACAAATTGCTTCATAAGGGAGGTAGCATATGGGCTGGGCTTTTAAGTCTAAATAATTTTTTGGCAGGTGGCTATGGAAGAAGGGGTAAGGAAGGGAGAAAGAAAATGAGAAATGATATGGAGGAGGTCAATTACAAGGTGTTCTCAGGGAAGGGTTAACAGTCCTGCTTCATTGGAGCAGTAGTAGGAGATATTGCTAGGAGCATAATGGCAGGTAATAAGGACTTAGACTGGATGACATTTAAGTTTTCTTTCAACCCTAAGATGATAAGATCTTATGATTGGATAGTTATATTTGATAGGCACTAGAAAACTCATTCATTCATTCAACAACAACAAAAAATTTATTAAAATTTTTTTTTTAACCAGATACTGTTCTAGGCATTGGGGATACAACATTGTACAAGCGCTTCAATTTTATTGCACTGAAAGGTGAGATAGGGTCAGAGTTGAGCTGTGCAATGAATTTTTGTGGTAGAACCTGGAAGAGGAAGATGGATGAGGAGACTCTGCCCATCTCCTGAATGGAAGGTAATACTGACTCGAGGGGTGGTGGTGCAAATGGCAAGGACAGGAAGACTGTGACTGTGGCATAGAGAGAAAAATGACAGGGCTTGGGGAATGCTTGTTGTGGGAGTTGGAGTCAAGGATGCAGCCAAAGTTTTGTGCCCGAGTTAGGGGGAGACTGCAATGCTGCAAACAGCATTAGAGACCTAGGAGGGAGCTGGTTTGTAGAGAAAGAGGATGAGTTTGCTTTTAAACAAACTGATTCATGGTGCTGTCAGGTCATCCAGGTGGAGGTGCCCATTTGAGCCATGGTGAATATAGTACCAGACAACAACAAAAACAAAAACCAACAAAAAACAGAGCCGAAGATAAAGGTTTGGAAGTCTTCTGGATATTAGCTTTATTTGAAGCCATCCATATGGATGAGATCACTGAGAGAGTGCATACATAGTGAAGAAGGCAGACACCGGGATCTGAGGAATGTTCACATTTAGGAGGCAGGAGAAGGAAAGGTGAAGAAGATGAAGGAGCAGTTAGGGAGGTAGAAGGAGGAGTTTGGAAATGCTCCTGAGGGAGGCAGGAAGAGGAAAGCCAATTCATGCTGAGTCCCAATATATAAGAATGTGTGCACACCCTAATAGCCTCCAGGGAAACAGACTTTGGGGTGAAAAAATTCCCTGGAACATATTTAGCTGTAAAAGTGTTGAGCCACCTTATCATGTTATCACTTCTTAGTGCTTCAGCCAGAGGGTGAGGAGGGAGGGGGAGTGGAGGAGGCTTTCCAGTGAGTCATCCCTCCTGCATGTTAGGAGTTTTGGTTAAAAGATTTACAGAGAGAGAGAGTGAGAGAGAGAGAGTGAGAGAGAGAGAGCGTGAGAGAAAGAAAGAGAGCAAGAAAGCGAGAGAGAGAGCACGAGAGCACACAAGTGAGCGTGAGCGAGCTGCTTGATTTATTTTAATTTTTTTTAGAGATGGAGTCTCTAAAATATTTTTTTTTTTATAGATAGGATCTCTGTCACCCAGGTTGGAGTGTAGTGCTGTGATCACAGCTCACTGCAGCCTTGAACTCCTGGGTTCAAGCATTCCTCCCATCTCAGCCTCTTGAGTAGCTGGGATTATAGGCATGTGCCAAAACACTTGGCTAATTTATTTTTATTTTTATTTCTTGTAGAGGCAGATTCTCTATGTTCTCTATGTTCTCTATTCTCTCTATGTTGCCCAGGCTGATCTCAAACTCCTGGCTTTGGGTGATCCTCCCATCTCGGCTTCCCAAAGTGCTGGGATTACAGGCGTGAACTGCCACATCTGGCCTTGATTTATTTTCTAATAGGTTCCTAGGGCACTGTGGCAACAATGCCTTTTCCCCTGAGAGGTATATAACCAAGGAGAGGACATTTGGGGACCTTCTATGATTGATTTTTGTCTGTGCCATCTTGTTCCCCATAGCCTTGATGGCCAAGTGGCTATGTGGGGATCTGTAGTTCACACAAAGCCTACAGTTCCCAGGTAAAGGGACTTTTTATCTTTTCACCTTTGGCCATGGCTTGGAGGAAGCTTTGGGCCTACTGCTTGGCTCTTATCAAGTCCTGAGTGACCCCCTGCTCTTCTACGCTAGGCCCTTGAAACTCTCCTCAACTAGTCTTAAGTTCCAGGCTACAATTTCTCCTTCAGCTTGTCTCTTGCAATAAGGTTGTCTTGGTCTGTTTTTGCTCCTATAACAAAATACTCTAGAACGGGTAATTTATAAACAGCATAAACTTATTTCTCACAGTTACGGAGCCTGGGAAGTCAAAGATCAAAGTGCTGGCAGGTTAAATGTCTGTCGAGGACACGGTCTCTGCTTTCTTGAATGCTGCTTCCTCCAGAGTAGCTGATGGCAGTATCCTCACATGGCAGACAGCTGATGGACAAAAAGGGCCTAGCTACTTCTCTCCAGCCCTTTTATAAAACACTAATCCCATCCATAAGATTAGCCCTGATGGCTTAATCATGTCCTAAAGACTTTACCTCTTAATACTTCTGCATTGGGGATTAAGTTTTAACATGAAATTTGAAGGTGATGCAAACATTCAAACCATAGCAAAGGGCAGTAGTAAGATGTAGTCTCTGGCATTTGGCAGGCCCAGGCTCCAAGTGTAGTTCTGTGTGATCTTAGTGTAGGAACTTAGTTTCTCTGATCTTTATTCGCCTTATTTGGGAAATGGTTGAAGCTAACCATACCTATGTTGTAGGATTCTTGTGCAGATCAACGAGGCAACACATATATAGTGCTTCAGCCTTCCACAGATGTTGGTTACTGTTGCTGCTTTGAAGAGTTTCTTTGATTTTTTTTTTAACTTAATACTCTTTTGGTTGAGTTGCTTTCAGAATTTCTTTCCCTTTTCTCCCAATGTTTTTCAATTAAGAAAAAAATGTAATTAATTTGAAGAAAATTATAACCTAACACCTCTTAGCCAACTTCTGTGCGGCTCTTGGGGAAATAAAGGGCCGTGAATGCTTTGATTATAGTGATATAATTCCCTTTTGGAAATAAGTTTGTTTTTTTACATCATCTATAATGCCTGGTGTCTGTCCCTGCAAATATAACAATAATACCACCCACAGTGGTGTGACACTCTGTGTTTACAAAGAATTTTCATACATATCAACAATCTCAGTATCATTCTGTAAACTGGGTCTTTCACCCTCAGTGAAAGTAATCCCTTTTCTGATATCACCACCTCATAAAGGTATCTGCACCCTCATGTTCATTGCAGCATTATTTACAATAACTAGGATATGGAAAAAACAAAATGTTCATCGATGGATGAATGGATAAAGAAAATGTGGTGTATGTAGACACACACACACAATGGATTTTTATTCTGCTGTAAAAAAGAAGTAGATCCTGCCATTTGCCCCAACATGGATGGACCTGGAGGACATTATGCTAAGTGAAATACACACAGCATGATCTCACATATGTAGAATGAAAAAGGGAATGAAACAGTGGTTAGCACCAGTGGGTGGGGGGTGGGGACTGGAGGAGGAAGTAGGGAGACGTAGGTCAAAGGATACAAAGTAGGTATGTAGGATGAATGAGTCTAGAGATCTAATGTGGGGCATGTGGAATAAAATTAATAAAATTGTATTGTATTAGAGACTTGTGTTAAATAAGTAGATATCAGCTGCTCTTGTTACAAAAAAAGTAACTATGTGAGATAATGGATGTTAATCTTCTTCACTGTAGTAACCATCTTACTATCTATATGTATCCGATAACATCCTGTTGTAAATCTCAAATGTACACAATAAAATTTATTTTTTAAAAAAGGAAGTTGTCTTTTGACATCACCTATAATGCCTGGTATCTGTACCTGTAAATATAATAGTAATACCACCTACAGTGGCATGACACCGAGTTTACAAAGCATTTTAATACACATCTCTACCATCTCAACATCATTCTGTGAGCTGGGTCTTTCAGCCCCAGTGAGCTGGTGACTGTCTTCAGGTTTTAGATGCACGCGTGCGTGTGTGTGCGCGCGCACTTGAGGTATTGCTTCTTTTAACACAAAAAGCTGAAGTTTCAAAGCAGGTGGGGTGTGGGTTAAACACCGTTCTAAATGGCAGGCCTGCTGTTCATGGGGAGGGAGAGTGGCCTGAAAGTTTAAAAATAACCTGAACATTATAGACTCCTGTGAATTCTACAGCCCAGAGCACTGTGAGTCTGTGGGTGTTTTACCTGCTGGAGTGCAGGCAGGAAAACTAGTTGAGATGCAGGAGGATTTAAATTCGCTGAGTCCTTTAGTGGCATGGGCTGGCAGCAGAAGTATTTGTGAAAAAAAATTAAAGCCAGAACTAATGATCAGGATCGATGTTCCTGAATGGTAGGAACAGTGCTACCCTTTGATTTGCTGAACACCGCATAGTATTTGTATCGCCGGTGCAGCAGACCCTTGTTTTCTATGACTGAACAACTATCCTTCCCCCTTGCTCCCTGAACTCCCTTACTGACCTCTCCAGAGTTTGGCTGATACCTTTTGCAGATAGCTAACTGAGGCTGGCCTACCAGGGAGCTCAGGGTTGGGACATTTTGGATAGACTTAGCCATTCATTGAAAAACAAGTAAATGGTGTAAAACCATGCTAATTATGCATAAATTATGGGCAATAGCATACCCTTTGAATTTTGAGAGTTTTGAAGGGTTGAAATAATTTTTGAATTAGCACTCAGTTCTTGATCTGACTCCTGTTGCTCTGGGATATTGCAATGCAAAATGACAGCAGCAGTAGGAGGAGCAGGTTGGGCTACGAATGTATCATCACATTTGGTTTATCAGTAGCCCCATGCGATTCAGAGGGCAGGTACTACTTTTGCCATTTTTGCATGTAAGGATATAAACCCAACCAGGACTGAGGTGCAAGCCTCCTGGTGTTGTTTCCACCCTGATAACTCATTTATTCTGAGGCCCTTCGGCACCATCTGTAGAGTCTGGATATATTCTTGCCTCTTGGAACTGTAGAATCATCATGAAATCTCTATTCTCTAGCTCAAATTTCTATTAATGATATCAGCGAGATGAATTAAAGTGGCTAAGATAATGGGTTTTGAAGTCAGGGTGACCTAGGATTGATCTTTTGCTATGTCACCCACCACCTATGTGACCATCAGGGAAGTTACTTAGTTCCTTTCAGTCTTGCTTCTCTTCCTGTAAAATGGGGTTTATAATAGCACTTGCCACATGGGCTTATTTTGAGAAATAAGGAAAGTGAATCTGGTTAGCATGGAGCCTTGCACATTGTAAGTATTTAATACCTAGGACAAATAATATTATAAACAGCATCACCTATACTTTTCTTTGTAATTATTCTTTATTTGTTTGATCCATGTCCATTTTTCTTTTTTTTACAGCTCCAGAATTTGCAATATGAAAATAGAGATTATTTAAACAAAGGAAAGTAGCATAACTGGAAACTTTGAATTATTCTATTAATACTTGACTACATATGGAAGAATATTATTGAAAAATATGATCCAGTGATGGGGTGGTTTTGTGAAAAAATACAAGCCTTTAAAGGAAAAAGCTAAATCTTGAGTGCATGTATATGTGTGTGTCCAAGGAGTTGGCTTGTCAGTGGTGTTAGGAGGATTTCAGAAATTCTCTCTTGATTGAGAATTACATTTCCACCTTTCCAATTTGTAAACTGCACATTAGGAATATTCAGAAACCTGCAAAAGAGCCTGTAATTCTTCACATTTGAATGTACTGTATTAAGCCTGTCTGAAAACTTCCCGTAGCATGGGAAGATAACCTGCATGTTTGTACACTTGGCTGGCAGAACGTGAGATCACATCAGAATCTAGTGCATGTCTTTGCAAACGTGTGTGTCATTTTCATATGTAATTCTTCATAAGAGAAATAGGCATGATGACATTTGCCTTTTTGTAAAGAAGAGATAGAACGAATTAATACTGTAGTTGATATGGGTTTTTTTTGAAGCAGGACTTTATTATCTTATGTTTAATTTTCTGTGGAAAGGGATCTCAAAATATTCTTTAGGTGGGGAGCTGTTTCCTTTTAATAACTGATTCCCCAGATCTTATTTCAACTCCGTTTCTAAGAGCAAGAAATATTCCTCATAAGACAATGAACCCTATTGTTTAATGATTGATAAGATGGTGCTTGGGCAGTTAGTGTGCTGGAGAAGTTACCCCTGAGTTAGAGGCACTTAATTTCCTACAAGGGAAGTAAATACCCCTTTTTGATATATATTTATTCCTGTTTATATCATCTGGGTTGATGTCCACTCAACTCACAAGAAACAGCTGGGAACACCTGGCAGCAGAGAGAGGCTTCTAGTCAGAGCTAGAATGTGTTAGGGGAAGGGTAGCTCCTCAGACAGGGCCCAGATACCTGATTGATGCCCAAGCTCTTTTTCACCAATAACAGTTGCAGGAGATCCATGCATTCAGTGACAATTTATTTTGCAAAGGCTTGCTATGAGGATAACATAATGCAGGCACTCTAGGTAAAAGAACAAAGAGAAAGATATGTCCTCTACTCCTGAGAAGCTTACACCATAGTTGAGGAGACAAGGCATACATAATTGAAAAACTAAATATGAATATAATGGCAAAGTTACAGTTATGACAATATCAGTGATAAAACAGTACTATGAACGATACAGAAATTCTGTGAGTTTATAGGAGGTACAGGTCAGTGTTGGAGAGATTATGAAAGGCTTTGTGGGAGAGCAGATTTGAACTGGACCATGCATAGAAGGATGCCTAGGAGTGGGAGAAGCAGAAAAGAGGAAGAATATTTTTGGGGCAGTGTGAAGCAGGCGCTGTGAGCAGGGCTTTGAGGCAGGAATGGGCATGACACGTTTGTTTATGTACCTCATACTATGGTACGTGAGGAGATAGTGTTGGAAAGATAGGTTGAATTCTGATTGCCTTGAATTGTCAGGCTAAGGTGTCTGGCCATTTTATAGGCAGTGGGGAGCCACCGAAGTGATGACAATGTAACATGCATAGCAACTGGCATTTTGGGAGGGGGAGCTTGCTTTGAAGGATTTACAATGACGTCACTTTTACACATATTGAGTCTGGGGATGAGGGACAATCCATATGCAGCTACCCCTAACTTCATTGGACACCTGGGTCTGGAAATGAGGCGAAAGGTGAGGTCTAGGAGCTAGATGTGGTGTGGAGGGGGTAGTTGAAATGGCAGGTAAGGATATAATCTTGAAGGGAGAGAAGTCAGACAGAGGAAAGGGGTTGGGGACAGACCCATGGGTGCCCTACAGGTGAGAGCAGTAAGAGGAAGAGAAGGAAACGGTGAGAAACTGGGAGATGTGGTGGCTGGGATGCCAAGAACGATGACCTCTGAGGAGAGGGGGAGGTCAGTGGTGTCAAATGCTGCAGAGTGGTCAAGTAGGAGGGTAAAAAAAGGGACCATCAGGGGTTCAGTGGTAGTCTTAGAGCAATTTCTGTGGAGTGGAAGGGGCAGAGCTAGTAAATGGCCTGCCCAGGTATATATTTCAAAACTGGCCTTAAGTCCATATCATATGGGAATGCCTTCTTCCCTTTGATTATTTTATACTAGGTGGGTGTAACCAGCTGCTCAGTGTAGGAGAGAGTGGGAGAGAGAGGGTGTGGTGATGGACAGGTGGTGGCTTAATCTGCTGATGATTCCAACACAAAGGGTTCTTGGAGAGGCAGGATTGGTGGGTGCAGTGGAATCTTATTCTCTTTCTCTGGGCCTTCAGGGCCCCTTTAGGCTTGACTGCAGCTGTGAGCTGCATTTTCTGTTACTGCGGCATTATCTTCAAGAGTGAAATGTAGGGAGTGGATCAAGACCAGGCAAGACACGAATCCAACCTGGGCACCTTCTCCTAGGCACTGCCTCCTTTGGGCTAGCCCCTGACATGATACCTGACACGTGGAAGGTGCTCACTGCATGTCTGCTAAATGAACCAATCGGCCTGAGCCCACCCGGGCTGAACGAGCTTTGCAAGGTGTGGGCTGTGTTGTGTTTTCTGAGTCAAGAGGCCGTGGGGGTGGATGGATGGATGTGCTCCTGCCGGTTGTTCTCACCCTCTGCTCACCCCCATCAGTGGGAGCTGGGGCGCTGCTGAGTCCTCCTGCTGCACTTTGCCTTGGCTGAGCAGCAAGGTTGGGCCCTGAGGGTGGGAAGGGAGGTAGACAGTGATGGGCATGGGATCCTTTGCTGTCTGGGGCTAAACTCCGAACCTCCAAATCAACTTTCCCAATAAAGCTTAATATCTATTAGGGTAAGCATATTTTTGGCTTTTCTCTGGGCTGAAAGGTGACCTCATCTTATGGGAAAGAAAGGCTTGAAGTGGTAATGCTATAATCTTCGTGATCCTAGATACATTGAAAGAAAATAAAAATGCTGATTTACTAATTAACTCCATGCATCTTGTGTACTGCCCCCCTCCCCACCCCCCAAAACATCCTAAACATTCATGCTGCAGGCTGCTGCTCCATGCCTCCAATAAACTAGCTCTTCAAAGAGATCTCTTTTGTATTCTTCCCTTTTCCAGCTGCCTCCAGTGGGAGGGGATGGCTCCCTGCTCTGTTGTCTCCCAGTACTCTCCTGTGGTGCACTCCACATCCCGCCTTGTATTCGAGCCCTTTGTGGGTATGTTTTCCCTTCTCCTCTTTTGAACTGTAAGTTTTTAGAGGCTATGACTGTGTCTAATTTATCTCTGAGCCCCAGAATCCCTGAGAACAATGTGTGGCTCATCAAAGGGGATTAATGAGTATTTGTTAAATGGGTTTATGAATTCATGAATAAGTAAACAAACACACAGCTCTCTCAGGTATCATGGCCTTTGGGTCTCCAGACACTGGTCTCTACTATTTTTTTTTCCTTTTTTCCTCCATTCCTCTTTCTGACCTGATCTCAGGCACTTACATGTCTCTGCTCCTCTGTCCATCCCCCGCACAACAGAGTGTGTTCATCCCTGGCTGCACTTCTGAAGTTGGCTTTCAGAAACAGAGTCTGTAGACATGCAGTGTTTCCAGTGTGTTACCGTGGTCACAGCTACTGAAGGTGAAATGTACATAACAAGTACTTACGTAGCACATACTTATTGTGTGCAAGGTACTGATCTAAGAGCTTTATGCATATAAACTAACTTAATTTTCACAACAGCCCAGTGGAGCAGAATGGTATTATTCTTAACAATTAAACCCTCTGGGAGACTCTCTGGTTCAAGGTCATGCCTTACCTCTCTAAAGCTCAAGATCCTGCCTATAACTTGACTCTTAAGCAAGGAAAATATTATTTTGACATGCAGTATGTTAATAATGGTCACATATTGTGAAGAATCCTGTCCTTATTATTAGGAGATCCAGCTCTGCTATTTCCTAGCTCTGTGCACTTGGACAAGTCCCTGACTCTCTGGGTGTTCAGATAACAGGATGTGCCTCACAGTCCTTCTGCAAAGATGCAATGAGAAAACATTACGGTTGGCACCCAGGAAGTGATGGGTTGTCATAAATGAATGGTTTTTAAAACACTTTAAAACCAACTTTGCTGACCTGTGGTTAGCTGATAGCATGTTGGAGTGTGGGGCTTCTCAGGCTTAGGTTTGAGAGATGCTGATTCTAGGGACGGACATTACATAAGGATGTGAAGTTATGTTTTCACCCAAGTAAGGGCTGTGAGGTATTGTGAAAGCCACCAGACTCCCAAGATGTCTGCATTGCCATAATGCTCCTCTGCTCCACTATGCATTTGCACATGGTCTCCTGCCAACTTTTTTCTTAAGAACCCACTCCCAAATCCTCTCTGCATTATGTTCCTTAGAGCACTGCTTTGCATAAGAGTCTATTTCTTGGAAAAGCTCAACGGAGGAAAAATAGAACAAAAGGGGCTCTGATAACTTAAGCATAAGCTATCTGAGTGTAACTGGCAGGGTGGGGGAAGATGAAGGAGCAGGCCTGGTGGGAGGGGCACAGGCCATTTGGATGAAGCCCACATTCACAGACTTCTCAGTGATGGGTGAAAAATCTCTTATGAAGATGGCCCAAGGCCTGACAGATCTGGGAAGAGCTTAAGAATGAGGGTAATAGGCCAACTGCTTCTCCAACTTTGCCACTCATGTCCATCTGTCTTAGTACAAACTCCCACAGGCTGCCTGATCTGGGGCAGTGTGGACACCTTGTTTTCTGCCTTTTCCAGAAGAGGCTGGAGGGACTACCTACCAGTCCCCTTCACACCTGATTGCAGCTCGATGATACACTGCAGTAGAGGGGCTGCAGGATAAATGCTTTGAAATGTAATAGTCTTCATGGGCTTTATAAAGTAGGAAAGTTTTCCACTTGCTTCCTTAGCTCCTGTTGGGTTTCCACTTTGCAGGTCATTGCTTTCAGAAAAACATGTGGAGCATTTGGTAACCCCATCTTAACTTGGGAGGGTGTGTGTGGGGCTGCACTTTCCAACTACTGTGAGATGGGCTGGCTGCATTGTGGTGAAATTTAGTACCTCAACAAAGTCCCATAGGGGAGTAGAGGGCTGTTGACAAGAGGTCAGAGCCTAGGAATATCTAAGCTCTGAGGCATGGTGCATGGGGTGCTGGGCTGCCAAGCACTCGTGCTCAGTGACCAGTAGATGGTGCTCTGACAACAGGAAAATACAGTTACTGTCCCTCTGAGACTGGAAAGGGATTTTCAGATGGTCTTCAGACTGGTTTCCAATCAGAGTTATGACTAATTGCTAATTTTCCACATTTCCATTTGTGGATCCTTAATAGGACAGTGGAACTCGGGGCACTGGAAGGAGAATGCCCACCAAATTCCCATATGAAGAAATTCCCATATGAAGTCATGCAATACCGCATGACTACAGTATTCTGGTCATGAACTTTTTCTGAGGATCCTCCTGGATATTGAGGGCATGGTGCCAGGAACACTTGGCCTCTGATCAAATTCAATTTGAGGATGGTAAGCATAGCATTTCCATAGGCTTAGTGTCATTGTATAGTTTCTTCTCTTGATAAACAATTTAGAATTACCCTATTGCTGTCCTGAAGGGCAGCATGGGTTTTAGAAAGAGCCGCAGATTGGAAGTCAGATGTGTTAGAAGTCCACACTCTGCCGCTTATCAGATGTGGGCAAACGGCTTAACGTTGCTGAAACTCTGCTGCTTTGTCTGTCAAGGGTCGTGATACATGTGTTACCAGGCTCACCTCAGAAGTTTGGAGTCAGGCTCAGCTGTGGGGCTTATGTAAACTGAAAACTATTAAACACATGTATTATTCAACCATTAAAATTGTAGCCACTGGCGGGGCGCAATGGCTCATGCTAGCACTTTGGGAGGCTGAGGCAGGTGGATTGCTTGAGCCTAGGAGTTGCCAGCTAGGACAACATAGTGAGACCGTCGTCTCTATAAAAAAAAATAAAAACAACAACTGTAGCTGCCTTGGGGGCTGGTAGAATGGGGGATTAGAGAGTATGAAACCAGTATAGAAATTCATAGATCTCAAAGCTCTCAAGAGCTATGACAGCCAGGTGGGGGTGGAAGATGAGAGTCTGTCTTCCTGCTAGCACTGCTGCCCTTAGGCCAAGTCTCTTCACAAAGCCATTTATGCCATTATGTTTGCCCCTTTCCTTTTTGGCTGCACCCTCCAAGAATTATCCCTTTTAACTCACATAGGTGCTGAAACTCCCTAAGGTATTCCACATTAATTCCCAACCTATGCATTTATGATTCCTGTCTCCTTGGAAGGCAAGAAGGCAGATATCAACTCCAGTGTGTCGTCGCATTTGCACATGTAGTATCCCATCTTGAGTATTCTAGGTCTCTGAAGAATTACAACAGCCAAAGAGAATACAGGACGTGGAATACTGGATCTCTGCTGACATCTGATAACACTGAAGAGACAAGTCGGGGATCTCTGATGTTCCAAGAACTAAGTCTGGGAAGTAAAAGGCTAGTGAGCCCTGCTTATTCTGGGCATTGAGAAGGTATGCCGCCAGCCTGCTGAGGCAGAACCACAAAGGAAAGGGGTGAGGTGACAGCATGAGAGTGAAGTTCATGAAGCTTTCTGGCCTGCAAGGTTATACAATCTAGTATAATCTAGTGTAAAAAGCTACATGATTTATGTCATCACCCATCTTGTTCATTATAGTATCCTCAGTGCCTAAAACAGTGCCTGGCACCTGGAAGGGACTCAAAGATACTTCTCTAATGATTTGAATGAATTTTGTGCTATGGATTATGGTACTGTCTGAAAGGAGCGACATACACTTAATAATTTCTGAAAGCCCTTTTTCTAACCCTATGTAGTTTACAGGGATACCGAGATAGCCACTTGGGACTAGTTCTAAGTGACTGGCTGATGGGACTTCATGGTTCACAGCACCACCCTCCCTCCGTTTCACGACTGACTAGGTATTCAGACAGAAGAGGACCCTCTGATTAAAGCAGGAGGAAGGACAGAGTAAGGCAGTAATGTGAAATCAAAGTAACAATTACAGCTGACTCACCTTGAATAGTAATTTCACCTGAAATGGGCTCCCCTGAATCCAAAGGTCAAATGCCTTCCCCAAGGGCAGCAGGCTGGACATGTTGAGACCATTCCTTTGGATTTCCAGTAGAGAATTTTCCTACACACACACACACACACACACACACACACACACACTCTCACATACATTCTCACACAACAGACACATGTCAGTGCTCACAGGGCCTTGCCCACAGACAGACACATACCCGTAGAAACACACATGCCATGCACTCAGACATCACCTCACTTCTCAACAGTTAATCTCACTTCACAGGCGTGAAGCCATACTCACCCATGGTTTCCAACCTCTGGGCTTTGGTCAGTGTCTGTTTCCTTCCTCAGCCCCTCCTTTCCTTCTTCCCTTCCATTGTTCGGGTTGGAAGGATTTGGAGAGGCCTATGTGTTGAGCCAAGGCAGGAAAACACAGAAGACGGTGTGCCCCAGCTAGTGTGGACATGGGAGGGGACAGCTGGTCCCTGCCCTCAGTTCAAACCACCAGTCACCTGTGGGGAAGGGCTTGGCGGCTAAACAGGAGCTCTTTCCCTGGGGCTTGGAGTCCACCTTTCCCACCTCTGCAGCTCAGATACCAATTCTATTTTTTTTTTTTTCTACATTAATGGGTTGGGTTTGAGAAAGTCCGTGGAGCTTATTTGGGAGTAAAGGATGGGGGGCGGGAGGATCCTTCTGATTGTTCGCATTTCGAGAAGGGTAGTTTTAGCCCATAACTCACCATGGAGGGCCCTTCCAGGAGACGTCGGGCAGGGCTTTCCTACAGCGGAACCGGGAGGCCGCCCCGTGAGGGCAGAAGCTCCCGCCAGGAGCCAGCACCACCAGCAGAGTGTGGAACCCCCAGAGGTCCTAGCCTCCTCCACGGGGCCTCCCAGGTGCTAAGTGGGGAGATGGGGAGAGGGTTCTGCCCTCTACTTGGAAATGCCTGGCCGTGTTCGTGGAGCCTGGGAGGTGCGGAGGAGCGGCGACGCGGCCATGGCGCTAGGCGCGCAAAGGCCCCGACACCTTACTAGGGCGGCGGCGGGCCCGTGGCACCGCTCCCGGCACCGAACAGGGCACAGCACTGGGGACACCTCTCTGCAGGGACCCAAGACGCGCGTGCGTGTGCGCCCCACGCCAGGCCCTCGCTCTCTTGCGGAGACTCCGCCGCATCGCTGGCTGCACCTGCCTCTCTCTTCTCGGCATTACTTGGGGGAAAGGGGACTCTTCACTGGACCTTTGCAGAGGTGGCTGCTACCCTTTGGCCACATAAATCAAGAAGGCAAGCCAGCCTCACCTTCCAGGAACCTCCAGCCTTCCGGCTGCGTCCCCGCCCCTCCCGCCTGGCCAGCTCCTCCCCCGCTTCTCCCAGCGCTCTTGCGCGCCTCGCTGCGCCTCTGCGCGCCGCTCGCTGTCCTCTGCCTCGCCTCCCCATTCTCCTTCCGCATCTTCTCCAGTGCTCCGCCGAGGGCGCTGCCTGCGGGGAAGAGGGAGACTGAGCCGTTAGTGAGGAAGTTCGGTCTGTGGACAAGTGTGGTGCCAGGCCGCCGCGAGGCTCGGCTGCAACCTGTTCCTCGCCCGCCGGTGCTCGCCGCCCGCCCGCTCGCACTCCCGCCCTCTCGGCGGCGCAGCCGCGGATCGCTGTTGCATGCTGATCCGGGGAGGCGGCGGTGGCGAGCGCTCCGGGCGGATGCTGGCACTCAGGCTTCGCTGCTCTCTGGATGCTGCTCAACTTCTAGCCCAAGCGCAGGAGCTTTGAAGTCATTTGTCCCTTTTCGCTTGGATCGACTTCTTATTTTGAGATTTTGGGCATTGCGGTTTACGCAGGAACCTCAATATCGCTCTCCCCACCTCCCTCCCTCTTTCTCCAACCTTTGGATGCGTCTCTGCTGGCAGATATAAAGACCCAAGTCTTCGCGGTGGAATTTCTTAGATGGACTTGCAGGGGCTGGCGTTATAAAGCATGTCATCGTAACCCCGTCCTCGTCTTTGTTTATTTTTTTTTAAAGTTCTTTTGTTTTCATTTTCCCCTCCTTCCCACCCCTTCCCCCAACCAATAAATCACCAAACTGTTACCTAGCGGGCCGGTGCCTGCCTCTCTCCCTGAACTAGGTGGTGCGTCTGCCAGAAGAGGAGCTATGTTTGAAGAGCAGCCTACTCCACCCCTCTCCTCTCTGGTCCCTGAACACCACCACACACTGGCATTTTGAAAAAAATATTTTCCTCCAGAAACTGGGCACCCCCAAGCCCTACCACCCGCTTTTTTTTTCTTTTTTCTTTTTTTTTTTTTTCCTTCTTGAGGAATGGAGCTTCGCAGAGGTTGCATTTAGATTCAACAGTTCACAGCGGCGGGCTGCTGCTGCTGCCTCTCCGAAGAGCTCGCGGAGCTCCCCAGAGGCGGTGGTCCCCGTGCTTGTCTGGATGCGGCTCTGAGTCTCCGTGTGTCTTTCTGCTTGTTGCTGTGTGCGGGTGTTCGGCCGCGATCACCTTTGTGTGTCTTCTGTCTGTTTAAACCTCAGGATGGCTCGCTTCGGGGAGGCGGTGGTCGCCAGGCCAGGGTCCGGCGATGGAGACTCGGACCAGAGCAGGAACCGGCAAGGAACCCCCGTGCCGGCCTCGGGGCAGGCGGCCGCCTACAAGCAGACGAAAGCACAGAGGGCGCGGACTATGGCTTTGTACAACCCCATTCCCGTCCGGCAGAACTGTTTCACCGTCAACAGATCCCTGTTCATCTTCGGAGAAGATAACATTGTCAGGAAATATGCCAAGAAGCTCATCGATTGGCCATATCCTTTCTTGCCCACCATAACTCCCTCTCCCCCTTTGCATTTCTTCGGGTGAAGGGGGGTACCTAGCATGGAATGTATCCCCCACCCCTTCCTGGTGCCAATTTGCCCCTTTGCTGAAGCACACTCTTCGGTGCATCTAAGGGGCAAGCTTGGTGCCGTGGAGACCCGTTTGGGCACTAGTGTTTTTCAAGGTAAGACTTTTGGTTTTTTATTTTTCCTATGTGGAAATCTTTAGTGTCCCTGGGTGCATCCCTTTCTGGGCTGGGCTTTGTCTGATTCCCAGCCCCCTCCCCACCCCTACTCCCTTCACATGCCGCCCTCTACATAGATTGGGTTGCCCCAATGCTTCCTTTCATAATTAATTCTCATTTTCCTTTCTTTAAGCCAGCCACTCTGCCCGTATCCCCACCAACCAGGAGACACCGCACTGTCTTCCTGTAGGGAAGTCAAGGCTCCATGAGGGGATTTATCAGTTCAGAAGTTCCCAGGGCCAAAACCCTGTGTACAGATAGACAAATGAATAAATAAAACAGGCTTTTGGGTGGGGACTCAGCTAACTCTAGGGACTTAAGTTTAAGTTCCACTGAAAGTGGCATGAGTGAGTGTCTGTCAGGGGAGGTGATCTCTGTTGCCACAGCCCAAGGAGCTCAAACTTGGAGTTCTCCTCTCAGCCAAGAAAGAGCAGCTCATCAGGCCCATCCTGTCCTTGGTCCTTGGTTGGGTACTCTTGCTTCTTAGTGCTTGACCCAGCTGATTGCTCTCCCAGTATCCAGGATCCAGGTGGATCGGCTGGGCCTGAATTCATCCGCTGAGGCCAGAGGTGTGCATGCAGTCTCTCTCTCCCTAGCTCCAAAGGAACTGCTCTCCCCAAAGCACTGGTGGGGGCCATCTCTGATGGTGGTGGTGTCAGGGTGAACAGGCATGGAAGGAGCTTCTTTGCAGGTTTAATCAAGTGCACCAAATGCAGACTGCTGATTAGGCAGCTCACTGCCTTGTTCTTCACTAAGGATTGGACGCCTGGCAAGGCCATTGGGAATTGGGGGTGGTGAGGCAGTGAAGGGGATTAGTAGGAGGCAAGCTAGTGGTCTGGCGTTAAATATGGGGATGGGGTTGGAGACATGGGACTTTGGGAGGGAGATTTGGGAGGGATGCATCTGCAATGGAGGCCCCTTCTTTTCTCCCCTATTCTCCCTCTTTCCCACCCCCACCGTCCAGGTGTGCAGCAGTGAGGCAGCTGGAGCTGCCTTGGGTCTCTAGTATTAGCCAGACACGCGGCTCATTTCCCCCAGGGCCTGGGCATCTCCCTACTCCCCCAACCCCAGTCTCTGGCCTTCCCCTTCTTCTCTAGTTCCCTGCCTCAGCAGCTCGGTGATTGGCTGGCGCGTGGTGCTTCTAGGCAGCACCCCCTCATTAGAAACGAAGGAGCATCTCTAAGCAGATATTCTTCCTGCTGCTGTTCGCATCCTCCCACAGCAACCCCGGCTGGGCTTCTCCCTCTCTCCTCTCTGCATCCCGCTCCCCTGCTCCACTCTCACAGAGTGATCCCAGGCCATCCATTGCCTGAGTTGAACGTATCTAGCTAGGGTGGAGGTTTCGGGCGGGGGAGGGGTCGGGTCCCTGCAGTCACGCCTGCCGGTGCGCTGCACAAAGCGGACAGATCTCATTGTGTTGTGTGCTGCGGCTGCAAATATTCCTCTAGGCAGTCTACGGATTTCCCAGCTGGGCCCTCCTTTCTCACTCGGCTTCTACGGTTCTCTAAATCTTCCCATCCACCAGGTGCTGCCTTGCTGTGCCCCTCTCTTAGGGGCGTGTTTATTCAGACAGGCGCCCTCCCGTTTCTTTGCGGTAGACAAAGCCGCCCAACCGCCCCGCGGGTGGCAAAGTGTGCCAGCAGCCATCGTTGGCACCTCGGACAGCGCCGCTGAAACTCCCGGCGGCCCGGGGCTCCCCAGTTACCCGGGTTCAGCACCTCGGGTACTTCTGGCCGGGCCCAGCCTTGGAGCTGAGAAACCAGGCACGTTTCCTACACCACGTGGTCACCTTTTTTCACGTTTTCTCTTCCGCTGCAAAGACACCGCCTTTCCACCAGGCGTTGCGAGCGCGCAAGGTGCGGCTGTGAGTCTTACTCCTCCCTTTCCTTGTCTTTGGCCAAAAATGGACCAAAGAGAGTCAAACGGGAGACTCTCGAGGGAGTTGATTTCAGCATCATGCTCAGTGCCTTGGCCCCGAGCCCTGTCCCAATGGTCTCTTTTGTCTGCATAGTTGGAAATTTCACAGTGGTTCTACAGCATGTAGGCTGTGGTAACAGTGTTCAGGGAACATCTGCTAAGGTGTTTAGTGGAGCCCTGTTGGAAAATATAAAATACACCATGTACAATGTAATTGACTAATATATTCCCTCTGGTGGTGACCACGTGGAAACATTGGGCTTCCGTGGGAAACGCACCTAAATTCCTAGTCTCACCTTCCTTTCCTTTCTAAACAAATAACTTCCCAAGTATCTTGCTTTGTCTTATTGGGAGTCAGTCTGGGTAGTGGTTGCCCATAAAGCTTTGGAGCTAGGCTGCCTGGGTTGAAATCCTAGTTCCTTCACCAGCTTTCTGACCTTGAAAATTACTTCATTACTCTGTGACTCAGTCTTCTTACCTGTTAAATGAGGATAATAATAATAATACTGGGAGAATTAAATGACTTAATATATATCACATGCCTAAAACATTATCTAATTACCCAGTAATCACTAGTTGTTATTATTAATGGCATCTTTCAGAAATTTCAGCGTGCCTGAAGTGGGGAGGGGTCTTAGTTCAGGTGAAGTCCTCTAGATTCTTGCCTCTCAAAGAGAGCAAGGAGCTGCATCCACATCACCTGGGAGCTTGCTAAAAATTCAGAATCCTGGGCCCCACTTCAATCCTGCTGAATCAGAATCTGCATTGTAATGAGATCCCTGTGTGATTAATATGCTCATTAAAGTTTAGGAAGTACTTCTTTGCTCTTTGTAAGTGCCAGATTTTTTTTTTTTTTTTTAAGAAAGGAAGGTTGTTCAGTTGTTCAGAAAACATGTCAAGACCTGCTTTCATATTGACATTTGCACATTTAGCATGCTTGAGGATTTTGTTTGTGTTACAACACGTTTTGAGACTTACACTTTCATTGGCTGCAGAAAGTCACTGTAGGACGAGGGGGATAATGTACACTTCTATGTGCCGCATTAGTGGTCTCATCATGCTGTGCATTACTGGTCTTTAATCATGTTTGTCTGAAAAGATTGGTTAAGTAAAAGGAATGGTTTAATTTATGCTTCTAGGATCACCCCGACTTGGAGGGGGAGGGTAATCTTATCCAGTTATTAATAGGGGAGGTCTAGTTCTTATGGGAAGAAATGCTCAAGATAACCCAGATTTGGCATGAAAGATGGTGGCAAGTCAACAGCCTACTCTGAATGTGTTTCATTTTTCTTGGAAGCTACATCTGCATAGGGAGATAATTTTATTTTCTTATGGCACTTTCCTCTGCAGTGGATACCATACTCTTTTTAAAAATGCTAATGTGATTTAAAATGTGATGTTACATTCTATACGATTCCTCGTTTTCATTTTCTTTTTTGCTCATCTAATAGATCTTCTCTGGCAGTTGGCTGTTCTGAGTGCCCTCCCATGTTCACCGTGCCTCATGCTTACCAGCTCTCACTGTTTCATGCCCAGGGCCAGTTACCCTGTGGGCCATACAGCATCTCTCATGTGGTTTGCAGGATGCCCCACACTTGTTTGAACTTTTCCAGGTCACGGGTGTGAAGGCAAGAAGTAGTGTGTCTGGCTTGGAGACTCTATGCCAGAGTTGGGCAATAGGATATTCCCCCCACACCTCCATCGCCTTGGTTGTCTCAGCAGGGGAGAACATGCTTCGTGTGGAAATGAATATGGCTTACAGTAGGAAGGTCAAATATGTTTGCAGCCCTGAGATAATGAAGCTCATCACAATGAACCTGTGGACATTAATCCATGATTTCTTATTGTAGAGAATTTCACTGTATCCCCAAAGCACTCTGGCTATGGATCAGAGGTTGTATGCTTTACTACTGTGAATCTCCCATTGTAAAATGTCCGTTTATTTTGGAGGATTTTGGTGAGGGTTACCAAAAGTTTTAGTTCTTAAATCTCCCATTTTGGTGTCTTCTTTTCTTCTGCTTTTGTTGCCTATAAATGTATAGCACATTGCAGGATAGTAGACTGAGGTCCCGGTAAGAATTTCAGGTTTGATGTAACTAGTGAATCATGAGTCAAGATGCCTTGATTAGGGAAGATGATGGCAGCTAACAAGGATGAAGTCTGTAATTATATCCTATGATCAGATAATGCAGAGGGGTTCATATCTTCTGTGTACCTGTGCGTGGATGCAGATGGTGAAACAGATAGTGACTGCAGCTGGTACTGGAGCTGTAGGAGAAAGTTCTTCATTTTCTGAGCATCCCAGGACAATCTCTGAATTGCCTGTTGGCTTTGCTTTTGATATGAAGTGTGGGTAATGTTTCATGTGGAAACCAGGCCATGACTTGTTGTGGGGACCATTTATAATTGGGATGAAGCCTGAAAAATGAGTTGGAGTGAAGGAATTTGACAGAAATGAAATGACTTGAGGATAGAGACAAAAATATCCTCAATGTGATAGTTTTGTCTGTTGGTTTGCATGTCATTATTTCTCCACTTCCCTCCACTTGCTTTTTCTGCAATAGGCGCAGTGCATGCTATGAATTAAAGGAGGAAGAGGAAAGTAATGAGAACAGGCCTGCTTTTTTTTTCTTCTGAAACATCCAGACTCTGAAATTATTAGCTCCATCCAAAATTACTTATCTCTTTATAGCACTGCTGTACAAAATGTAGGTGTTTTTCCCCCTCAAATTCTGCTGCTTTCCCCCTTCTTTATAGGAACATCTGGTTTCTTTCAATCTTCATATTCTTAGTGAAAATAAAACTGAGTGAAGCTTTGCTAAGCTCTCAGAACTCTTGCAAACCCTTGACTCCATGTGTTTGATGAGCAGGTCAGCCACCTCCCTTACGTCATGCACAGGGCTGCCTGGAAAGCTACAGCTCACCAAACACCAAAGCCCAGATGTGCAATCCAGTCCATCAATGGTGACTCTGCTGATCTTATTTTGCTTATCACTGACCACAAAGACATAAAAGAGGAAACCTAAATGCAACTCTAATTAATATCCATTTATTCAGAGAGAGAGAGAGACCAGGTCTTTACTTTCTCTTTCTGCCCGTCTTTTCATCTTTCTATATTTCTCCCTCTCTCATTTTTAGGTTCAGCCTTTGTGAATAATTCATTATATGTGTGGGTTTTTCCTAGGATTTTCAGAAAAGGAAGGTTATTTGTCTTCCTCTTGGGTAGGATTATTAAGGTCTCTCACAGAGGACCAACTTCAGGAATCTACTTTTTCTCTAAGACCTTTGTTTTCTGCAGTGGGACTGTCACACAACAGAAAGGAAGCTGGGGAGAAATCTTGTAACCTGCTTTTTCTTGTCATTTTTATGATGACTGCCTCCTACCCAGCCCTGTTACATTTGAGTGCCCCCAAAATATGCAACTACTAGCCTTTTCTACTCAGAGACTGTGGTTAAGTGGAAGGTACGTGTCACTCTGAATCCTCTCATCATCTTGGGTTTTCACACTGATAAATGCTGAACGACTAGGCTAAGGAACAGTCCTCTGTAACCATTTCTTTTCAAATTCCAGTGTGAATTTTTACAGGAATTACAGGGAGCAGGGGTAGTTATGGGGACCAGGCATGGAAATTAGTGTCTAACACTCCGCCACCACTACCACCACCACGATGTGGCTTCTAAAGCAGTCCCTTCCACAGAGGGATAGAAACATGAGGGGCTTGGATCAATGTTACTTTTCCCAAGCCTTCTAAACATGCACAGAGAGGATGCACGTGTGGGTTCACCCATCAGTCATGTTTCCAGCATCAATCTTAATTAAGGACAGAAGGTATAGCACAAAGTTTTTAGACTCCCCCAACCTCGTGGTTTCTTAGTGTTAAGGTTATTGCAGAGAGATGTTTATGGTGTATCTTTGCTCACTGAGCACCCCAAATATGTTTCCTTATAAAGCTTGACGAGCCCCAGTGTCCTCATCTCTGGAAAGCAGGGAGCAGCTAGAAGATGTGTTCTTATAAGGTGAAGATGGGCCAGATTAAGGGGAACAGCAATGAATGACTTTAAAATGTGTCGGTTATCCAAGAGATCCTCCCTGCCACCTCCCAGAGCAGTGGGTACTTCTTAGGAGCTTCCTTTATTGTATCTTGAGCTCCAAATTTGTAGGACTAGATAGTTCCACCCTTAATCCTCTTACTTATTAAAAAAAAAAAAAGGAGCCTCAAATAGACCCATTTGTAAAGCAGTAGTTAATCCCAGAAGCAGGTGGGTGGGGCTTGGGAATGCTATGCCCAGCTAGGCTCCAGCCACGCTCCAGCCACGTGAGGCTTCAGAGAGAGGCCCTGCCTGGCACCTGTGCCAAGCATGTTTTTTTTTTTTTTTTTTGCCTGTGGGTGGTTGATTTGAATCACTGTTGCAACTCTGCATAATCTTGAGGCTATATTTTTGTGTGTGTGCTGCATTTTGTCTTTTGCTGCATTTTTGCTGCATTTGGGCTGCATCGGTTCTCTTCATCTCTGGAGAATTTGGAAAGCCTCCTTCAGATATATGCCTGAGCTTTCCAAAGACTTGTGTCATTAAAGGGGGGTGTCATCTTTCTTCCCTTTGGGGGAGGGATTAAAAAGGATGTAGCTGGATGGTAGGTAGCAGGCTAGAGGGGAAAGGAAGAAGTGCTCTGGTGTAGATCATGGGTGGAGCCTTGATGATACTCAGTCTATTATGGCATCATTGCTGAGATGCAGGACATCGTGCGTGGCCTTCTGGATCCAGAGCGGAGGCTCTGAAAACCAGCACTAGGAGGAAAATTAATACTCTCGAGCCTTTCTCAGCCTTCAGCTTTGCTGTAGGTTGGAAGTTTTTCAAACTTTCTGTGCCTCTTTCTCAATTTCCACACCATTGTCTCATGGGACTGGTCAGAGCCAAAAAGCATGAAATGGATTTTCAACAGTCACTCACTAACGTCCTGGCAATTTCCAGCTGTGTTCTCCTGGGAACTGTTTTGCTGCTTTTCTATCAGCGACCATTCCTTTCAGCAGATGATTTCCATCAACATCAAGGCTAATTCCTCATTTAGTTCCTTTGTGTTGATGTCAGACATAGGCGGTCTGCCCGTTTCATCTACACTACTGGCTGTCAACCTGTGTCTCAGAATCACCTGGAGGGCTTGTTAAAATACAGATTACTACCCCCCACTCCCAGAGTTTCTGGTTCAGTAGGTCTGAAGTAGGGCTGGAGAATTTTTGTTGGTCACAATTTCCCAGGTGATATTCATGCTGCTGGTCTTGGACATCATGCTTTGAGAACCATTGCTGTACATGGTTTTGTTATCTGCCTGGCAATGCCTTTCTAGAAGGCCAGTCTTACAAATTGCTGATGCATTTCCTCATCCCAAATCTCTCTCATTTACCAGCTAAAGCCCTGCTGCTAACAAAAGCTTATGCTTTGGGTTTGGATAGTGAGGAGGCTTTGAGACTTCTCTAACAAAATGCTGATGACCTTGAGACCAGGGACATATTAAGCAAAATATATGTCATTATCAACTTTGAGTTAGTTTATCTTGTTCTTTCAGGACTTATCACTGAGAGCAGGCTCTTCTGAGAAGGGACATGCACCCATTTAATTCCAGCACCTAGCACATGCTGGCACATGGTGAGCATTCAGTAAACTTTTGTTGGATGATTTATACCCAAATTGGCTACTATTGAGTTAACAAGCATCAACAAAGTGCCTCATATTGCCCTGACCAGGACCTGTAAGACCAGGTGTAGCCCCAGGGAGGGGACAGGAGGTTGCCAGGAGGTGGTGTGAGGGCAGTGGATGGCTGGGAGGGGAGTGAAGGATCATCACATGGGAATTGGGAGGCTGTAAAAGACAAGATTTAGCTACTTCATAATTTTCCTCAGGATTCTTTCAGTTTCTGTATTACTTGATGCAGGCTTTCTCACGGAAAACAAAACAAAACAAAACAAAACAAAAACCAGGGTATTTGTTATCTGGCATTTTGTTACATGGAACTCTTTATTAATTGGCATATAGTATAATGACAATTGAGATTTGTAATGGTGACCCCCTAGGTACCACAGAATGTTGGAGTGCTTTCTGAAGAGCATTCATTGTATTATATTCAACACAGTTCCAATGGTGTGTGCACTTCATTGTATTTTGAGCTTTGTGTGATTTATAATTCATATTGATTATATAAGTAGCTCATTACCACTTTTTTTGTTCAATTAACCAAAGTGTTCTTCTCCAGCTGTACCAGATGACAGAGGAATTGGTATGTTGTTCTAGAAATCAGACCTTTTAGTTCTAGAAATATTATAGGAGCTGGAGGTGAATCCTGGTGCAATTGTCATGTATCAGGTGATATTTAGAACAAAGTCATTATTTCAAAAATGGACTAATAGCTCAGCAGGCTTTAGATTTACTGGGCAAGTTCCCCAGCTGGTAAGCTGGTATCACATCTAACTGGGTGTGTTTGTTTCTGTAGGCTAACACTGAAAATGAACCACCAAGATTTCCAAGAGAGCTTTCAATAAGCATCTCAGCAAGAGGTTGTCAGATGATACCTTCCCCAACCTGACTCTGAGTTATCCAACTTTTATGCCTTGGGCTTATTTTCCTGCTCTTTTTTACTCCCACTTCCCTCCTTCCTGAAGGTCAGGAGATGTTGAGCTCTAAAATGATTCTGTTGTAGGGTGATGGTCTTTAGGTTCTTCAGGGTCAGTTTGAAACTCTATGGAACTTCAGAGTATGACCTGAATAAATGTCTGAGTAGTGACCTGAGTAAGTGTCTAGATGACCTCAGTAAGTGTCTAGATGGCATCTAGATGACTCTTTTTGGAGTGTTGGGACCATTAAGTCCCTCTAGTACAGTGTTTGTTCATTTGCTTTCTATACTGGGATCACAAATCCTACTGACATCTGGTTGATGCTATAGACCTGTCTCTCCTGAAAAATACACATACAATTTTGCATTCAATTTTAGAGGTCTATGAATCACAATTTAAAAACATCTATCATGTTAAAAAATTCCCACAATTTGGGATGTTGGGATGCTGGGCTATCAGGAGTAGTGATTCTCAACCAAATATCAAAGCCTTTATGAGCAAGTACGACAGGAACTTTATATGAAGGAACTAGAGAGATACGGTTGCACTGGGCTGTCAGCCAGGCTGCTATGAAAGAACACAAACATTCTAACCAAAGGGCATGAATTCAATACAGAAACTCTTTCTACATCACTGTGAAAGACGACTGTCAAGCTGGAATACCTCCAGTGACAGGGTGCTCTTCTGTTGTTAAAAAACTTAAGATATAGGAAGTGGAAATATTCCTCCTTATAGCTTCCATTTGTTCTTTCCCTTCCTGTTTTCTGTTTTGTAAAACAATATAGACTCAGTCTACTTCCTTTCACTTGACAATACTATGGCATTGAACAGCACAGTTGGTGGATTTTTGGTGATGATAGACATGGCTCTTGGCACATGTGGCCCTTAAGGACTTGATATGTGGCTAATGCGACTGAGAACTAAATTTTAAATTTTACTGACTTAATTTTAGTTAAGTTTAAATAGCCACATATGGCTAGTGGCTACTGTACAGGATGGCACAAGCAGAGGGAATACATGATGAGTCAGAAAGCTTAAGCTCCCCTTTGGTTCTGTCATTTGTTAGCCTTGTAACTGGGCAGGGTCTCCTTGGCTTGGTATGCAGGGCTTCTCATGAGCCACTCTGCACATTGCGCCAGCTTTCCTTGACCACTGTAATCACTGTCTCTCCAGCTGCTTCAGTGGCTGCTGATCCCTGAAGGCACCATCCTCTTCCAGGCCTCCGTGCCTTTGCACTTGCTGCTTTTCCACCTAGAATGAGTCTGGCTTTAAGATTGTACTCAGAGGTCACTTCCTCTGTGAAGCCTTCCTTGATTTCTCTTGGCCGAATAAGACCAGCTTCCTCCTTTGGGCTCTCATAGGGCACTTTATTTATTACTTTGTTGTATCACATACCACATAATTTTAGTATTGGTTTAAAATCCCTGCAAGGGAGGGGGGACGTTATCTAATTACCAGATAATAAGGCAATGCTTATTAACATCAGCATTTAACACATTAGTTTGAATTAAAATACTTTTTAAAGTGGTGTTTTTTTTTTTTTTTAAAGAAGTGGCATTCCGTTTCTGACTTGAGATAGTCAGCTAAAATCTCTGAATCTTTTTTTTTATATGAATTGATGACAGAGTTAGTTTTCTCTCACTCTGTTCTCATTCAGTTTAATTTTTGAATCTAGATTCAGGACTCTATGTTTATATCAAGTATATTTTATCTCCTTGCTTTTGCTCCAATGTTTATCCTGCAGAGATCCTTTTCAACTGAGAACAAAGAACTAACATTCATTGAGCATCTACCAAATTTCAGGCTCTACTTCAAACAAGTGTATTATCCACATTTTAAATATGGGGAAGCTGAAGCTAAAGAAGATTAAATCACTTGCCCAAGGTCACCACCGGTGAGCTTGAACAAGTGGTCCGAATCCAAAGTTTAAGTGATTTCTACACCGCACTGTCTATGGACTTTGCTGTTTCATGAGTGAGCTCCCCACCCTAAGTGCTATGTCATCTGCAGATTTATAAGCAAATACTTAATGCTTTCATTTGAGTAATTGATAAAAAATATATTTAGAATCAGGGACCCTCTTTCTGCTTATCATCAGTGTATTAGTCAGTGTGCGTTGACCGTTCAGCTTTTCTCAAGTATTCTGAACTGTGCTTTAGCCTACTGACATTTCTGTATTTTGTCTGTAAAAATATTGTACGCGATATTCTTGTCACATGCTTTACTGAAATCAGTACACACTTTCATGACTACTTCATGTCTATTTTAAGCAGGAGGTAGCATCTTGGTTTCTCCAAAGTCCACTTTAGGTATCATTTTCAGAGACTCAGACAATATTTTATTTCTTTCTTAGACAATAAAAGTGTTGTGTCCTAGATCTCAGGAGTTGAAGGGATATTAGATGTCATCTAGTCCAATGCCCAGTTGATGAAAGCTTCACCTTAGAGTTCAGGATTTACCAGTCTCTGCATGGAAGCTTTAGGGTATTAGGGGGTCGTTGTTAAAAATGACCTCTGGATTCAAATCTCAGTATCACCTCTGTCACTTTATAGCTGTGTGCCTCAGGCAACCTGCTTACCCTTGCAGTGCCTTGGATTTTTCAAATGTAAAACAGAGATAGTAATTTGCTTCTGGGGTGTATCATAGGATTTTTGTGAAGGTCAGATGAGATAATACATGCAAAGTGCTTGGAACAATGTTTGGCAAATAGTAAGCTGTGAATAAATCTTGGTTATTAGTATATGGTTAATTTCAGATACATAAACATTAAACTTCTGCAGCTATGTTTTCTCTTTCCAACAATGCTGTCCTACTTCCTCCTGGCTCTTACCAAGTTTCTAACCTGAGTGCTGCCAGATAATGTTTACGTGACCTTGCATTGGTTTCATCACCTCCCTGAGCCTCAGTGTCTTCAGATGTGAGGTGGAGGTCACTTTCCCTGCTTTGCCTGCCTTATAAGACTGTTGTGAGGTTAGCATTGGCTAATGTGTATGAAAGCCCTTTGCAAACATATTAGGTATTAGTATTAGTGTTAATGTTGATAGAATTTATAAATATATAACACTTATTGAACATTTACTATGTGTCAGAATACTGTGCTAAGTGCTGCCCATGAGTTATTGCATTGATTCTTCATGACAATCCTACAGAGATAGGCATTCTTGTTTTCTGTCTTTCATAGTTAGAAGGATTAAGGTGTGGAGAGGTTAACTCATTTCCCTGAGATCGCACAGTAAGAGCTGGAGGCCTGGATCAGAACTCGTGCTCTTAATCACTGAAGCTAAATAGTCTTTCCATAAGACTTTTTTTCTTCCTTCTCAAAGTTATTGGGTTTACACTTTTAAAAATAAAATTTAAAATATCTACATCAAAACCTGTTTCCTTTATATGTTTCTAATGCTGATTTTATACCAGTATTGTACCTAAGGACATATTTGGATTTACAATCAGAAAAAATATCTTCAGGAGCAATAATGATGCAGAATTTTCCCAGAAAGCTTTTGATAAAAACAGATAGGATACTTAAAATGATCTATAACCTTAACAGACTCACTTGATTTTGTCTTTGAACAAAAATGGTAGCAAAAAATTTCAGATGGCTTGATGGATGGCATGTAGAAGGATCCCCTTTAGATCCTTGGCATCTGGGCAGATTTTCTTCCTGGGGGTTGCCAGCCTCCTGGCTAACTACTTCCTATCTGCTTAGGCTTCTTGGGTATTTAGGGCCTCTATGTTTGTTCTATCAGATAAGAGAGAAAAGATTGGAATTCATTAACTGTGGAGGAAGCTTCTGAAAGGGTTAGGGTGCTGTGGGGGGAAGGGGAAACCTCCATTGCTTGGGACTCTTGGAAATTTGCCTAATGAGCTTGGTGAAGGTCCTCTGCTAGGGATATTAGGGGCATTTTACCTGTGGGAAATGTTTACTGGTGTGGACGAGAATGGAGAATTAGGATGCACCACTTGGCTTCCGGAAACCAGACAGAGCACTCAAAAGAAATTAAGGAGTGGGCCTAAAAAGTTAAAGGAACTGCCTCTCCTTTCTGCTAACTTTGGATTGTTTTTGCATGGAAATTTGTATTTGTGAAATAACTGAGCCATATGGATGCACAAGGATGCATGTGTTCTTCTAGTCTGTTGATATGAGGAGCAGTTGAAGGGTGTGGGCTTGTCTGGAGGTGGGGTGAGTAGGTGGATGTGGTAACATGAGGAGGGAGCAGGTCTGAGGAATATGGGCCTATGTCAATCCGAGGATCTGGGCATTTTGGCAAGAGCACCCTCCCTTCTCATAGAGAGGTATTTATTTATTTTTGAGATCACCATCTGCCCCACCACCTCCCCCCACCTGAAGTTCTATGGATAAGGATGTTACATCTCTGGGTAACCTCTTTCCCTGGCGATGATTAAAGAGTAACAAATGCCCACTCAGAAAGACTGTACAGGCTGAGAAAGACTGAGCTCATTTCTGTCACAAACATCAGTAGACAGGCTCAGGAGAGCAAAGCAAAGGAATAGATTCTAGGAAATTAGAACTTCTAACAGCTTTCTATACTTCCACTGTGAAAAAGGCTGGGTGCAGAACAACCTGCATAATCATATGCCTTACCATTTCTCTTTTTATCTTACCTTCGTGTCTTTTTATCATATAATTTTACCACCATTCTATAAGGACCTCCCTCCAGGCCTGGAGAGCTTTCTGTTCCTCAATATGCATCCCTGAGAATGGATGGAGGAAACTAACCTTTAATGAATGCCTATTGTATGACAGGCACTCTACAGTGTGCTCTAGAGGAGTGTATCATTTAATCCAACCCCGGGTGAAGTGGATATTGTTCTCATTTTATAGATGATTAGCTTAAGGTCACAGATAGATGTGGTCTGACTGGTGCCACTGGCTGCTCTCTTTCCATTGTTTCATGCTGCCTTGGGTTAGACCAGAAGACCAGCAGGTACTCTTCCCTAACAGAGTATCTTTTTAGGATGACACTGTGAACTACTTGCATGCATCTGCAGCATCACTGGGTATGAGGCTAACTCATGAAGGAGTGAAGGATCAGTAGATGGAAGAAGAGCAACTATCTCTTTCCCATCATTATGGTCATCATGAAATGGACCTGAGACATCCTGGCCTGGGTCACTGGAATGCGAGCTTGAGTCGGAATCTGAGATCTTTGCTATTTTGTCTTTCCCCCGCCAAAACTCCACTGCTGCAGTTCCTTTATCTGTCTGCAGAGCGCGTTTGGTTTGGAAATGCCAGTTCCCCTTTCAATATTAGCATGGAAAGTCCATTTTCTTTTTTCCGGTTCTCAGAGAAGTCTACCCTCAGTCCTTTCTGTTCTGGGGTACCCATAGTGTGAGTCATAGTGTGGAGGTGGCAGCTTTCATGACCTTCTCTTGAAATTTTACATACTGAATGCAGCTTTTTAAGGAAATGAGGGTTGGGTTATAGAGAGACTGCAGAAAGACTCTTATATCCTGATAAAGACTATAGAAGAGGCTTATAGTAGGTTTGTGGAAAAGGGCAGCTTTTCCACAATGGTTCACTTCCAGGCCACCATTGTGAAGATTCTAGCTTTTCTTTAACTCTGTTAGAGAAGCTGCTAGCGAATCCAACTGGTCATGGAGCTCCTATGCTTGACAATTTAGAAGTATTTCCATGGACTCTAGACCCTTTCAAGATGTCCCTGGGTGTGCCAGGATTTCCATTTTTGAATGCTATTGTGGGATCTCCTCATTAGTAATTTCACCAAAAATGGCTTCTCTCAGTTGTAATCATGTATGCTCTTTCTTTCTCCTCCATTTCCCTTCCCATCATGTTCCTCATTAGCATAACAGAATACTAGAATATTAGATTTATAGAGAATAAAAAGAAACTTGAATCAAACTCACACTTATCCATAAGAAAACTGAAGGCCATAGAGGTTAAATGATTTGCCTCAATAAGTGGCAGAGCAGAGCCTAGAACCCAGGGCCGCGACCAAGTGCCAGCATCCTTTTGTCACATTTTCTCTTCTTTCCTCTGTACCCTTTCTGTGCTCAACCATCTTCTCTCTAGTCCCTTCTTTCTCTTCTGGGGCTTCCTCATCCTTAGCAAGTATATGTTTTTGGTGTTTGGGGCATAGGAGGCTGGATATAAGGATCATGACTAATAAGAAAGGACTTACGTAAGAAAAAATAGGAATGGATAAGAGAAAGATATTCATAGAGGTGAAGCCAACCAGCAGAGATCCAGTGAGAATTGGTAACAGTGACTCAGAAAAATGGTTAATATTCTTCTTTCCCAAATATGTTGCTGGAGAACTTTGTGAAATGATAATATAAAACTCAATAGGCAATGGACTTCTACCCAGTGTAAAACCAAGAGCAGATCTCAGCAGATGGGAGAATAGATGGATGCTTAGGCAAGCACTCATCTCAGAATGGTTGCTGGGCTCTTCAGTAGCCCTAAGAAAGGCAAACTATCCAGACTCTGCCCTGAGAGGTAGCTCTTTGAGAACAATTGAGTACTCCTGGGAAGGAGGAAGCAGCTCAAATAAAAAGATCTTTAGATCCCTTTCTTTTAGAATTCTCTATTGGAGCTAAGAGACCAGGGAATTTTATTTGATTATTCTGATAATAGTTTTCCCAAGCTTTTCAGGGTGTAGGGCTGAGAGTACAGAGAGGTTTCTAGCCCTGGTTCTAGAAAAATCTCATTCCTTTCCTGGTCTCAGCATCTACATCTGTAAAATGAGTGTGTTGGAATAGTTACTAAGACTCTAAGGTGCCTTTCAGTTCCCACTGTAGAGACTCTGGGATTCTAGTTTCCATCATTGTTATTTCAGCTGATTGGAGGACACGATTAACTTTCTTGGTCTCCAGCATTCGAAGCCTGGCTGCACATTAGAATAAGCCTGGGAACTTCTAGAAATGCTGATACCTAGACTGCAGCCAAGACAAATTAAATCCAAATTTCTGGAGATAGGACCCCTGTATTCTTAATTTTGAAAAGCTTTCCAGGTGATTCTATGGTCCAGCCATGGCTGAGATCCACTGATCTTCTAGACCGAGGGGAGCCAGTTACCTGACTTCCTTCTGTTTCTTTTGAGTGTACTTTGATTACGTCTTGGCTGCTCCCTCTCAGTTTTCTTGCAGGCTATGGTGAAATAGCAGGAGCCGCCTGGGTGTCTTGAAATTTAGCCTGAGAGAATGGGGTGATTAATTCTTATGTGTCACTGCATTGACAAAGCCATTCACCTGTGGCTGCTTCCGACACACCTCCAGCTGCACAGGTAACAGCCTTCTGTGATGAGGGGGATGGACCAGACATCCTGAATGCAGGTCTGGCTGAGGAGGCCATTTGAGGCTGAAGGACAGAGTAAGGCTCACCCAGGAGGCCCTTGAGCAAGTGACTAAGAGTTGTTGACCTTGCTTCCTACCTGGTTGGTTCACCCCTTATGCATATGAAGGTTGATCCAGCATGACTACCATTGAATACAGCAGTCACCGCCTTAACATCCTTGACACTCCCCTGGGGATGTGGAACTCACAATAAGTGCTGTGCTGAAACTGGCTTGTCCCAGCTCTTGAGTGTCCTCTCTGTATGTCTCTTCTAGACTCCATGTTCAGTGATATCAAGATGGTAGCTTGAAATTGGCCATGGAGAGAGTATTTATACCCCAGAAATTTGCAAATGCTACACATTGGGGCTTTTCCCCCGAAGTTAAACATCTATTAGCACAACACTTAGTTTTCTACTTAACAAAATAGTCCATTCACTTGTGGAACAGTGGAAGTTCTTCTCTTTATTGCTCCAGATCTGTCTTCGGATGGGTACTCTGCACATTGGGTCTTAGTCTTTGCCTCCATAATAACTTAGAAAACATCTGAGCCCCTTATTACAAGCTAGCCCTTCAGATATTTGAAAGCAGCTGTGATGTATTTCTCAAGTCTTCCCTTTCCAAGCTGAGTATCCCTAGTTCTTTCAACATTATCTCACGTGGTTTGCAGGCTCAGTAGGTGTCTTTGAATGCCAGGGCACAGTTGCAGAGTTTTCAGAGGAAAACAAACATTCTCCCACAGGTGATCTATGGACTCTTTCACAAAAGGCTTTTCATTTTTCTTATGCTGTCTCAGTTCCATGATGCTGGTGTTGATATGAAGTGGGGTGTAGTCTTGGGTGGGGTTGCTGATTGCACCTCATAGTCATCTTCCCTGAAATGCACGTTGCTGCCAGAACTCTTGATGGGCTCCAATTCATCAGAGTGTCATCAAAACACAAATTCTCGTTTCTGAAACAGGTAATTTTCCCACTGCTGTTTTGTTTTCTTCCAGAGGCTTTTAATGCTCCCCTTTTCTTTTTTCCCTTTTCTGTAGCGTTCAATCATTTGTCTGCTGTTCACCAAAACTGTGTGTTGAATGACAGCGTTTTGAGTCCAGGATCCAGTCACACGCAAAACAAATGAATTTGTTAAGACTTATCCAGCTGTCTGTAACTGCAAGGGGCATGGCAGTGGGAGGAGGGAGGGAGACAGTACTGTCTTATTTTCTCAGAACCAGCACTTCCCATCCTTTGGGAATCAGGGCCCAGATGAGTCTGGAACTGACCTCAGTGTTGGTTCACCAAAGTAGCAATCATGTGCACTTCCTTTCAGCCACTTTATCCAGAGGGCAGGGTCCTGGGAGTCAGATGGGAGTTCTTTGGTCTAAAGTAATGAGAATTTGGACTTGCCTTCACAGCCAGCATTAAATGGGTAATGCTTAGGATCTTTTGCTTTGAGTAACTGAGTCCACTGACCTCCATGAGAGAGCAGCAGGATTGTATTGGCAAACAAAAGGCCTTTTGGGGAGTTCTCTGCCTCTTTGTTATGTTCTCAATATTGCTTTATTTGTCTTTCATTCATTAGGTTTTTAGGAGTAGGTGTGATGGCATTTCCATCTTCTTGACAGCAGGAGTGGGGAAGAGAGAGAGAGAGAGGGATTAAGAAGGAGAGAGGTGTGTGTCTGTTCAGGACTGCCTGTCAGATGGTGAATTTGAACAGAGGCAGCTGTTGTCATGGCGATGGCAGGTTGCATCCCACCACCATGGAAACCAAAGTTAAAAAACTGATGTTAAGGCTGGAAGTCACATGATACATTTTTGTTTTGTTTTGTTTTAAAAAAAGAAAAGGGGTTTGGTTTTTTAGTCTTTTTTTTTAAGATGAGGTTGGGTGGTGAGAAAAATTGCACAAGGAAAGCAATGAGATGATGACATGGGACAGTATGGAGTAGGCAGAGCCTTCTTTCATGTTTTTCTGCTTGTTGACAGTGCATGTCTCCTGCCGTGGTTAGAGAGGGGATGGGAGGGGTATGCAGGGTGGACTTCCAGGTTTGCAGCCAGAGTTGTACACTGCTAACTGTCACATGGAGAAACACAGGGGTTTAGCCCTCTTGCCCTTTGGAGGTGATGTGTGGTTCACCTTCTGTTGATCAGCCCAGAACAGACCCAGGAAACCTAAAAGTATGGACTACCCAAATAGGAAGATAGTCCATATATTGATAAATTTGGAAGGTTAACATTTATTTTCAGAGAATTGAAAAGTTCATCTATAGCTCCTCAGAATCTCCAGGAATAGTTCTGTCTGTTTATTCCCTTTTCTGGGCTGGTCTCTTTTGGGCTGCCATGTCCTGCCAGGGCAGCCATAGGAGTGAGTGCAAAGAAGTCCAGAAGGAGCCCTGGGCCAAGACTCCTTGCACCATAGCTTATCTCTTAACCTGGGCCCTCTCACCTGGGCAGGGTGGAGCGGCTTGCTGAGAGGCATTAGAAAGCCCTCTTGGCTCTCCATCTTTTTACCTCATACTGACTTCTACTTTATGCCATGATCTGGAGAAAATGTGAAACATCCCTCCAGGAAGGGAGCTGGACTGGCCAGGGCTGTTTTTGCTTGCTTGTTCTTTTTTTGTTTTGTTTTGTTTTTTGAGACAGAGTCTCACCCTGTCCCCCAGGCTGGAGTGCAGTGGTATGATCTCGGCTCACCACAACCTCCATCTCCTGGGTTCAAGCTATTCTCCTGCCTCAGCCTCCTAAGTAGCTGGGATTACAGGTGCCCACCACCATGTCTGGCTAATTTTTGTATTAATTGCAGAGACAGTGTTTCACCATGTTGGCCAGGCTGGTCTTGAACTCTTGACCTCAAGTGATTCACTCGCCTCGGCCTCCCAAAGTGCTGGGATTGCAGGCGTGAGCCACTGTGCCTGGCCAGGCCAGGCCTGTTTGAACAGGGCTGGTTTGAATTTTCCTTTTGTGTAGACAGGTTAGGAAGCAGAGATTTCTGTAAGAATGTCTGCTTCTAGGAAGGTGAGGAAGACCATGAGGGATGCAGACACACTGTTGAAGTGATGGTCATAACTATTGCTATGTCTGGGTTTTAGGCACAAGGTCTTATGTCTTCGGCATTACTCGTCCCTCCAGGACAGATGTATCTTTCTCAGTCGGCTCAGACGAGGGTCATATGATCTCACCAGCATGATCTCACTGCATTTCCATCAGGGTCTGTGGGAACTGGAGCCAGACTTCTGTGATGGTTCAACCCCTCCTGTTCTTAGCCCTGGCCTGGGGTGTGATTAATATCCCTTCTAATCACTGGGAGAGATTGCATCAGAGCCATCAGCTTCATAAATCCTCCTCTGGGGACTGGTGTTTGGATGCGCTTTCCATATTCTCAGGAGGTTCTGGGCCAAATGTCTTTGCTCTTTTCCTGGAGGCCCATTACCATAATTTTCTTTTAAATCCTTTATTGGAGTTGGTCTCCTCTGTGTCAGTCCATGGCTACAGCCAGCCAGCCCACTCCTGAGGGCTGGAGGCTGTAACCACCAACAGATGCTTTCCCCAAAGTATTGAGCCACAGTAGATGCTGAAAGATTGAGTTAGTAGGATACTGAAAGTAACTGTATTTGTGCAACACTTTACAGTTTTCAGAGGGAGTTCAGATTCCGGTATCATTTTAGGCTTCAGTCCTTTTGTATTTCTTGTTTGGTTCTGTGGGAATGGATGGTCATAACCCTTCATTGACTCTTGAGTACTGTGTTGGGACAGCTTTTGCAGTCGGAGGCCTGGCTCTGGTTTCCTTTACCAAGCTACATTTTTTCCATTGCATTCCAGGTCTTGAAGAAGATTCTGAAGTTACACGGAAGGCTTGGATAGCTGTATTTCATTCCTGTTCATATGTAAAATGTCTATTTGGTGTCATGCTAATAGGGAATCACAGACTAGTTAAGGCTCTTTCTCTGTTACTGTCTTTGAGTCAAAGTCCACTTATTAGGATGATATTTATGTGCACATGAAGAAGAGGTGGAAAGACATGCATGAAGGTGTCCATGCCATCCTCTGAGGCTGTTACATCTCTTGGATTTAGACATCCAAAAACATGAGACTGAAGGGAGAAAAGGAGACAGGTCTTCCTGTAGGGTCTGGGGTGAGGGGTGGAAATGGGTAAAGGAGGCTGAGGAATGCCTCCCCTCAGACTGTGGACTCTTCTATACCCCCCCAGGAGTTTCCAGGAAGTGCCTGAGTGCCCACCGACTGCTCCCCACAAAAGCATATTCTGCATTAGGCTGAAGTTGGGAGAGTGCACAGCATTCTATCTGCCTGCCTGTCAGAGCATGGCCTTCTTAGTGTTCGGATGTCATAGGCTCTGGGAGGAGACAGCTAAGTACAGAGGTCTTCAGGATGAGCCCCCTGGTGGTGATAGAGATGCATGTTTGCCTGGGGACACCCAATATTTACTGCCTGAGGCCTAAGTCCTTCCCAAGCATGTACCTACAGATCTGTACCTGAGAGGTGATGATGAGGAGGCTTTTCAGGCTCAGGCAGATGAAGAGCTCAGCTCCAGGCCAGGCCCCCAGGGCTCCGGTGACAGCAGAACCAGCATCACCACCCTTGCCCCAGCTTTCTGTGCTTCAAGAAGGAAATGAACAAATGGCAGGTGTGCAGGCCACGTCGTGCTGCTCAAATTAGCCATGTTGCTAAGGAAACAAGTCAACCATTCAAAGGAAGGAGCATTGGGTAAAGGAGATAAATCAATAAGTGAACCTATTTTTATCATTTCCCTAATGATTGTCTTGAAACTGCTAGACTAGAAAGAGAGTTGGAGCAACACAGGTCCTCATTAATGGGCTCAGAGGGAACGAGGAGTGAAGGGGTGTTTGAGGAGATTGCCAGTAAAGTTTATGAAATGAGGCCTCTAGTGAGCAGTGAGCTGGTACAGGAGGGAAGGCAGGAAGGAAGATGTCTTTTGCAAGTTTCAAAGTGGTTTCATGGTCATTTCCTCATTTTGGCCAGGTCCCTTCATTCTCTTGCATTTAATCCTCTCCGAAGTCTTTTTCTGATTTCTCTGGCCATCGCATTCCTCCTCACTCTCAGGTTGGGATGGGTTTTTGTGTTGATTTGTTCTTTTCAGGATACATATAGCTTTAATTGATTTTGTAGTGATAAATGAACACATGCTCATTTGAACACTCAGAAAATGGTTAGAGGAGTAAAGAAGAAAGTGAAAATAACCCTGCTACCGAGAGAAGACTCATCATCCTTCCAGCAAGACAGAATTTTTTCTTGTTCTCTCCCTTCTCTTTTTTTTTGTTTTTGTTTTTTTTGAGACGGAGTCTTGCTGTGTTGCCCAGGCTGGAATGCAGTCGCACGATCTCAGCTCACTGCAAGCTCTGCCTCCCAGGTTCACGCCATTCTCCTGCCTCAGCCTCCTGAGTAGCTGGGACTACAGGTGCGTGCCACCATGCCTGGCTAACATTTTGTATTTTTTTTAGTAGAGATGGGGTTTCACCGTGTTAGCCAGGATGATCTTGATCTCCTGACCTCGTGATCTGCCCACCTCGGCTTCTGAAAGTGCTGGGATTACAGGCGTGAGCCACCGCACCTGGCCTTCTCTTTTTTTTTTTAAACATGAAAGGGATCTTCCATGTATGCTGGTTTATTTTCTTTTTTAAATAGGTCATGTGTGTCTACAGTGGACAGTATAAAAAGTTCAAATGGGTATACAGTGTGGAGAGTGTGGGTACCTTTTGTAAGGATACCTCTGGCTCTAGTTTCCCTGTATGATTCATTTATCAATTGAATATTAATTTATTAATAAAATAACAGTTACCGGGGCCCCACTGTGTGCCAAGTACAGTGGTGAGTGAGGCAGGCAAGGTCCTGCCCTGGGGCTCCCAGTCCTTACTGCCCCATCATCTCCATTTGTTCAAGATTTCAAAACACAAGCAATCTGGATACCAGGGATAGATATTCTTCCCTAAAATATGCACAGTGTCAGGCACAGAGTGTAATGAGTGTCACTGAATTCTAGAACAGAGAGTCAGAGTCCTGGACAGACTTCCATCTTGTCCCTGATTGTGGTTGCCATGAAGGGTGATGGTCTTTGAGGCCGTGGCGACTCGGAGCTCCCTTTGACCTTTCTAAGTCATGTCTTTGTCCAGTCTGCCAGGTTGAGGGGCACTAGCTTGACTGGTGGGTGGGTGTTATTTGCCGTCTAGGCTCTTCACTTTGGGGATGTAGCAGAGCCATTGCTTTGGGGTGTGAAGTTTTGCTGTCGGGAAGAAATGGGAGTGGTGCCTCGGAGGCAGCCTGCAAGGGTGGGAGTGAGCAGGAGCCATGGCTCAGGCCAGAGTGGGTGAGCAAAGCCCTGTCTTTGTAATGGCTCCTTAGTGAATGCCTCATGTTCATTCTTACCTGCATTGAACATTGACTAAGCTCCTACTATATACCATGGGCTCTGCTAAGCACTGCCAGTAGAGACATGAGCAAAACTCCTGCTTTCAAGATATAGTTTCTTGATTTAAATAGGAGAAGAAATAATACAGTCACACAATTCAAAGAGCTGTGGGGCACGGGGAGAAACTTTCACTGACAAGGTGGCATTTCAGCTTGGTCTTGATGTATGACTGGAAAGGAGAAGAAACGCCATTGCATGTGGTGGCAGAAGCACCTAGATGTAAATGCCTCTTTTTTGTGCTTTCTTCAGAAAGGGAAGTGGAAAAGAGTTTAAAGAACAGGGCTGTAAGGGAGAGTGGCTGGGGCCTAGGCAGACTTGGATGGTCTCTTCTGCTCACCTCCCCTGAGATTTCCCTGCCACTATCCATTCTTTCACCTAGCCCACAGTTACACAGAATCTCCACATTCTCACTGCAGGTTCTTCATTACCGCAGCCATGAATTCATCCTGAGGTCTAGATGCCCTATAAGGCTGAAAGGGACATCCCTCTCAAGGGCATATATATCTGAACAATTTTAAAAATGTAAAGCAAAAAAAAAAATATTTTTAAGCCAGAAGATTGCTGCTGTGAATGGGCCTCACATCAGATAGTGGGAAGAGGATTTGGCTGGAGAGGAAGTGAGAATAGGGTCTTCTTAGAACCTGTGAATTACCAAACTCCCACCTTTAGATTCTAGACTTTAGGGCCTTGGGTAGCACCAGCCATCAAGACCTCATGAATTCTCAGCCACCCAGATACCTGGCCAGTCACTGGGAGTTTGACTCATCAGCACCTGGGCCAAGAGCCATTCCGCTGCCTGGAGCATCTTCCGGTGGTGTTGGCTACACCTTCCTGAGCTAGCCTGTGTCCCCACAAACCTCACATATCTGCCCTTGGACATTCTGGACTAGTTGAGCTTAAAGGTCCTTATAGGGAGCAATATACTTGGGTTAACTGGCTAGGAAAATGCAGGTATGGGTGTGGAAGCAGGGAGCTGGGGCAGTGGAGGAACTGCCATGGTCCAAGGGGATATTGTGAGTGGAGAGTCAGGGGCAGTGGAGGAGCTGCCATGGTCCAAGTGGGTATTGTGAGTGGGGAGGCCTCGGAGGCACATGGCTGCCAGGACCTGTCTTGCCTGCAGGCTCAGCACTGAGAACCCATCTACTTTGAAGCCTGTGCTTATCACTTTCAGGTTTTCAGGGGAAGAAGATTCAACCCCCCAAAACAATCATAGACCCCACATAGACCCATTAGAATGCGAGAGGTCTGCAGCTTGAACGAGAAAGTACTTGTGCCCAGTCCTACCTTCCAGGGCAGGCACTGGGCTTCTTGGATCTGCTGAGCAGGTGTCTGAAATTGCATGAGACGTTTCCAGCTGTGAGGAGTGACCAGGTGAGCCCCACACTGTTGTGAACACTTTTGTTAGGAACCAGGACAGGGGATGACATGGAAGAGGCCCTGGTTTCACTCCAGTCAGATCCATCATCCCTCCTGCCCCAGCTCTTGGGGACTGGCAGACAGACCCCCACTTTGTGTCAGGCTGCCCAGGTATGTTCCTGGGAACACCGTTCAAAAGAGATGCTCTGAAAAAAAGAGTTACAAGGTGAAGCAAGTTTGGGAAATGTTGTGTGCTGTCCCAAACGCCTTGTGTGTGTGTGTGTGTGTGTGTGTGTGATGGGGTGTGTGCCCACTGTATGCAAAAGTATTAAAGGCCCCAAGAAGTCCTGCTGGGGAGAAACCTGCTTAACTTTGCCCAACCCAGGCTTTCTCTCATTGGTTGATTGCAAGTTCCTATAGCACCAGTATTTCATGGCCTGCATCTTAGGAATACCACTCTCAACGCTCTCAACTTCTGTTGTCTTTTGTCAGTGACTTGTATGCGTGTTGCCAGTTCTCTTTCTGGATCCATCGCCCAAGCATGTTTTCAGGAAAGGGTATGGATTCCTTGGCCACCATTGCTGCTGGGTTCCCATCTTTAATTTGCAGGATGAGTCTGGGATTCCGGGTGCCTATGCCAGGCCCAGGGCAACCTAGGCTGTTCAGAAGGCTTATGGGACACTGGGTCCTTGTGTGGTTCCTGGTTGCTCTGCATTTTTTCAGAGGTCTGGGTTACAGCCATGATGGGAGGGGAGGAGCACTCCTCCTGCGATCAGTGGGCATGGGTGGCCCTTGGCAGGCTGTATGTTGGGGGCCAGTCCTTAGAAGGTGGTCATGCTAGCTGGGTGGGCGTCTGTGGTGTGTGTCTGCTGGCATGTTTGGCTCTCAGGGGCTTCACACCCGGAGTGTTTGAAGGAAGAGGAATGCCCATGGGTGCTGAGGGACTTTCCATGTGGGGAGGCTCCCCTCTGAGTGGGAGGGTTTAAGCAGGCACAGTGGGGTGTGGAGGCAATGGACAGGCTCTGAAGTCCCCTGAGGCCAGGTCTGTTTTTAGTTCCGGTGGCTGAACCTCAGGGCAGCAGAGGCCCGTGGAATGGTCTCTGGGGTCTGTGTGCTGTGTGAGTGCTAGAGGTGCGTGGGAAGGAACGATGGTGGTCAGCTGCTGGCGAGTGAGTGTGACTCTCCAGTGTGACTCAGAGATGCATGGTGGTGGGGGAGGAGAAGGCACTGCCAAATGAGGATTAAGAGAAGGACTAGGGGCTCACACACAGCCAGCATCTCAGCCCTGCAGCCCCTGATGCCAGCACCAAGACCAGAGCAACTGGTGAGCAGCTCACATCTCATTGCACACACTGCCTTGCCCTCCCCAGAGATGCCCTGGGTGCTAACTTAACATTGTGTTATTGCCACAGGTAGCCTGGCAGGATGGGGGCATTGCAGGGATAGCTGTGATTTGCCCTCCTGAACTCCACGACAGGGTTCCAGGCCCTGCACCCTACACAGCCTGTCTGGGTATGTGGGGAGATAAGAACAGTCCCTTTCCTTCCCTCCACTTTGCCAGATCTACGGCTCCTCTCTTCTGCCTGGATTCCAGAATCTTCTGGAGCACAGGTTGCTCAGCAAGACCAGCTGCAGTAGCTAACTTGTGTTTGTCGTAACAGTAATCACAGAATGAAATTCCAACATGCAGAATGACAGCACTGGGAGCTGGTGATTCCCTCTTTCTCTTCTGAGAGTCCTTCCCACCTCCCTCGGAGCATGTGGCAAAACCTTCCTGCAGGGGTCATAGTCCTGTTTTTGAAAAGGCACAGGGAGCACCTCACCTGTTTTCAAAAACATCTAACAGAAAAAAGCCTGCATTCATTCATTGTAGTGTGGTTCTTACAGGACTGGACTTTGCTGTCCAGGATTCCAGACTCGTGATCAGTCTCTGTTTCATATAGATGCAGACACTTAGAAGAAAATAAGGTGGGACAAAGCAAGCCTCTCCTTCCCCCAGAAGTACATTGCTGAGTGGAATTTTAAAATAGAAGGAAGCTCACATGGAGAGAATTGTTTATTTTCCAGATGTTCTTCTGTTACTCAGTGGTGCAGAGATTCTAGAAGAGAGGACTCCAGTTGTGAGCCCAGGAGAGCAATGGATTGCAGCAGCTGGATCTGTGCACAAGCATCGTTACCCAGTTCAGTGGTTTGAAGACTGGGGAGAACAAGGGGTCTGCGATGGCATTAATTATGTTTCTTCCTCCTTTCTTCCCCCTTCTATTTTCAGCCTTGGTTATTGGATTTGTTATTGAATTCACTCAGTAGCTGGAGTGTCTGCCATATGCCCAACTATATTATGTATTGGCTATATACGTTCCTTTTTTGGAGAAGATGCTTTGTGTTCAGAGACCAGGCACAAATGTTTTTGGTTTCACAAAACCAAAAGTGGATGCTAAGGACCATCCACTGTCTTGCCTGCCTGCCTGTTTACAAATAAAAATCATGCAAACTGCACAGACACAATGCGGGTTGATAGAGTTGTGTGTTTATGGGCACGGCCATCTTGGAGGCTGTGTCCCTCTCTGGTGAATTTGTTCCTTAACTCCGCTTTCCCACGCCATTTGAGTACATGATCCTGGCCACCATCATTGCCAACTGCATCGTCCTGGCCCTGGAGCAGCATCTTCCTGAGGATGACAAGACCCCCATGTCCCGAAGACTGGTATGTGATTCCCCTCCTTCTCCCCTTTGCCCCTTTTGTCTTTCTTGGTTTCTTCTCCTCTGCTTTATCACTCTCCCATTCCCTTCCTGCCTGTGAGTTCTGGGAGGAGTTTGCTCTTTGCTGGGGGACAAGCTAATGACAGACCCCATGGGGATTCACACGGAAAAGAAGAGATTACAAACACTGTGTCTGTGCTGCGTGGCAGCCAGGGAAGAAGAAAGGGCAGGCACAGGCCCATTTTCTTCCCTCCTCTTTCCTAAGGGACTTCTGATACGAGAGGAAGAGGTGGGGAGTAGAGGGGAGAGGATGAAGGATGCTCAGTGCTTGTGTGTATTTGTGGTTATGAACTTCCCAATGCTTACGTCCTTATTCTCCTTAAAGAAATGAGTCACACATCTAACGTATTCCCCCTAAAAAGAGCAGACAAACTGCCTAAAATTCACGTGTGTACTTGAGATGATGACCTTCAAGCTTCTAACTTATGTGAAGAGCAGCAAACTCCTTCAGGGCAAAGCCAGGGCCATCAGGGACCTTCCTGGGAAGGAAGTCTAGCCCCTGGGTGTGACCCTCACATTGTCCATTTCTACAGCTGGCTCCCCTGGGTCTCCCTTGCCCTGTGCACTCCTGAGTCACAGACAGCCTGCAAGGGTCCCTTAGCACCCTTGCTTCCCACCTACACATGGGCAGGCCCAGCACAGACATCCAGGAAGGGCCAGGCTGTGCTTTTGCCTGTGTCTCATAAAGCACAGTCCTCTTCTCACTGGTGCTTCTGCTCCTCATCCCCACAGGAGAAGACAGAACCTTATTTCATTGGGATCTTTTGCTTTGAAGCTGGGATCAAAATTGTGGCCCTGGGGTTCATCTTCCATAAGGGCTCTTACCTCCGCAATGGCTGGAATGTCATGGACTTCATCGTGGTCCTCAGTGGGTAAGTCCATTTTCTCTCTCTGTCTGTGTGTGTGTATGAAGGGGGTTGGTATCATGAGGTGGCTGGGGGCAGGGAACCTGGGGTGGAAAGACAGCAATCTGTAGAGTAGGGGCAGAAGAAAAAGTTCAAGGCTAAGATTCCCCAGGGTGCTGGACCATAGGTCAGCCACCTCAAGAGGAGGATGAGTACTGTGTGGAGATGCGTGTGGTGTTAGGCAGAGGCCATGGGACTCTCAGCCAGGTCTGGAAGCTGCCACTTCTGGTTTTCCATTCTGTGCTTGGCTCAGTGGCTAAACACCCACTTCTCTGGGGAGGGTGACATTTCCCAATGAGCCTTTTCACCAAAGCAAGCAGCTTACCCCCGCCTGGGAGGCACCTCCAAGACGGGCCAAAAGATGTAGTCAAATGCAGCTTCTTTTGGGCGTTGGAGAAGACCTCAGCCATATTTTCTGAACTGATCATTGAGACTTGTGTTCTGACAACAGAAGTTTTTATCATTTGCAGATTTGTTAATAGTATAAAATCGAATCATATTAAAATGTTGGATAAATCATTCTGTGGAAATTAATATAGCCATACGACATTGGGGCTGACCCAGTGTCACAGCAGCATATATGATGGCAGTACATTTAGTTAAATATTTGATAAATCATTCTTTTGGAAATGAATATAGTATGAGGAAGCTGGGTTGACCCAGTGCCCTTGGCAGCAAATGTGTTGGCCTTGGGAATGGTGTGACGGGCAGGCCTTCCTGGGCTTTTGTGGCTTCCTATTGGTCTTTGTGTCAGGTGGCTCTTGGTACCTGCAAAGCTGGGCACTGAGGAGTGGTCCTGTGTGGATGTGGCAGCAAGTGATGTGGTCTGGAAATTCCCTTACCCAACTGCTTGGCAGACAGGGTTCAAACCCATGAAGAAAAGAAGAGAGTGACTTAGAATGGCAGGGAAGGCGAAATATTAGCTACTACTGTGATTGACCAACAGGAAAGGAGAGAAAAGAGGAATTGTTTTCCAGGGAGGAGTCAGAGGAGGGGTGAAGGTAGATAAAGTCTTAGAAGGAAGGGTAAGGGCTTGGGAATGATTGCATCTATTTGTTGTCATGTGGAATAGACAAAATACTCTTATTTTTTAATCTTTACACCATTGGGATTACATGAAAGAGAAAACACTGAAGATGTAATGGACTGGAATATGTAAATGGAAGCACGTAAGCAGCCAGCCCCTCAATATGGGAAATGGATAAATAGACTGGGATGACTATTCATGTTTAAAAATATCTGTTGCCTTACAAAAGGATTTTCTGGAGGTTAGTTTTCTAAAAGAAAATTCTACTACATTTTAAATATGAATTAGTATATGAAGATATAGTTTTTACATAGTATTACAGAACTATATTGGGTAATGTTGCAAATGTCCCTAAAATAAATAATATGTGCTGTATTAGAAGAGGCCTGTATGAGAATCTGAATCATTTAGAAATGTTATGATTCTATCTAGAAGAAAAGTGTTGTATAAGTCACTACAGAAGAACAACAAAAAAAGAAAAGTATTGTAATGTGTATATAATAAGTTTGTGTAAATTCTTGGTCCTGCTCAGCTCTATATGTGGCAGAATCCATTTGAAATTTCTTGTCTAGTCCATTTATTTTTGTTTTAAATGATTATATGTTCATTAAAGAAATATGGAAAATACAGAAAAGTCAAAAGAAGAAAAAAAAATTCACTGATTCAGAAAAATTCCTGATTGTTTTGTGGTATTTCCTTCCAGGCCTTCGATGCTAAGCAAGCTGTCTTTTAAATGCTTGTAATTTTGCTGCTTTCTTCCCAATATAGTATGAGCATATTACATGTTATTGCATATTTTGGTAAAAATCTGTAATGACTGATCAGCAGTTTGTTAAGTAGATGTACACATCTTGCTTCTCATTTTTGCAGTTACTTGACACTTGGATTCTTTCTGTTTTTTGGCTCTGATAAATAATTATTAAAGATGCTCCAACGTACGTCTTTTGGATATCACATTTTATGAGACATTTTACAAGGTTGAAGAAGTACTTCTGGAGGAGTATACGGCTGTTCTGGTGTGGGGTCTGGGAACTAATGGCTGAGAGGAGGTAGAGAAACTGGTCTGTTTGACTGCATGAGAGAAGACTTCCAGTAGATGTTAATCTCTCTGCAAATAAGGGTTGCTACATGGTTGTTGAAGAAGCAGATTCATAGGGACCCATAGGGTTCTTTTGTCAGCGAAGCCAAGAAGGGCCCCTGGGTCCTTGCCTGCATGTCCAGGGGGTGTTCAAGAGTCAGTGCAGGTGCTGAGCTTGGCTGAGTCAGTTGTCCTCTCTGTGCTCTCTTTCCCATCCCTCACATCTTCCCTTCTTAGTGGCTCTTCAGATGTCCCTGGCTTTGTGAATTGCCTTCACAGGCCCCTGATTTCCATATGAACTCACAGGACTTTGCTCCTGCTCCTCCTCCAGACCTGCTGCTTAGCCCTCTTCTCAGCATGGACCGTTCCCTTTCTCCTCAATTCATGGGTGAATGTGCTCCAGGCAAAGAGCTTGGTCCTCTTGAGATCCCTGCTGAGGGGCTGAGGGTTGCGGTTCTATCCCACAGGAATGCATGATCATATTTAGTCTTACAGTCACATGATGCTCTCATCTACCACATTGTGTGGCTCTAAGATGCACGTTTTTCATGCTGGAACATTGCTGAAATCAGCCTGTGTCTTACAATAATGGCATGATATAGTTTAATTGACAGCATGTTTTTCTTTCTTAGTGCTACATAAAATTACGGGGCATCTTACAATTGTTGGGGTTGTAGATTCAATGACATGTGATACCAACCAGGGAGGCAGGCAAAGTGGACTTTAGAGATGAGTCATCTGGTACTCAAAGAGGGTAAGTTATTCACCCAAGATCACACCTGCCTCTTAATGGCAGATGCAGGAGTCAGAATTGTGCCTTTTGATCCAGGGCTGGTGTTTTGACCCCTGCCCTGTGCAGCCTCCTTACCAGGCCACCTGGTGTCCCCCTTTGTCTTCCTGACACCTGCACCCACAGCAGTCCCTGCTGACAGCTCTTCCTTCCCACCTCATCTCCAGGTGTCACCTCCCATTTTCCCCTCTGCACAGGAGGAATGACAGGTGCTGGAGCATGACACAGTGCCTCAGGGCTGAGGCTGCACAACTTCTCAGCTCTCGGTGCTGACAGGAGGGAAGTGGGTGCTGAGGTGTCAGTCAGCTGGCTCAGTGTAAGACCTGCTCTTATTGATCTTTGCTGAGAGATGACTAGTTGAGGGGCCTGGGCTACCACATTCTGCCTGTGACCTCTGACCTCCTAAACTTTAGTGTTCTTTGGCCTATAAGTTGAGGGTGTGCATGGTTTAGAAAGCGCATTTATGTACATTGCTTCATCTTGTCCTCATAATGCCATAGAAAAGACCTTGCTAGCCTCATTTTACAGATGAAGAAACCGAGGATCAGAGAGGGCACATGAATTGCTAGCAGGCACTAGATCCAGGACTTGAGACCACATCTCCTGGCTCCAAGTTCCTTCTTTCACTGACTTTTCCCCATACTGGCAGTTACTTCACAACCCCAAGGGCCCCATGGTTCTAAGGCTCTGTGGTTGCAGGTTCCTTTAGTCCCCGTGAGGCAGTGTGGGATGAGCTCAGGGAGGTATGATCAGGCAAATGTTCACTCTCAAAGGTGGGGCTTCACATGTGAGTTGAAGGGGACAGGGGCCCAATGTGTCCATCCTGAGACTTCTCTCTGTGGGCTTGGGATGAGACTCCCTGCTCTGTGGTAAAGAAGGCATGTCACTTTAACTGTCAGCATAGCATGGTTTGATGTGTAGAGAGTGGATCAGAGTTCCAGCTGATTTCTTCCTTAAATGGCTTGTTTGTTCACTCATTCACTCACCAATTCATTAATTCAGTGAAACTAGTATTGTGTTGGTGAAGGCAGAAGGCAATGCTGGGACCGAGAAATGTGGACGTTATTATATTTTCCCACCTGCTAAAAGACAGTGGAATTTGCCATTCTTTTAACACATTCTTATCTTACAGAACTTGGGATCTCTCTTGCATTGGGAACAACTCAGGCAATTTTTAAACACTTGTCAGGCCACCTGGAGAATTCCAAATTAGTTGAAGTCACTATTACACATTAGTCAAGAGTGAGTTATAAAAATATAGTACCTGGAGCAGATGGACAGATGAGATGGGAGGATGAGAGTCAAGGGTACTCCTAAATCATGGGTAACAACAGGGAAATGAAGGCGAGGACTGTGTCTTAGATGCCCACTCATCTCTATATGCCCAGTGCCTGGCATATAGTTGGTACTCAGTAAATGCTGATTGAATTGAATTGCTTGCCTATCCCCAGATTCTCTTGTCTATAGGATACAAAAATGAGTGCTGGGGGAAGGCTGGGGCTGGGGTAAAGAGGGATTGTCTGTTCCCAGCCTTCCCCCTTGGCCTGGCTGAGCCAGGCAGTGTCTATGTCTCTCTCATCTCTATCTACCTCTGCCAGGCTGCTCATATTCTGGTCATTCTATTAGGAAAATGAAAGCTGGGAGCTCAATTTCTAGGCCATTAAGCAATATTGGGCTTCCAGTCACCTGTGGTTATTTACCAGGTTGTCAGTGTTATCTCCTGAGAATTGCTTCCTGGGTGATAAGGGCAGAGTCAGCACTGCATATTGAAGACCTAACCTCATTGAAGTGGCTGTGGATGGGGTGGGGGTTGGAGGGGTGGATAAGGAGAAAGCAGGGGTATCACATCACCTAGCGTTTACCATATAATAAAAATGGTCATTTATTGAACCATGTGCCAAAGACCACACACACACACACACACACACACACACACACACACACACAATTTCTAATCCTAAAAATGTACCAGGAGTTGAGAATCATTAGGCTTGACTATTACCCAGTCCCATTTTACAGATGAAGAAGCCAAGGCACAGACAATTTAACTTGTCCAAATCCAAATGGTTGGTATAAGGTAAAGTCAGAATTTGAACCCAGGCCAGTTTGCCTTTAGCACCTGGGCACCTTCCCTAGGCCAAGTGATGTCACTGCCTCAGACTCAGCGACAGCACCAGCTGTTCCTGTGCTGCTGGAGCAATTTAGTCTCCTTTCCCTATTTCCCTTGTGTCTCTTTGGGTTCAGGCCAAATGGAGAAAAGTGTGTTATCCCTTTCCATCTAGGAAGTCTTTGTTTTCCATTGTATGTTAAAGTATTGGTGACATTACAGAGCTAGTCTTGAGTGTTGGTAATATTGTCTATTTTCCTAAGAAAACCCCCAAATCAGCTCAAAATATGCTCTTTCCTGAGTTTTGTCAGCCTTGCGTGGGAGGTGACCTGCGTTGGCTCTTCCCTTTACTGCGGAGCACATGGTGTAGACTCTGGGGAGGGGCAGGTGTGTCTGTGCCTGGCTCTTCCTCCTTCCTCTGCCAAGGTCATCACCCCAGGGCCTAGGAGGCCCCTCAAGAGCTATTGCTGAATACCCACTGTGTGCCAGGTACTGTGTTTGGTGTGGGTGGAATGGGGCCTAGTGTCTTCCATGGTGGTGGGGGCTGGAGCCACGCAACATGAGAACGTGAAAGGGTGTCCAGCCTGGCCCTGGGGCACTGGGGAAAGCTTCTTGAAAGAAGTCACATTTAAACAAGTGGAAAGGATGGACAGATGGAACTTAGCTGGGCAGGGAAGGAGAAGAGCCCTTCTGGGAGAAAGAATGCTATGTACAAATGCCCTGTGGGGGTGGCACATGGAGAGAGGCACACAGACAGACCACAGGACACTTCTGGAAGCCTGGCAGGTGGCATGGGGAGAGACCTGCAGAGGTCAGCAGGGGCCAGTCTAGGCCATTCTGAGTAGTCTGTACTTTAACCAGAGGGCAGTGGGGAGCCACGGAAGGCTTTGAGCAGGGGGTTCACTATTTCACTGTTTCACTCTGAGTCTGCTCTGGATGTGGCACAACTCTTTTTTCTTTTTTACCCTGGAATCAACTCTGAGGAAAGCCATGGAAAAAAGTTGGAGCCATCTCCACATCCTTAGCTGCAGTTTGGGAGAATGTGCAGAGCCAAGCAGAAAGAGGGGAGGCAGAGGAAAAGGGAGCAGGGGAGAGGAGAGCCAGGGAGTGCTGCAGTAAAGCTGGGAGCTGCCGTCCTCATCCCCAGCTTCTCGCCAGTGGCACATGCAGAACGATTTAGCCTGAAGCCTGTTGGTAGGAGGATGCTATCTAGAGCTAAATATATATTGATAGGTATTTTTAGAGGGTTTTCTGTAAAGAGGCTGCCCTAATACAAGAGTTTCCTGAGCAGCTAAAGATCGAGGAAAGCAGAGTTTTCCTCAGCACTGTCTCTCTGAGGCTGAGAATGTGGGGGAAGAGTTGTGAATGCAGTCCTCAGGCCCCCAGCCCAATTTGAATCCCTGTGGTAATAGTATGATATCAGTGGGTATTTATATAGCATCACCAGGCCAGTGAGCCTGGCGGGACCTCAGAGACCTGTCTTTTACTTGTCCTTACTGTTCTGGGCAGGTGAAGGATGCAGATGGGGAGCAAGGGCAGAATGGGTAGAGGGAGGAGACATGAGAACTTGTTATTTAGGAGATGGGGAAACCGAGGCTGAGTGGAGCAAGGCAAGGGACTCAGAGATACTTAGCTGAGCTGCTAGATGAACAGATATTTATTTAGTGCCTTAATGCTAGGCACTAAACCTGGCATCAGCATTATTAATGCTGATGTTGGGGAGGTCTGCAAGCCTGTAAGCCTTACCACTTTTCAGTTCTTCCTCTCAGCATCGTTGCTGGCTGCTCCTCTGACAGATCTCCACCTCCTCCCTGGCTTTTTGTGCATTTCTAGCTCCACACTGGGGAGCACAGCTGCCACTTGCAGCATCTCCTTTTATCAGAACATTATTTCTGTTCCAATTGCATTTCCCCCCAGATGGGCAAATGATGGAAAAGATAAGGTTAGAATATAGGATTTCGATTCCAGGGAGAGGTGGGCAAAAGACAAAATGTGAAGCTTAAAGGTCTCTTCTTAGCTCTGTGCTGCTGATAAATCCAGTTACTTCAGGGAGACTCCTAGTGAGAGTGCCAGTTAGTAGTTGATGGGCAGCTGAGTTGGGATTGTGCCTTGGGTGGGAGGGAATTTTTTCTCATGTATGCACTCTGTCTTTTTTCTATATTGAGATGCACCATTGGTTCACTCAACAGATATATATTGAATATACACTGTGTTCCAGATGTAAGACATTGGTGTTGGGATGGTTTCTGTTTCCTGAAAGGCTTCTTCTTGCCACCCCCACCCATTGACAGAAGCTCCATATGGACAGAACTGAGTGGGGCCTGAATTGGCTTTGATATCACCAAAGAGGAGGAAAAGCCAGAGGGAGTGAAGAAAGCTTCGAAATCCCTGGGTGGTTTGGTTTGGGACTTTATTTGTCTCCTGGCATTGCATTCACTCAGGGTGATACAGGGAAAGAAATTATGGCAAGGTGCTTTCTAAGTCAGACCGTTCTCCTGGGCCTGGAGCTCTCATTTGAAGGCAGTTAAACTCGTGCATTCTTGTGCTTGTGCATGAGTGTATGTGGAAGAGGGAGGTGGGGTGAAAATCCCCAGGTATGTTTTCAAAGCAGAGGTGGATATGGCATAAATGCGAACTCTATAGATTTACAAGAATTGAGAATTAAAGGAACTGTTTACATTTCCATTCTGTGGTTGAAATATGTCTCCTCCTTTGGGTAGAGATTTGTGCACTTGTGTCTATGTTGTAAATGTAGTCCACAGTTAAGTATAAATGTGTTGGTGTGAAATGTGAAAATGCAGCAGCACTATTTAATGTATGTGTCACTGAAGTCAGGAAATAGCAGATATAATGAGTGCAGAGTGGTTACCAAAGGGAAGGGGCAAGGTGGGGCAGAGCCGATGTTGAGAGGAAAATGAGGGCATGCTGGTTTAAGAAAGAACGTATGAAGACAAGGTAAGGCTAAGGTTACTAAAGCTCAATCACTGAATTTTAGATCTAGGAGAATAATAAATTTGCCTAACTTTCCCTTACTTATTATTTTTTTCACAGAAGAGAAGACTAAAGTGCATGTTGCTAAGTAACTTGTCCAGGGTCTTTTAGATGGGGTGTGGTGAGCTGGGGCTTGGATCCTGTGTAATTCCAAATCTAGGACTCTGTTGCAGCGATGCCTTACTACCCCTGGCGATGAGAATCTGCTGCTTCTTGGTTGTATTTAGGCCATGAAGCTGGAGGTATTAAGAAATAAGATTTTCTGTTATTTGGCTGGAATATACATGTGCAACTTACATGGAAACAGAGTTTAATCTCATGGACTGAATGACCTGGCGGCTCTGGGTTCTGGTCCTGATCCTGACATACATTCTCTCTGTCATACTGGTGATGATGTAACCCATCTCAGCTTGGCTTTCCTTTATGAAACTTCATTTATGAAGTGAAGGTAAAACCTGCTGTAGCTACCTCCACCAGGTTTCATGACAAGCAAAGAGGATAGTGATGATGTTGATAATGACAGCTCCCATTTAACCAGGAGCTCATGTCTTATTTTAAATGCAGAAGGCTTCATATTCTATATTGGCACTTGCACATATTATTTTAAATATAGAAATGTAAGGCAATAGTGATATTATCTCCATTTTACGGATGAGGAAACCAAAACTTAAAGAGGCAAAGTCACTTGCTCAAGGTCAAATAGTTACTAAGGGGAGAGATTGGCCCTTTAATTCTATTATCAACAATTCTAAAGCCCTTGCTATATCTAGTGTACAGCACAGCCTCCACTGCCAAAGTGTTTTGCAAAACAATAAAGCAAAATACCAAATCAGTGAACAATAATACCTTCCCTCCAGGACAGTGATATTATAAAGATAAATGTTAAAATACACATAAAGCACCATGAGTGCCTTGAAAAAAACCAGCATATAAAAATTGAAAGTACTCAAAATACTATGGTTCTGTAGACCTCATTAAGAATGGTCATTTATCTCTATAAAACTTGCAACCACAGAAACAAATTTCACTGAAACCTATTGCAAATTTTAAAACTATGGTAAATTTAAAATTTTCCATTAGTTATAATTTTGCCTCAAGAGAGAAGTTTACTACATATCGCACATAGGATGTATCTTATTTCCTATCAGCAGCATATCTAATTTTATCAAAATTAGTCAAATCCTGCTACAGTCATTACCCATAAGAACAACAAAGAAGTTCCAAGAGTAAAAGTTGAAACAAAGGCCTTTATTTTAAATTTTTCTAACAAGGAAAATGTTACATTTTCTAGATTTCCATTTTTTTGGTCTTCCCTTTCTTTGTCTTCTATCCTCCCCACTTCTCACAAAACATACACAGGCCAGAGGGGTCAGCCCCTGTCCGCCCACATCTGGATGTGACCCAGGAAGGCTGACAATGCCCTCTCTCCTCCAGGAAGAATGTCCAGGCAGAGCCCTTGCACAAAGGAGGGGCTGAAAAGAAGCCTGAGGTCTGACTTCTTCCCTCTTGTCTTTCATTTCCTTCCTTCTTGACTGCCACTCTTCTGTCAGTTGCCTGGACCTTGGTGACAGAACATTTAGGAAGGGGGATCAGGGCCATGGCTTTTCTCCCTGGCCTCCAGCACTGGAACAGTGACTAGGAGGCAGAGTGACAAGGGTGGCTGCTTCACATGTCAGATGCATTGGAAACAATTTACATCACTGTGGGGGTCCCTGCATCTCACCTCCTCTCCACCAGCCCTCTGGGGCCCAGCTGGCCTTGGAGAGTCCTTACCTAGTCCAGGTTGGCATGACTAGCCATGGGAGAGCTCAATCTGAAATGGAACTGAAACTGACCTGGTTTGGGGTATCTTTGCTGTTGAATCTTAGTCAAAACTCTGGGTGAGGGAGAGAAAACCAGAAAGAAGCCCACTCAGGGCTAAGCATCCCTAATACCCATATATGAGCTCTGAACTATGGTGTGGGGGAAAATGGACAGAGTCAGGAGAAGACAGGAGGGAAGGAAGTATAGAGGCAGCCGGTATTAGTTGAGCACATCCTGTGTTCAAACATTGTGCTGACTGCTAGGGACGCAGCACTGGATGGAGATATAGCCTCTATTCATACCTTGCTGTCCAGCAGAGAAGACAGATATTTACTTTAATTTAATAGTGTATAACATGCTGCATAGGAGAAGACTTAGGGTGCTAGGATAACTTTTCACTGGGACCCTAACCTAACTTGAGACCTGAAGACTGAGTTATACTTAGCTAGGATGAGACGAGAAGAGGGAAGGGGACAGGATGAGGAGAGTTCCAGGCAGAGGGTAGGACAGTTGTGCAGGGCTAGAGGTGGGGGAGGCCATGGCAGGTGTGAGAAACAAAAAGAAGGCTGGAGGGGACCACAGTGATTGTAATCTAAGAGGGGTTGGAAAGTAGGCAGGGACCACATCATTCACATCATTCAGGGCCTCGTTGGCATGTCCAGGCATGTTCAGTGGGAGGCCATTGAATGGTTTGAAACAGGAAAGTGAACAGATTTGCAGGAGAGGCACGATGTTTGCAGAGAAGAAGATAGAACAAGTTGCCCAAATGACTCCATGTCTCCTCAGAATTAGGGAAATAGGATTAAAGTCCTCAGTGTCCCTTTCTTCCTTCTTGCCCCCTCCTTCCAACATCAGCCCTCAACTATAATTTTGTTTAACCTATTGGAGCTGTACCAAAACCCAGTCTACAGACCTTATAATCTAGCTGAGCACATGTTAAAGATTTGTTAACCTGCCCAGAGTAGAGACATAGTCCCTGGCCCTCTGAGATTATACTCTGAGCATCTCCTACTGATTCAAATAATGGGTAAGAATTGATGAGTGTGTGGGCTTTTATTTTTTATATTCAGCACAGAAATTATTTTAAAAATGCTTTGCTGAGAACATTGCTATATGATTATTATGATTTTTATTTTTCTGATAGAACAATGGTCAAAAGATCAAGCCAACCCACATGCTTGTTTATGGGATGTTTCTCTTTTCCCTGTTCCCAAAGCCCATGACACATCATGATGCTGAATCTGGATCCTAACTGAACTCTGGTTAATAACCACTGTAAATATAACATTTTGTGATTTAGGGGCCCTTACATCCTTCCAGTGGGGAGCTCAAAGTGCTCTGTGAGTTACATTCTACCCACTCATTTGGAAGAGGGAAATAGAGAATCCCAGTTCCCTTTCCAAGTAAGTGTCGTATTCTCTGTTCTGGAGACAGGTCACCCAGATGGATCCTTCACATATGGACTCTGGTGATAGAGACGGGAAGGGAGTAAATGCTCACCCCGGTCTTTTCTCCTGCCCACTTCCATCCCACATCCCCTCTTCAGATGAGTGCAGCCAGCTCTTTAACGTGTTAGCTTCTTCCTCCCTGCTCTTCTGTTGTCCTTTTCTTAGTCTCCCTAATCCTTCCCTGTTTTCATTTTACATTCTGTTCTGAAATACAAGACTTGGGGAGTTTGAGGTAGATGCCACAGAGGGTAGTACGTGGTGTTGTGGTTGTGGTGTGTATGAGAGACTCATTCTGACCAAGACCTTCTTAGAACTTTGTCTATTAGACTCTGACCTCCAGTCCTTCTTCTCCAATAAGCAAATTCAAGTTTGGGGTGGGATCTCCCTACTGGGAATCTGATCAGGTCAAAGTTTGACTAGCTAGTACTGCAAATAAAGGAGGAGGAACTTCCAATGATTTCCACTCCCCCCAGCTGTGACTGGTCTGAACTCTAAGCAACAAGAAGTCACCTACAAGCACTGGCTGTTTCCTGAATAAAGTTTCCCTCAAATATGTAACATAGTATATTTTGTAGTGTGTGGATGCTGTTGTGATTTATAAAATATAAATACATCTAAAAGTATTGTTGAATGAGTAGTATTGTTTTCTTTTTTAATTTATTCAATATAGCATAGTGATTAAGAATTTGGGCTTCATAGACAAGCAAACCTGAATTCATATCTTTGCTCTACTGTTTTCTAGTACTGTGGTTGTGGGCAAGTGACCCAGCTTCTGTTAAGTCTCAATGTCTCCATCTGCATAGAAAAAGGAATGGCTCTGGGTAATAACAATTATTTAACCATGTTGTTAAGGGGCTATAGTAATTGAAATAACTCCTCCAAGGGATGGGGTTGGTCTTGAATTTGTGACATTAAAAAGAGAGCCTCACACTTGAAAGAATGAGAATTGCTAGTTCAGTGTAACTAACCCATTGATATGAAAGAAGGAGATGAGGCCCAGAACTGCAATGTATGCCCCATTTTGCCTGTGGCTAAAGCCTGATTTTAGTCAAGCTGGTCTTCAGTCTTGTGTAGAGGTGATGGGGAAAGTAGAAGTAGAAGTTAGATACAATGCTTCACTCGTGAACAGAACAGTCTAATTGGAGTTCACGAGATATATGGCCCGTGTTTGATTTTTGGTATTTGGTAGTGGAGGTCTGGGAGTTGGGAGCAAGCAGCTGTCATCCTTTTGGGAAGCCATGCTGTCCCCAGCAGGTGACACCCCAAGTCTCTTTGCCAGTGAGGCCCCACCACCCCACACTAGTATGAGTTAGGTTGCTCATGCAGAGCCATTTCTCAGGCATTATTCCTAACTCTTTTCCTTTTCATAAAGTGAGAGGGCTTATGCTCATCCCTCAACCAGACTATGAAAGAGACACTCACATTCCCAAGTGGTGGTTTTATTTTTTTATATTTTATGTTTGTATGGGAAATTGTGGATAAAGTGAAATAATTATAAATAAATGGTATGTTTCCTTTTTTAAAAAAGAGCAATCTAATTGGAATAGAATGTATGTGTGGTCCTAAGGCAGCTGGGAACAATGTGACCCGTACAGAGCTTGTTCCAGGTTGGCTGGTCCAGGCTATAGGAGTCTCATTTTTAAAATCTAAAATACCTCTCTTGCAAGATTTATGTACTAGATTAAGCAGGGCTAGATGCTCTAACAAATAACCCCCCAAATTTCAATGGGTTAACATAGTAGGTTCTCTCTTGCTCCTTGAACAGGCCAGTGTGTCCTGAACAGTGCTCCTGGCTTCCCTCCACTTGGTGAGGTAGAGACCCAGGCTCCTTCTATCTGGTAGCTCTGCTGTCCTCTATGATCTCGTGGTTTATGTCCCTTCAAGAGAAGTGGAAAGAGAGAGTAAGAATAAGGCATACTCCTTAAATGTATTGGTATAGAACTGATACACATTACTTCTAGTCACATCCCATTGACAAGGAACAGCCATGTGGCTCAGCCTAGTTGCAGGTGAGACTGGGAGATCTAATCCCTAATTGGGCAGCTGCCTTCTAGCAACAACCTTGCCCTGTGGGAAGGAGAGCATCAATTTTGGAGGACAGTAATGATCTCTTCATTATCTATGTGAGTATAAATTGTCAGATGCATAGGAGATATATAATAAATGTTTTCTTCTAATTATTAGTAACATCCATTGAGTCAAGAAATATTTGCTATGTGTGTACAAAACATTTTGCTAAGTATTGAGGCTAGAAAGATAAATAATAAGATACCTGCCCCCAAGGAACTTTAAGTCTGATGTGTAGATAGTATATATAGGTAGATGATTTTCATTTGAGCTTGACAACATTTGATCAGAAGAAAAAACTGGGAATAAATGTGCTCTACTCTGTGCAATCAGCTTTCTATCTGTCCATCTATCCTCCTTTCATTGAATGGGTCCCATGTGTAAGGCCTAGCGGTGAGCAGTAGGAGGGACAGCAGTAGAGTTAAATAGGGAAGAGATGGAAGATCACTGGGAATGTGGTTTCACTTTGCCCTAATGCAGCAGCTGTTGACACACTACATGCTGGTGTAACTAGCCATTGAACTGTTGTTGCCACCTCTCTTGATCAAGCTTTGAAGATAAGCATGAGAAACAATTAGTGTATTTCATATTTTTTTTATTTTTGTTGTCATGCTTATTTTTGTCCTCTTCAAGATAGCAAAGCCTAGGGGTAGTCAGCCAGCTGAGGCTATTTATAAAATGTCCATGTTGGCCTGGATATCACTACTGGTTAACATTTGTCAAACTCTAAACTCTGTAGTCTAGTAAAACAGAGGATCAGGAGCCAGTTTCAGAGGGAAAACCAACCTTTCCATTTACTAATTTCTTTTCTATCCTTAGCCTGCACAAAGAAGGTTGAGAAGTCAGAATTTTAGTTATGAACTGTGTGCAACTACAACAAATAGAGTCAGTAGTAAATAAATGGTTGTCACGAGTCTTTGGAGAAGGATTTATTATTGTGGCCATAGATTGGAGTGGTCCTTGAGGATGTTAATTATGTTGCTGCTTGTTGCAGTTTATGACATGGCTTCTATGTGGGGTAATTGGATCTAGGGGAGCTATCCTTTTCCATGGAAAAAGGCCAGTTTGGTCTCAGGTTTATAGCCCTAAGGAAAGGAGTTTCAGAAAGCAGTTGCCCAAATTTTTCAGCCTCCTTGATATTTCCAGTGCACAATTCTGGAAAAGGGCTCCTTAATTCAGAAATTGGCCTTTGTTGCAGGGATGCTAGGTCAGGAGGCAGGGAGGGGAAGAATGGAAAGGAGAGCAGAGATTACCTAGTTATTCAGGACTGTGGACCTAATTAATAGCTGGTGTTCAGTGCTAATCACTGCATTAAACATTTCAAAGGATTTTTAAAAAATTCTTGGCAACATCCCTGTGAGGTAGGTACTATTATAATCACTACTAGATGAGGAAACCAGGGCTTAGGTGGTTCAGTAATTCCCCCATATCATGCTGCTAATAGTTAGTTGGTGGGGTCAGGATTCCAATGAGGAAGCCTGACTCCAGAGCTTAGGTTTCTGACCGTGATGCTACACTGCCTTCCTAATTTATGTATCTAGTGGCTGCATGGTCTGAATTTTTTTTTTTTTTTTTACTCCTGATGCATCTTAATTAACAAAAGTGAAAGGGTGTATCTGTTGGTCTGGATGTCAAAATCCATCCAAGGGAATATAAAACTCACTACTTGGTTTTAGTTACTGGAAAAATGGCTTCTATTGAAGGGAATTAAGAGAACAATAGATTATTGGTTTTTCTATATCATTTTGATCTTGAAATCAATTTAGAAATATTGTCCATTTAGCCTGTTAACAATAGGTTAGAGTTATAACACAGGACAGCCTGGCAAGATGCAAGGAACAAAGGCTCTGGCATGACATAGTTCTGTATTTGAAGTCTGCTTCTGGCTTTGTGACACTGAGCAAGTTATTTAACCTCTCATCCTCAATTTCCTTACTGGGAAATGAAGGATTTAGGGTATTTCTGAGTATTTTATGAGACTAAACTGGTATGATATATGTTGAGCATTTGAAACAGTGCTCTGCACATAGTAGATTTTCAACAATAGTACCTGCTACTATTTTATAGTTTATTGATGAGGAAAGGGAAGCATATAATGAACAAATATATTCTCTGGGTTACTCTAGCCCCCACAAAAAACTTGCCCTAGCTGGGATGAAGTTGTTGTCCTTGTATTTTCAATCTGTTGCTACTTGTGCTGGATTATGCTAGCTTCTAGAACATACTAAATCTTGAGTTAATTTCTTAGTCCATTTGGACAGCTATATCAAAAGTATCATAGACCAGGTGGCTTATAAACAACAGAAATTTATTTCTCAACATTCTGGAGACTGGGAAGTCCATGATCAAAGCAGATTCAGTGCCTGGCAAAGGCCCCTTTCCTGGCTGCTGGACAGCTGTCTGTGTCCTCACATGGTAGAAGGGGTGAGGGAGCTCTCTGGTGTCTCTTTTGTAAGGACACTAATCCCATATAAGAGCAGAGTCCTCATGACCTAATACCTTCTAAAGGCTGAACCTCCAAATATCACATTGGGGATTAGGTTTCAACATATGGATTTTGGGGATACACAAACATTCAGTCTATTACAGTGGGCTTTAGAGTCCTGGAATCACTTCATCTTTGATCTGTATTTATAGCTTAATTTATCTTGATACAGGTTTCAAAATATAATTGAATAGCTACACTCACTTGATAATATTAAAGTAGGGCTATATCTTTAAGGCACAGTATCAGCTGGCTGTGAACAAAATGCTGGCTGATATATATGGTCTTCTTTTTCTCTCTGTATTCTTTTTTGAATTCTCATTCCAGTTCTGGTTTTAAATGTACCTTCAGTAAATAGATCCTCTTTATTTCCCTTCTAGTTCATTACTTACTTCCCATGCCTTCCTACTTATATAATCAAAATCTCATGATAGTTCTATGTTGTTTTTGTTGCTTTCCAATTACTTATCTGAGTCTTCCTCTTTTGAGAGAATATAACACCTTAATATTTATTGTAATAAATGGTTTGTTTTTATTCTTTTCCTTTATTTTATTTGCTATTTATTAGACTTTATTACTGTTTCTTCATTTTTCTTCTTACTTCTTTCTGTATTGATCAGCATCTTTTAAACCAGTTTTTTATAATTATCTACTGGATTATCAAACTCTTGTGGTGAAGACCATTTTTTATCTGTTTCATTTTACTCCCCATCTTTCCACTTCTGATATGGTTTGGTTGTGTCCCTACCCAAATCTCAACTTGTTGTATCTCCCACAATTCCCACATGTTGTGGGAGGGGCCCGGGGTGGGGGGGGCAGTAATTGAATCATGGGGGCTGGACTTTCCCATGCTATTCTCATGATAGTGAATAAGTCTCATGAGATCTGCTGGGTTTATCAGGGGTTTCCACTTTTGCTTCTTCCTCATTTTTCTCTTCCTGCTGCCATGTAAGAAGTATGTTTCACCTCCTGCCATTATTCTGAGGCCTCCCCAGCCAAGTGGAACTGGAAGTCTCATTAAACCTCTTTTTGTTCCCAGTTTCAGGTATGTTTTTATCAGCAGCATGAAAACAAACTAATGCAGTAAATTGGTACCAGGAGAGGGGTGTTGCTGAAAAGATACCTGAAAATGTGGAAGTGACTTTGGAACTGGATAACAGGCAGAGGTTGGAACAGTTTGGAGGGCTCAGAAGAAGAAAGGAAAATGTGAGAAAGTTTGGAATCTCTTAGAGACTTGTTGAATGGCTTTGACAAAAATGCTGATAGTGATAGGAACAATAAGGTCCAGGCTGTGGTTGTCTCAGGTGGAGATGAGGAACTTGTTGGGAACTGGAGCAGAGGTGGCTCTTGTTATGTTTTTGCAAAGAGACTGGTGGCCTATTGCCCCTGCCCTAGAGATTTGTGGAACTTTGAACTTGAGAGAGATGATTTAGGGTGTCTGGTGGAGGAAATTTCTTAGCAGCAAAGCATTCAAAAGGTGAGTTGGGTGCTGTTAAAAGCATTCTATTTTAAAAGGGAAACAGAGCATAAAAGTTCAGAAAATTGGCAACCTGACAATGCAGTAGAGAAGAAAAACCCATTTTTTGAGGAGAAATTCATGCTGGCTGCAGAAATTTGCATAAGTAGCAAGGAGCCTAATGTTAATCCCCAAGACGATGGGGAAAATATCTCCAGGCCATGTCAGAGACCTTCATGGCAGCCCCTCCCATCACAGGCCCAGAGGCCCAGGAGGAAAAAGTGGTTTTGTGGGCTGGGCCCAGGGTCCCTGTGCTGTATGCAGTTTAGGGACTTGGTGCCCTGTGTCCCAGCTGTTCCAGCTGTGGCTGAAAGGAGCCAATGTACAGCTCAGGCTGTGGCTTCAGAGGGTGGAAGCCCCAAGTCTTGGCAGCTTCCACATGGTGTTGAGTCTGAGGTGCACAGAAGTCAAGAATTGAGGTTTGGGAACCTCCACCTAGATTTCAGAAGTTGTATGGAAATGCCTGGATTCCCAGGCAGAAGTTTGCTGCAGGGGCAGGGCCCTCATGGAGAACCTCTGCTAGGGCAGTGTGGAAGGGAAATGTGGGGTTGGAGCCCCCACATGGAGTCCCTACGGGGGCACTGCCTAGTGGAATTTTGAGAAGAGGGCCACTGTCCTCCAGACCCCAGAATGGTAGATCCATTGGCAGCTTGCACTGTGCACCTGGAAAAGCCGCAGACACTCAACACCAGCCCATGAAAGCAGCCAGGAGGAAGGCTGTACTTCACAAAGCCACAGGGGTGGGGCTGCCCAAGACCATGGGAACCTACCTTTGGCATTGGCATGTCCTGGATGTGAGATCTGGAGTCAAAGGAGATCATTTTGGAGCTTTAAAATTTGACTGCCCCACTGGATTTCGGATTTGCATGGGCCCTGCAACACCTTTGTTTTGGCCAATTTTTCCCATTTGGAATGGCTGTATTCCCCCAATACCTGTACCTCCATTGTATCTGGGAAGTAACTAGCTTGATTTTGATTTTACAGGCTCATAGGTGGAAGGGACTTGCCTTGCCTCAGATAAGACTTTGGACTGTGGACTTTTGGGTTAATGCTGAAATGAACTAAGACTTTGGGGGACTGTTGGGAAGGCATCATTAGTTTTGAAATGTGAGGACATGAGATTTGGAGGGGCCAGGGGTGGAATGATATGGTTTGGCTGTGTCCCCACCCAAATCTCAACTTCAGTTGTATCTCCCATAATTCCCACATGTTGTGGGAGGGACCCAGGGGGAGGTAACTGAATCACGAGGGCTAGTCTTTGCTGTGGTATTCTCATGATAGTGAATAAATCTCACAAGATCTGATGGGTTTATCGGGGTTTCCACTTTTGCTTCTTCCTTATTTTTCTCTTGCCGCCGCCATGTTAAGAAGTGCCTTTCACCTCCCATCATGATTCTGAGGCCTCCCCAGCCATGTGGAACTGTAAGTCTAATTAAACCTCTTTTTGTTTCCAGTTTCAGGTATGTCTTTATCAGCAGCATGAAAATGAACTAATATAACTTTTTTGCAGGCTTATAAGCATCCATATACATACAGCACTAAATTTGATGCTGAGAATATAGCAGATTTTTAATACTTATGTGTAGCTGACAGTTTGACTGTGAAACTCAGTTGATTCCAGTGAAAAATGGTGTGTTGTAGTGGAAAGCCCACCTAGACCCAAATTAGTAGAATCCTGGTAGTGGTCCTTATTGGTGGTATGACTGCAGCACTAGTTGTTTTATCTTCTTGAATCTTAATTTAAAATGAGATAGCAATACTAGCTTACAGAACCATCGAAGAGACTAAATGGAATGGCATATGTGAAAATGTCTGGTAACTTTATTGTTGCTGGTACCTTTACCTGTCTACCTTCCTCCCATCCCTTCTGCTGGCCAGTAGCATGAGTCATGAGGGGCACCATATGCAGTTATCTATATTCAGGCTATGGGTGCTGCAGAGAAGAGAGCCCATTAAAATTTGATGGTGTTCCCAGGAGCTGCTGGGCTGGAGAGGTAAAATGGAAGAGAAGAGAAAGAATAAGAAATAAGAATAGTCAGAAATTTTGCAGCTTTTGAAGAAGGAAGGCACAGGCTTATGGTTTATGATCTGCTTGTATGCATGCCTGCCTATGGGTTGTATTTATTCCTGCCTGAGATTACATCAAAGTACATCTACATCTATATTTCATATTCATCCTCTATACCATATATTCTCCTAAGGAGAACTCTTGAATGTGAACTGTGTGGCAGTGGTGTTTCCTTTGCAGCTTGCTTGCTTTATGAATGATTTTGTTGAAAGAATTTAAAAGCCTTTTCCTTCCTTTGGAGAAACCATAACTTATTTGGATAAATTGCTCCAGAATGGGATTCCCCTGTCTTTTCTGTTTGTATCTTTTCTGCCTTTTACCAATCCATGCCATGATGTTCTGTTGTGTGGGAACCAGTCTAAGACCTGGCTTCCTAGGGGGATAGCCCCCTTCCTCTGTGCCCACTTAGCACTTATCTGCATTTTCCCTCCATCAGCAGGCATTTGTGTCCCCTCTGTGTTATTCTCGTGGCCCTCTTGTTTCTTCACTGAGATTGAGGGCGGGGGTCATGTTCTCCTTTCCCTGTTCTCTAGGGTGACTTGTGTATATATTCTTAGACCCACAATAGATGCCCAACAAATGCAAGATGAGTGAGAGGTGAAAAGCAGGGTTCTGTGCAAACCTGTCCATGGAGCTGGGCAGGGCGGGAGGTATGGAAATCATGAGCCCAGCTTACGCCTTATCGTCCATGTTCACTCATACTTTGCCCAGGGTGTGTTTACTGCTCCTGAGCCCAGGTAGCAGGTGTAAAAATCTAAGCTATAACCAAACCTTAGGCCCAGGAGCAGTAAGAGTGTGGGTTCTAAGCTCATAGTCCAGCTGTGGGACTGAGGCTGAAGGTAGAAAAATTGCCAGGCATGGTGGCTCACGCCTGCAATCCCAGCACTTTGGGAGGCCAAGGCGGGTCCATCACCTGAGGTCAGGAGTTTGAGACCAGCCTGGCCAACATGGTGAAACCCCGTCTCTACCAAAAATACAAAAAATTACCCCGGTGTGATGGCACGTACCTGTAATCCCAGCTACTCAGGAGGCTGAGGCAGTAGAATCACTTGAACCTGTGAGACAGAGGTTGCAGTGAGCCGCCATTGCACCGTTGCACTCCAGCCTGGGCAACAGAGTGAAACTTCATCTCAAAAAAAAGAAAAGAAAAGAAAAGAAAACTGGGTGACATGGAGTGGGGTCCTTTGATCAGGACTCTGAGGAGGCTGGTGTGTTTCTCCCTTCCTGTTTCAGAGGCAGCCCACATCATTTAGCCAATTAAGTTGGAGGACTCTATTTTCTGTTTGAGTGTTTGTTGTTTTTTGTTTAAAATAAATGATGTGTTAATACAGTCAGTTGTTTGCATGACACAGATTTCTTTTCAATCAGTCTCTTTTCCCCTCTCCCCACTCTTCCTGGACAATTAGCAAAGTGTTTGGTCTTTGGTTTGGATGAATAATTGATTCAGAAGCTTTGTGAATGATTCATGGCCCATATGCTGGGGCAGCATGATGTGGTGTATGGGTGTGTGGCAGCAGCACCTCATTACAAAGGTCAAGCTTCTCCCAAGCTTGGTGCAGGGGCTGTGCAGGCCACCTCCAGGGGCAGAGCACGTTGCACCTGATCTTTCTCTCATGTTCTCTCAAAGAGAGAGTGTTGGAGCTTCTTCCAGAAAAGCAAGGTTCTCTATGGGTGTATGACTTCCAGACCAGTGATTCTGGTTTGGGTTGGATTTGTCAGTGAACTGAAGCTTTCCCCTTTAAGCCAACACTTCACTCTCCCCAAGCTGAATAGCTGATTTGATTTTCAAAGCATTTGAGGAAAGGAGATCTCTTGCCTGTCTTCCTTTACATTACAGTACTTCAAACCTTCCCAAGCAGGGGATACTTTTTTCTTTGGATCTTCTCCTAAACACTCCCTGCTACTACGCTAATTTTATTTCCTTGTCTATCTCCTTTACTGGAGATGGAGAACACCTGGTTACCATTCGCTTTATAGGTCTCCCTTGTCTTTGAAGACTATTATTACATACTTGCTTGCATGAGGCAATGGGACTGTTGCCTAGCTTGTGGAAGAGTGGCATTCCCTATCTACAAAACCTCTCAGTATTTGAGACTTCTTAATGTGTCCTGGTCTTTAGAAGCTGAGTTAGGAAAAATAAGTTGGTTACATTAAGTCCTGAACCAAGTTTTTTGTCTCTTAGGCAGTCAGATCCCACATTTTTAAATAGGGAATCGAGACAGAGACAGGATATGAATAAAATCCAAGACTCTGATGAAGATGTGGCAGTTTGGTGATTGATCATTTGGGGTTTTTTTAGTAAGATCATAAAAATATTGCATAAAAATTTATTTTCTAGCATAAGTTATGATTATCATGTTTAGGTCCCTAATCCATATGGTGTTTCTTTGCATCTAGTATGTGAGGTATGACTATACCTATATGTTTTTCCGTCACTTCCCAACTCCACTGAGTGAATACTAACAGTACAACTTTTGCCCACTGATTTGTAATGTCACTTCTGTTTGTATACCAAATTCCCATATATATGTGGTCTGTTTTTAGGCTGTCTTTTCTATCCCATTGGCAATGATTAATGACTATATTTTTATAAAACTTTTTGATAACTGATAGTGCCAATCTTCCCCTCCATTTGTCTTTAAAACTGGCTAATCTTAGCCATTATAATTTCATATGAATTAGAACTAACTTGTCAAAATCTTCAGGTTTTGTTTGGAAATGCAGTGGATTTATTGACTACTTTTGGGGAAAATTAACATTTTCACAATGTTGAATCTTACCAATATTTCTCCACTTATTTGGGATATATTTTATACCCTATTATAGTTTTGGAGATTTTTTCCACTTATGACTTGCGCATCTTTGTTATAATTTTTCTTCTGTATCTTGTAATTTTATTACTCTTGTGAATGATTTAATTTTTTTATTTCTAATAGAATGTTGCTAATGTATAGGAATGTTAGTTTTTATTCGTTGATGTTATATCCAGCAATCGTGTAAAAGTTTGTTAGTTAAAATCATGTTGGTAGATTTTTTTTTAGATTATATAGGTAGAAAACTGTATTAACTACAAACAAGTGTTATTGTATTTGTTTCTTTCTAATTCACCTAGTATATGTTTCTTTTTCTTATCTTATTGCCCTAAACAGGACTTCCAGGAAAATGTTGGGTAATGACAGTAATAGAAGGCTGTCTTATTTTGTTCCTTATTTAAAGTTTAACAATGAAGACAGATGTTCCTTATAATGTTATGGTGAATACTCTTTATAAAGGAAGTAAAGAATGATTGTTAAACTAATGTCAATAATAGCTCAATATTTTCATCTAATTCATAAACTCAAAGGTTTTGGAAGTTCATTCTGTAGAAGATTAAACATTGACATTATTGTGGGTGCTATTGAAAACTGAGTTAAAAGTTTAGTACTAGCAATAAGCTTATTTTTGGAGTGATAATATACATACAATTTTGATGAAACATGATGTTATTGTATAAACAAAGTTTTTACTAAATTAAGAAACCTATGGAACAGAAACATATAGGATGAATTGTATGGACAAAGAATTCATTATCACAGCCACACAAAGTATGGTATTCCGCATTTTGAAATAAAGACTATGTATTGGGTACAGTATACACTGCTTGGGTGACGGCTACACTAAAATCTCAGAAATCCCCACTAAAGAATTTATCCATGTAACCAAAACTACCTGTACCCCCAAAACTATTGAAATAAAAATAAAAAATAAGAAAAGAAGTAGTAGGCAAAAAGAATGAGTAAAAAAGAAAAAGTAACAAGAAAATTTAGCAAGTTCATCAAAAAGCAAGAAAGCAGAGAAAGGAAGCGATTTTAAAGTGAGGCAAGCAGAATGTGTGAAAGTAGAAGTAAGTCCTGACTTAATAGCAATTGAAACAAATGTAACAGATTAAACTTATTTTTTAAAAGTCAGAGGCCCTGTGACTTTATTTAATTTTTTGATCTTATGTTTAAATGACTAAGCTAAGTAAAATGACACTAGAAAATTGAAAATAGAGGAGGTGGCAAAAGGTGTTCTAGACAAATGCCAACCAAAAGTAAGTGAACATAACATTAAAAAAATTCAAGGTGAAAATATCAAAGGAAACAATAGTGACTATTTCACTGTGATAAAAAGAAAATAATTGAAGGACATTTAAAACTTATGCACCGTCAGAATAAATGTCTGTTAAAAACGTAAAGGTAACTATTAGGTAAGGAGATTTCCAACTGGTTTTGAACAAAATGCAACAAAAATTTAGGGGTCTTCATAAAAAAGTTCAGTATCATTTTGGGCACTTAGGTTGATTTACAAAGCAGGTCCTCAGAGGCTTAAACATTTATAAAATGTTTCCCCTCCCCCATTTGTCTTTAAAATTGGCTAATCTTAGGCATTAGAGGTCCTGAACTAAGTTTTGAACAAGGTAATGGGCAGCAAAGAGAAAAAATGTATGCTGCAATTCTGACTTTTAAAAATTCACCACCAACATCATCACAAAACTTTTGTAGTTCAGTTACTCTGTGTATTTGAAATTTTTGATAAAACTATAATGTGTGTATATAAATATATTTTTATGTATATATGTATAAATGTAAATTACATTTCTGCCATATATACACACACATACATACATATGTAATACACCCATACCCATGCACATATAGATGATTACCTTTAAATTTTTAACCACTCGATTGTTGTCTTTTATCCTTTGTGGCTGATAGTGCTTCCAATATCAACATGATTATTTCTTTTTTTTTTTTTTTCGAGACAGATTCTCTCTCTGTTGCCCAGGCTGGAGTGCAACAGTGCAATCTCAGTTCACTGCAACCTCTGCCTCCCGGGTTCCAGCGATTTTCCTGCCTCAGCCTCCCAAGTAGCTGGGATTACAGGCATGCACTATCACCCCGGCTAATTTTTGTATTTTTAGTAGAGATGGGGTTTCACCATGTTGGCCAGGCTGGTCTTAAACTCCTGACCTCAGGTGGTCCACCGACCTTGGCCTCCCAAAGTGCTGGGATTACAGGCATGAGCCACCATGCCTGGCCAACATGATTATTTCTTTACAGATAACTTTTGTTTCCTCTTTCATTGGAAGCATTAGCATTTTTTCCTTACTTTTGGTGCTGTAAAATTTCACTAATATGTGTCTTATATGATGGTTTCTATTTATTTTTATTTTTATGGCATTTTAAGATTTCTATTTTTATTCAATGCTGGGAAGTACTTTTGAATTGATTCTTTTACTTTCAAATTCTCTGCTTCTCCACTTCTTAATTTTGCTTCTCTCCATTTTATCTATTCTTTATTTGTAGCACTTGTTTTAAATGATGTTGGAATTTCTTCCCTCTATTTTTAATCTTTTCTTTATATTTTTCATCTTTTTCTTACTCTTGTGTTGATTTCTGGGAACACTGCTCAGTTCAGTTTTTCACATCTCAAATTCACCTGTCTATTTTGCCACTCAATCTACTTAATCATTTTAAAAGTTTTCAGTTATCGAAATGTTCAATTGCACCATCTCTAGGTAATTTTGTAAAATGCTTGCAATATTCTCACACTTTTCTCTAAGCTGATAATTATATGTCTTCATTCTCATTGAGTATAAGTTCTTTGATTGTTGAGTTTGTTCTCTCTCTCTCCGTGGTATTGAAATTCCTCAAGTTTTTGGTGATTCTTGATTGTAATATTATCTTCTTTCTACCATGTCTGTTTGTGCAAACTTCTTGGAAGGAGAATACCTATGAAGCTAATAGTCTGGCAAGGGTATAGAAGTGGTGAGACCTGCTGCTGGATGGGTCACTTTGATGACCAGTCCCCTGGGAGAGAGCACTTCCTGTTCCTCTCAGGCATGGAAAGGCATGAGAGCACTTCCCCATCTTTCTCACCCAACTTTCATGCCCATTGCCCCTGCTTGTGGGCATATTTTCCTTTTTGCTGCCTGGTCTGAGGGATAAGGTGGGTTAAGGAGGAGGGTTAAAGTGAGTGCTTGATCTTCCTGCTACTGTATTCAAACCATCACCCTGTTGGTCACCTGGATCCCATCAGATCCCAGTGGCCACCCTCTGTAGGTGGGAGCACTTGTGGTGACATGCCTACATTTAGAGTGGTCATATTCTCTTCTGAGGGCTGGGGGCCGTGGTTTCTTTTTCTTTTCTTTTTTTTTTTTTTTTTTTTTGAGATGGAGTTTTGCTCTTGTTGCCCAGGCTGGAGTGCAGTGGCACGATCTCGGCTCACTGCACCCTCCACCTCCAAGATTCAAGTGATTCTCCTGCCTCAGCTTCCCAAGTAACTGGGATTACAGGCATGAACCACCACACCTGGCTAATTTTGTGTTTTTAGTAGAGACAGGGTTTCACCTTGTTGGCCAGGCTGGTCTTGAACTCCTAACCTCAGGCGATCCACCCACCTTGGCCTCCCAAAGTGCTGGGATTACAGGTGTGAGCCACCACACCTGGCCTGTGGTTTCTTTTTAAAAATCAGATTGTAGCTACTTTCTGTCCAGAGGGGATTCATCACAACATCTAGCCTAGTGAGGGTTTGTTTCTCTTTTTTCTGTCCAGTGTGGTTACTGTATGTATATAGAAAATGATTTCTAGGAATTTGGTGGAAGGGGGGAGAGGTCACAGTGTGTGTTCAGTCTACCTGTCTGAGAGAGAAGTTGAGGCAATATTTTCTTCTAACCTCTCTGAGTCTCAGTTACTTCACATTCAAAATGAGGTGGTGATGATGATGAAGCATGAGGGTGGTAGTGGTGATTCTCAGTTAATATTTGAAATTGGAGTGTATGTCAGGCACTGTTCTAAGTACTTTACCTGTGCAAACACATCTAATGCCTCAACAACCCTATGATGTCTATTCTATTACTATTGCCATTTTATAGATGAAGAAACAGAGGTACAGTGAGATTAAATAATTTACCCAGATAAGGGGCTACCTACTATGTAGGATTAGTTTGAGAATTATTAAGCTAACACATGTAAAGCACTTAGCATAGTACCTGAAATATATTGGAACAACAAAAATGGCACTAATAAATATATACTGAGTGAATGAAAAGTCACCAAATATTTATATTCCATGCAGTTTGCAGAAGATCTTGTAGAAGTTAGTTGGACAGGGTGCCCTGTTCTAGTGTTTTCTGTCTTAGTGTTTTTATGTAATATAAAAGCTGTGTGTTTCTGGCCATTTGATTCTTACCCTACCAGCTCAATATTTAAAATTTTTACATATTGAGTTATTGGTGCTTGAAACCATTTTAAATCTTTCTGCTTTCTCATATGATATGATTGCAAATAAATTAGGTAATGAGTTTTAAAAAATCAGTTGTGGTTAATCTTTCAGGTTCAGAGAACTGAAAAATATATCTGCTTTAAGGGAACTTACATTCTAATTTCCATACACATATATATTACATGCATTTTTATACATGCTGCATGAGAAAGATGTCCTTTATATGGTGGTTCTGTATTGAATACCAGCATCCAGCACATTGTCTGGCACAGAGCAGGTGTTCAATAAAGTACTGCTGATTCAATGGAATCTTTTTCATGTGTTATACGTAAATGTGCATGTATATGTAAATTGGAATGCAAATCTGTGCCTTCCTGGGACCCATAGTCTAGTGGAAGAGAGTGACAAGAAGCAATTGCAATACATCACCGCACTAATGCTCTGTTGAATGTATTCTGGGAGTATGGAAGAAGGAGAAGGTGACTGTGTTTGGGAAAAAAAAAACACAGAGAGGTGATATTTATTTAAGCTGGATGTTGAAGGTGGGTAGGAGATTGCCAAGGAGAACATGGGAAAGGGCATTCAGTCAGGGAAAGTGGAGGAAAGCAAACTGACTAGCAAAGTCCTGAGAATCTACAAAGTGAAAATCTGTTCAGTGATATAGTGTTAATCTGAAAAGGCTTCTGTTGAATTTTGAAAAAGATCATGCAGAAGATGATAAGCATGGTTTCACAAAATGTAATATAATTCTGCAATTCTTTGCCTAAAGGCTTTCAGTGGTTTGCTGTTTTCTGCAGCAGAATACAAGATCCCTCCTGACCTGACCACATGCAGCCTGCCCTCCAGCTATACTGGACTACTTGTGGTTCCTTGAATTGTGTGCTATTTCATGCCTCCTTCCTTTTGAATGTGCTCTTTTGCATGCTGTAACACCAACCCTGCCATCCCTCTGGCTGGTATCTATTCAGCTAAGTGACTATTCCCTGACTGTGCTTCCTCCCCATTTCCTTCTATTTTCCGTTACTCGTTGACTAGGCTCACCCTAAACTTCACTCACCCAGTTGACATTAGTATCTCCTCCACTACATAGCTTCTCACCAAGGGCTTGAAGGCAGGGGTTGTATTGTATTCTATTTGAACTCCTTGTGTGCCTGGCACTTAGTAGTCATTCAGCAAATATTACCAAATGAACAGATAATGACTGAACAAGCTAATTAATGAATTAATGAATGAATGAATGGCAGATATGAAAGGGGGAAGAATTCAGGAAGACAGGCAAAATATTTCAAGGATACCTTTAAGGCCAAATGAAGAAATGGAAGGTTGATCCAGCCAATCCTTGTCACATGATCACCTTCATGGGAGGAAGAATATATTATTCCCGGTCTGCTTACCCCTTCTCTAATGGTCCTTTTACCACTACTAATGCTCTGTATGAGCCTCTCAATCCAGGTGTCCCGCAAGGTCTGAGTCCCACTGAAGCTTTTCTTAAGTTGAGTAAAAGTAACCTGAAAAAACTGATAAGCATTTTTCTTAGTAGAAATCCTTCCTCTGAGCAGTAACCTCTGAATATTATGTATAAAACCATTACATTACTTAATGGATAAGACTCATGTTAAAATTCACCTTGTCTCCACAGAAGATAGACCCAGAGTTTAGTCTTTGCTTTTAGTGGCCACATGTAAAAGTGGTGTACAGTGGAGCTGTATTACTTATTATAGGTCTTGTGTTAAAATAGGACAAAGGTAAAATTAGAAACCAGGATGCCAGATTTCAGGTCCCCAGTCTTACAACAAATAAACATGCTTCCTATTTAGGTCCTCTTTGGTCTCTCTCCTCCTTATCATCACCATCAGCAGATGCTCAATGAACACCTCCTATTTGGGTGTGACATCCTGTTGTGTGCTTGTGATGCACAGTTAGACCCTTCAGATTGTTTATAATAAGGGAGATGGAGAACCTTCACAAAATCCCCCGATGTAAACGCATTTCCTAGATCCCTTGTGGAATTTATTGTAATTCTATACATGCACACAATAAACATCAGAGGGCTTCGAGTAGGTGCCTCATCATCAGGAATGCCCTGTATCCTCATCTCCCAAACCGTGGCACAGGGCTGATTCCCCTGTGTTTACTACCCTAATCTCTGTGCTCTATGGCAACATGGTGTTTTATATGGCTTTTATATGGTAGTGTGTACTCCTTGTGTGCCTGGCACTTAGTAGTTATTCAGCAATATTTGATAAATATTGAACAAATTAACAAATGAATGACACATATGAAAGTGAGAGAATTAGGAAGGCAGATGATGGGGTTTAGAATATGCTCCCCAAAATATGTCACCTTGGCGTACTCAATGTTTTAAGCTAAAGGAATTTGAAAAACAACGTGTGCAGGAAAGACTCTCTGGTCTTCCCCTGAAAGAGCTCATAGAACGCTCATGTGAGAGGTGCCCTCCCATCCCTGGAGGAAAGGAGCATCGTGATCCCTGAAGACAGAGGGACACTGACAGGGATATGAACAAATGGACCTCGCAAAGTCTCCCCTAGTTTACTGTACTTAGCCCACACCATTTTGTCTTATTGTATTTTTCCATAATTTTCCACTCTTCATCAAACCTGGTATTAAAACAGTCAGGTATAATCATTTCTTGGAGTCCTCATTTCCTTATAAAGGCTCCTGTGTCTTATAAAAGTTATACAGGTTAAGCATCCCTAATCCAAAAATCCAAAATCAGGAAATGCTCCAAAATCTGTAACTTCTTGTAACGTGGTATTCAAATGCTCATTGGAGCATTTCAGATTTTGGAGTTTTGGATTAGAGATGCTCAACTGGTGAGTATAACATGAATATTCCCAAATCAAAGAAATCCAAAACACCTCTGCTCCCATGCATTTTGGATAAAGGATATTTAACCTGAATTAAATAAATCTGTATGTTTTTCTTTTGTTAATTTGTCTTTTGTTATAGAACCACAGCTGAGAACCTGGAAGGGTAAAAGGAAAAGGTTTTTTCCTCCACTACGCGGGCAAAATATTGCAAGGATGTTCTTAAGGTCCTAAAAAATCTTAAGATTTAACAGGTTTTTAGGCAGAAATGTTGTACTTTCCATTTAGAAAGAAGTTGAAGCTTTATATCCAACATTATATATGTTTAACATAATAACAGTTAAAGATACACTTAAAAAAAGATGGAGAGAATTTTCAAGGAATAGGATTTCAGGAGCTAGAGGTACTAGGAGTTATGAATCTCCCCATTAGATAGGTAGACAATGAAAAAAAAAAGGGGGAAGGGGATGATTTGCAGTTTGATGGTAACAGGATCGTTGAGAGCAGCAAAACAGAAGTAAATTGATGCTCATCTCCCAGATTAGTTGAGAACGGCCTAATTAGCTAATGAACAGTTCCAGTCCTATGTTCTGAAAGGCTCTGTTTCTGGGCAAGCCGCAGTGCTTAGCAGCAGCTGCTAAACCATGTGGACATGCTAACACCAAGCAGAGGAGCACATGTTATGTTTTGACCTGCAAAGACTCGTCTTTTTGAGTCACACATTCTTCAAGGAGTATTAGAGATCTTGTTTCTTCGTATAATAGAGAAGTAGCAGTCTCAGTGGCATGAACTCTGGAGCCAGACTGCCTGGGTTCAAATCTCAGCTTTGTCACTTACTAACACAGTGATCACTGCTGCTTGGTCTCTATGTCCTCATGTAGGCCCTTGCTCCCCACCATTGTATCAGGTTTGGTCTGGGTGACCAAGAGAACACGGCAGAAGTGAGGGTGTGGCTTTTGAGGCTAGGTCCTAGCAGACATTGCCATATCTTCCTTGCTCTCTTGGATCACTTGCTTGGTGGGGAAGCAGGTTACCATATCATGAGGACACTCAAGGAGCCCTATGGAAAGTCACATGATCAGGAACTGGAGACTCCTGCCAAAGCCATGAGTAAGCCGTCCTGGAAACCCAGATTAGTCAAGTGTTCAGATAACTGCAAACCCCAGCTGACAGCTTGACTCCAACTGTGGTTGGTTTCTTGACTGCAACCTCATGAGAGATCTTGAGCAAAAGATCCCCACAAAAACACTCTCAGATTCCCCACATTGCTAATTACTGTTTTAAGCCACGAAGCTTGCTTTTCAGAAGTGTTAATAGATAATTAAAGCAAAAAACTTTGTAAAGAACTAGTTTAAAGGATGTTCTTAACAACAGACTTGACTTGATGAAGAAATAGTGGCTGATATTGTTTGGCTTTGTGTCTCCACCCAAATCTCATCTTGAATTGTAATCTCCACAGTCCCCACATGTCAAGGGGGAGATCAGGTGGAGGTAATTGAATCATGGGGGTGGTTTCCCCCATGCTGTTCTCATGATAGTGAGTGAGTTCTCACGAGATCTGATGGTTTTATAAGGGGCTCTTCCCCATTGGCTCAGCACTTCTCCTTCCTGCTGCCTTGTGAAGAAAGTGTCTTACTTCCCCTTTGCCATGATTCTAAGTTTCCTGAGGCCTCCCCAGCCACGCTGAACTGTGAGTCAGTTAAAACTCTTTCCCTTATAAATTACCCAGTCCCGAGCAGTTCTTTATAGCAGTATGAAATCGGACTAATACAGTGGCATGCCTTTTAATTTCTTGATTTATGGAATACCTTTAAAGTAATGTTACCTAAAGTAACTTTTGTGGAACAGTAGTCCTGCAAGATGCTCCATATATAAGGGGTTTGATGTGTTTATTAGTTTGGGAAATGCTGCATACTAGATCTCCTTCTTGGAAATACACGTTGCTCATAAGCATATTAAAGAATATAAACAAGTCTTAAGGATTTTTTGTTTGTTTGCGTAGTCCATTGTTTCCTAAACTCATATAACCAAGGAATTTTTAAAGTCAAATGTCACATATTAAAATATTAGAGAATACTCTGTAAGAAATGTTGTCTTATAACACTGATTCTCAGACTTATGCCTACATCAGAATTGTCTGGAAAGCTTAAAACGAGATTGTTGGGCCCCACTCCCTGTGTTTCTAATTCAGATAACCTGGGGTAGGGCTTGAAAATTTGCATTTCTAATAAGATCCCTGCTGATGCTGATGCTGCTGATGGGTGCGTGTGTCGGGAGGGGACCACATTTTGGGAACCACTGTTCACTAGGGTTTCAGGTTCCTGAGTAAGAGCTTAAAGAATGAACATGCAAATGGCCAATAAGCACAGGAACTGATGTTCATCTGCTATGGACTGAATGTTCCTGTCCACAAATTCATATGTTGAAACCCCAGTCCCCAATGTAATGATATTTGGAGGTAGGGTTTGGGGGAGCTAATTAGTTCATAAGGGTACAGCCTTTATGATGGGAATAGTGCTTTCAGAACAGCCGTAAGAGAGCTTGCTTCATCTCTCTCTGTCATGTGAGAACACAGTAAGAAGATGGTTCTCTGCAGACTGAGAAGAGGGTCCTCGCCAGGAATCTAACTGGCCAGCACCTTGATCTTGGACATCCCAGCCTCCAAAACTTTGAGAAATAAATTTCTGTTGTTGAGGCCACCCAGTGTATGGTATTTTTTAAAGCAGCTGGAACTGAGCAAGGCAACATCATTAGCCATTAGGGAAATGCAAATAAAAACCACGATAAGATACCACCTCACACCCATTAGGGTGGTTACAATAAAAGAGACAGACAATAACAAATATTGAGCAGGAATATGGAGAAATTTGGATCCTCACACATTGCTGTTGAGAATGTGAAATGGCACAGCCTCTTTTAAGCTCCTTAAAATGTTAAACATGGACCATATGACCCAGCTATTTCACCTCTAGAAATTTTAAGAGGCATAACATATACCCATACAAAAAGTTGTGCATTAATGTCCATAGCAGCATCATTCACAATAGACAAAAAGTATCCCAAGTGTACATCAGCTGATGAATGGGTAGACAAAATGTGGCATGTCAGACAATGGAATACTACTCGACAATGAAAAGCAACAAAGTACTGATACTTGCTATAATGTGGGTGGACCTGGAAAACATAAAGAAGTTCCTCACAACAGGCTACATATTTTATGACTCCATTTATATTAAAAAGTTCAGAATGAGCAAATCCATAAAGGGCGTACGATAGTTGTTACGAAAGGCTGGTAGAAGTGAGGTGGGGAGTTGACTGGTAATGGGTTTGGAGTTTTTTTGGAGCGTTGAAAATGTCCTAAAATTAGATAGTGGTGATGGTTGCACAATCCTGAATATACTAAAAAAAAAAACCCCACTGAATTGTACGCTTTAGAAGGGTAAATTATGTGGTTGTAAATTATAACTCAATAAAGCTGCTATAAAAATGCATATAGCTTCTAAATTAGGATGGCAACAAAAGTACAAATATCCAATTGCAGTATACGTTTTAACTTTATTGTAACCTATAAGGTGCCAGAGGCATACTACAAATGGTGGCAGTGGTGGGTTGGTGCAAGCTGAAAATTTAGATGTAGCTGGCGTTTTAGCACCCTTCTCCCCCTCCTTCATTCCCGTGCAGATAATAAATGTTTATTGTTGTTCTATTGTGGCCCCAAGTGAGCTGTGGACATGGTGGGGAAGCAGCAGGCTGACCCCGGAGGGTTTGCTAATCAGAGAGAGTGTAAAACCTGTTTCAGAATCTGTCATTTACATGGGGCAGCAAATGACAGATAGCAATTTAAAGGGTCACCTTTCCCAGGGTATGGCTGTTTGTTTTGGTCATTGTGGTTGGTTGTTTTGCATTTTAAGAATGTTTGGAGCCTTAAGCTAGCACAGTGGCTCTCCAAACTTCAGCGTGCATCAAAATCTTCTGAGGTTCTTGTTTAAAATGAAAAATTTGGCCCTACCCCCAGAGGGTAAGGAATCTGCCTGTTTAGCAAGCACTCAGATCATTCTGATGCAGGTGGCTCATGGACCACGGTAAAAACATTTCAGCTCCAAAAAAAAAAGTCTTGCTATGTTGGGGGTGTACATAAATAAGCATGGGGCTGATCTAACCAACCCCAGGACAGTAGTTACTCCCAGAAGGAGGGGATGAAAACAGGTTGGGTGGAGCCTTGCCTGTGTCTGAAATGTCTAGGTTTTTTAAAACATGATTTGAAAGAAATAACAGAAAATATTAACCCCTGTTACATATAATACCATGTTTGTTGTATCTTTTGCCTTATTTTTTGACTATTTGAAATGCAGTATCTCAAAGTATTTTGTCATACTTGGCATTTTAGATGTTCGTCCATTCCAGGGACTCAGCGCACTGAGGCAGGGAAGACAGTGGTCCAGTTGGTGGGCTCCCTGTGTCCTGCAGGGCTGTGGGGGGATGGCAGTGCTCCCAGCTTGGAATCCCCCCACACTGAGGTGGGAGATTTCCTCCTCCCACGTGAGGGTGTGGTCTTGACTACTCCTGGCTCCACACAGGCTGTCCCTTAGGGCAGGGGGCAGGAGCTCAAGAAGCTGGAGGATAGAATTTCTCCCCTGAGAACAGGAAAGAGAGGAGGCACGAGGAAACCACAGTCTGTCTGCTTTACCCTGATGGACTTCTGTTCAGGGAGTTTGGGTGAATTCCACATTTTGATCACAATAGTTGTCGCCTGCCTTTCTTTTCCCTCATAGCTTTCAAGACCCCTTTCATGTCCCTCTGTCTCCAGGAAAGATGATTTATTTTTTTCTTGGCCCAAGGCTCCCCCAGGGGCCCCAAGTCCAAACACTTTCTTTGCTGTTCCTTCAGGAGTGTTCTTTCTGTGATCCCATTATATTGAAATATATGCAGATGGAGCATCACGTGTGCCTCTAGGGGGTTGGGGAGGAGCCTAAGGAACCTAGAGAGCCATCCTGAGATGTGGGGAGAGGGTTGGGGTGCTGCAGGAGAGCGGGATGACTGGCCTGTGTTGACAGACACGCCGTGGGGAAGCAGAAGCTGCCCCGACAGTCTTGTAAATGGAGTGTTCACCTCTAGCAGATGTAAGGCATGGTTTGGAAGGGGATGTGTGCCAGGTCGTCAAGTTTCACAGCAGTCTCAGGCCAGTTGGGAAGCCTGGCAGCGTGTGCCATCCCTGAGCAAGAGGGAGGCTGGAAGAGAGGACTGTGGTCTGAAAGTTAGGAGCCCTGGGCTCTTGCTAGCTTCTTCCTTCTTCGAACCTCTGCCCTGCTGTGTGAGAGCAGGTAGTGCCCTTCCTCTGCCTTATGGAGTGATGAGAAGGAATTAGGGCACTTGGAAGATGCTGATTTCTAATCCTTTAGTTGCCACCAGGCCTCAGCCCCCTTGACTTTCTTCCTCACCCCCTCAATTTTCCTGCTGCCCTTGAGCTCTTCATAAAAGTCCCTGCTGGGGCCCTGCCTTCTGTTTTCTATCTCAAATTGTCCCCTTTCCCTTCCCAGACCTGTTGTCCTCTATGTTGAAAGTTTCTAAAGTTATGTGAGGGACTGTTTGGGGCTAGGGTGGAAGGGGGCTCTTAGTAGACACCACCACTCACCCATTCTGTGCCAAGCTTGGGGCCAGCTGCTGCGGTGATAAACACACCCTCTTCTCTACACAAAAAAGCCGTGCAGACAGTGCACATTCATCAGCTCCTGTTCTGCCTCTTCATGACAACTGTCCACCTCTCAGGACATGATGTGCTCTGAATATCAGTGTCGGGCCATTTCAAACCCAGGGGATTTGGTGTCTGGTGTTAGCCTGGGGTAAGAAGTAGTGACCCAGGCACTGGGCTCACCCCTTTCCTGCATTCTTTATGCCTGACAGTTTCTCAAGTCGTGCCTGTCCTTTTAAATCAAGCGATCTGTTCTTCCCTTTGATGTCGTCCTCCTGGCCACCAGCCTACATCCTCATTACCTGATAACTTAGATGATTTAAAGCCTCACTGGTTGGCTTCTTGCCGTCATTTTCTCCCCAGCTTCAGTCTGTTAACGGCCATGAAAATCTCACTAAAGCCCTTCTACAGCAAGGCACATGCCTAAATGGGAACCCAAAACATCTCCCTCTTTCCCATTGCCCCCTCTGCCCTGTTCTCTGTGGCTTTTGAAGCCTTCCTCAGCACTGATGCCACCTGAACTCCAGCAGTGCTCATGCCTGCCCCCGACTCTGGCCACCGATGCCACCTTAACTCCAGCAGTGCTGATGCTTGCCCCTGACTCTGGCCACCGATGCCACCCTAACTCCAGTGGTGCTCATGCCTGTCGCTTTGGATTTCTCACCCCTGTTCATGATCTGCCCTCCTCTGGAATCCTCTATCCTCTCCTCTTTCCTGTGCATCTTTCAAAGCCTTTCACGATGACACGGGCTGGTGCATTTGCATTCAGATCCTCTGTTCACTAGAAATGGAAGGGACCTTGGAGGTCCTTGAGTCCAGCTTCTTTCCAGAGTCCCCGCAAGGGGCAGTAACTTGCCACTGACTACACACTAGGTTATTCCAGGACCAGACCTCTCACTCCTAGTCCAGCGCTCCTTCCACCACACCATGCTGCCCAAAGATGTAGAGGAAGCATTCTCGCCCACAGCTGACTGGGATGTTGTCATCAACAGCGGCGGAGATGCAGTGGGAGTAAATAACAATGTTTGTGGAGGCCTTCTTATTCATTGCATTTGCGATGCAATTAGCACTTTATTATAGCTTGTTCTCATTCTTATTGTCAGTTCCACACATTGAGCCCTTTATTTTATCAGAATATAACACTGCCTCGTTTGCTAATTACCTCATACATAGAAGTAAAAACTGTCTTAAATATCTTTTGTAGCCCACAGCATCTCCTGAAGTTCTAGGCATAGAGGAGAACTTACTATCTACTTGTTAATTCACTGGGTTTCAAGGACAATTCCAGGCAAGGCTCACATTTGAGCCATTAGTTGTGATGAAGACCTGTCCACTAACAGCATTGTCAGCTTTGCCTTAATTTTCTATCTGAGGCTTCTTAGAGCCTCCTGGTTAGAGGTAGGTATACTTTCCCCTCTGTTCCCATAACACTTTTTTTTTCTTTTTTTTTTTTTGAGTCAGGGTCTCATTCTGTCACCCAGGCTGGAGTGCAGTGGTGCGATCTCAGCTCACCGCAACCTCTGCCTCCCGGGCTCAAGCGATTCTCCTGCCTCAACCTCTTGAGTAGCTGGGATTACAGGTGCGTGCCACTACCACCCAGCTAATTTTTGTGTTTTTAGTAGATACGGGGTTTCACCAGGTTGGCTAGGCTAGTCTTGAACTCCTGACCTCAAATGATCCACCTGCGTTGGCCTCCCAAAGTGCTGGGATTACAGATGTGAGCCACCGTGCCCAGCCTCCATAACACTTTATTAGTATCTTTATTGTTGCTCATGTCATATGGATAATTATGAACAGACTCCTGCCTCCTCCTATGTTTCTGGGGACAATAAGAAGTCTTTCTTTGTATGGCCCGTAGGCTGCTTTGTCCACACAATGTCTTGCACATGGTTGTGCTCATACATGGTTGTTGAATTGAATATTATGAATAATGACAGAGTTAACAGTAGCTTACCCTCATGTGGTTTATCTACACAGCCCAGGGCTTTCTTCCACAGTGTGGCCAAACCCCAGACTGGGACTAAGGCCAGGCTAGGAGGGTTTGGGATGGTTTCCAGATGGGCAAAGATAGTTTTGTGTCTCAGAATGTGTCTCTAACCACATCTCAAAACCAAATATGATAAATGACTTTCGTCTTATCCATCATGTTTAGTTGGCTAAGCCTCTTCCTCTATCAGCCCAGATAATGAAGAGATGGGATTTTTATTGTTTTCTCTGTGGCACAGAGAATAAAGCAAGTTCCCAGGTAACAAGGCACAGCAGCATCTTTCAAGCCCCGAAACTGAGATGGTCTGAGAAGAACAGGCACGTCTAGGAGAAACAGAAAGGAAAAGCCAGCCGGAAAGGGGAATCATTCTTAATCGATCCCAAGCCTCTGAGAGCTGGAAGGTCTGACTGCATTTTACAAATAAAAAAGTCAAAGCCCCATAAAGGAAAGTAGCCTAAAGCCACAGGGATGGTGAAGGAGTGGCGTCAGGATGGGCAGAAAGAGCTCTGGACTCTTGGGCTGCTGCTACAACCACCTGGTGTGGGTTTTCTTAACACCACAGCTCCATCAGGTTCTTAGGAAAAATGTCACACAACCAGGTTGTCAAAAGGGCTTTGAGGGCATTAAGAAAGGGACAGAAGTGGATGGATTAGAATGGACAGGTAGGGTACCAAGGGGCCAGAGTGAGAATGAGGAAGAAGGGCTGAAGAGAGAGGGATCAGTCGTATTTGCTTCTGTTTCTGAATAGTTTCCCTTTTTGGAAAGAGAAGTAAGAGAATAGAAGGCTAAAATCATGCCACAGACTGGCAGGGGTGGTTGGGTGTAGACACAACAGCTCACCTTCAGGCTGCTTTCACATTCATTCATCTCTTTCCCTTATAATGATGATGCTGCCTCCAGTTTTTAGAACTTTCTGGAAACTTCTGAGAAGTGACTGTCTAAAGGGGGATGATGGGAGAAGGGGAGTTGCCCATGGGTTCCCATCGTGCTTGCTGGAGCAATGGGTGTTGGCAGATTTCTTCAGAAGGAGGTTGTCAGCAGTGGGGTGGGGCTGGGAAGAAAGCCACAGTGAGGCAACAGGTGCAGGCATGGAGACCAGAGCAAGCACAGTGTCCGTGGAGAACGGCATGCATGTCACGGCAACCACTGGAGTGGGCGTGGAGTGGAGCATGGCGGAGAGTGGGGGTGAACAGGCAGGCAGGAGCTCTAGGTCTGTGTACTGCGGTGACACTTCTGGATTCTACTGTGAAGACAATAGAGGGCCATTAAGAGGCTTAAAGTGAGGGGGTGGTAGAATCCTGGCTACATAGACCTCCCAGCACTCAGAGCCTTGGAATCTTGCCATGGTGGTACATGTGTGTGTTGGGGGTAATTAGGGAGGAAGGGGTGAGGCTGAGCTAGGATGACTAGTTAGGACACCATCTTTACTGTCTAGAATATACTGAGGGCTGTGACCTGGGCTGTGTCAGTGGGACCAGAGGAGGGGACAGATACAAAAAATACTTAGGGGTCTTTAAACTTGGGGGATGAGAGGGAAGAATCCAAGATGAATCCCAAGTGTAGGGGAGGGTGGCTTTTTTCACCCTGGATGAGGAGCAGTCTGGTATGGAGAGGGGATGAGGGTGGCTCTGGCTTTGGCGGTTGGGTGTGTCTTTTGGACTGGGTGTGGTGCCCTATAGAAAGGCTGGAGCTTGGGACAGGTCTGTGTGGACACCTCGATTCATCACTGCATGGTTGGTAGTTGAAACCATAGACATGGGTCAGATTGTCCCAGTGAAATGGCAGAGAAGAGGGCAAGGACAGACTCCAAGAGGCCCTGAATCAAATGGGTATGGAAAATATGGAGGGCCTGGGATGGAGGCTGAGAGGGAGCTGGCAGGAGGGGTGGGGGCAGATTGGTTGAGACCATTAGCAGGGAAATGAGGGAGAAAGAGTTTCCAGAAGGGAATGGTTACCAGGTTCAAATGTGAGGGAGGAATTCACTGCTGGCATTTGTTTGAGAAGCCCTGACCTTTTTCTGTTCCCTTGCTAGAAATAAATGCTTTTTTTTTTTGGTAGCAGACAGTAATGTACTGGAATGGAATCATGATTGTTCCGTGTCTCAGAATCCATATGTAAAGTCCCTTGTCAGATAGCAGGGAAACAGTCATCTTTGGGCAGTTTGTACTGAGAGGGAGGGGAGGCCGAGTGTAAAGGATCGGTGCCTTAATTTTAGCAAGGCTCTGAGCCCCTTGGAAGGCAAGCTTTATTTCTACATAGATTGAAAGTATTATTATTATTACATCCTTACGCTGTATCAGCGCCAAACACTGGAGTCCTCAATACTGTATTTATTTCTCTGGGCTTTTGGAGGGGTGGGGAAGAAACGGGACATTTAGGTTGCTAAGTGATTGTGCTTGCTTCTAAAAATAATGAGATTCCCCAGTGGCTCGTTCTCCTGTGTTTTGCTTAGAGTTAGAGGATGCCAAGGTCAAGTTATAGATGACAGGCTGTGTCTCCAGGTGGTGTCAGGGCATCCTGTTGGGGAAGGACAAGGTAAACTCTCCCTCTCTGGTCCTCCCACCTGCATCCCCTTAGGGCCCACTACTTTGGGAAATTGCAGGAAAAACTGGGCCTCCCCCTGCTTGGATTGAAGAGCCTCGCCTAGGCAGTCAGACTCAGTGGTTGCCATGGTGATGGTGGGTGGTTGGTGGGGTGGTGATGCAGCGTTTGGCCTGTGCAGCTGAGGTCCTCAATGCAGGCTGCTTGGAGCCCAGGCTGCTGAAGCTTTTGACAGTTTGTTTAGGATTCCAGAGGGTCACTTGCTGCGGTGTTGAAATCTTCAGACAGACCCGCCAGCTCAGCCAGCTGAAACCTTCATTGTTGAATATGCATCTCACAGGCCAAATTTTGGCAGGCGCTCATGGGATTAGGAGCTCCACAGCAACCTTGGTGGGGGAAGGGGTGTGCGAAAAAGCTCTGTGCAGGGGAGAGTGGCTGGGATAATAGACTCTGAGGACAACAGAAGGCCAGAGGCCCTTCAGATCGTCCAGTTCATCAACACCTTCAACAACATCCCTGACAGCTGGTCACCAAGCTTCTGCTTGGACTCTCCTTGTGATGGGGAGCTCACTACCGGGCAAGGCACACCACTCCATTGTTGAATAGGTTTTACATTTTCTCCTCTCTCCCTCACTTCTTTCGTTCCTCCCTCATTCTCTCCATCTTTCCTTCCCCCCTCCTTTCCTTGCATCCTTTCATTTTTTTGGCAAAATTCTGGCCCCTTCTAATTTGATTCACTGACTCAAGTTATGCCAAGAAGGAAAGCAGTGTAAGCTTTCATCAAAGTGACAACCACTTGCCACCCAACAAAACATTCATACTTTTCTCAGCTACTTCTGACATTATTTCAAGACCCCTTGTTATTTCCCCATCCCCTATATTTCTCCATATTGCTCTTAAAATATAACACCCAGAATGAACCACAGTACTCGACTGGTCTGACCAATGCAGAGGACTTTAGGGTGACACCCATGTTTGTGAACAGTCTGAGATGATTTTGTAGCCCCCTCCTCACACCCTTGGCTGATACAAAGGCTGTGATTCTCTGTCGTTCCCAGATCTTTTACATATGAGCAGCTGATGCTGGGCTCTACATTTGTACTTTTTTGATTTTGTCATCTAAGCTGTTGAGAAACACGTTGAAATGGACAGAAATGATGATGGAATGCCGTGGCAAAACTCTAGAGGCCTCCCTGCAGGTGGAAATTATAATAGTATTCATAGCTTTTTTTTTCTGTTTTTATATCCAACTATCTACTTGTCTAACCAATTAATCACTGATCTTTTTTTTTTTCCTTAGAGTGTTCCATTCCATTGTATGGATGTGCTACAGTTTGTTTATTTATTCAGCAATGGAAGGACATTTGATGTTTTCCAGTTTGGGGTGATTATGAATAAAGCTGCTCTAAACATTTTTTAAAATCATTATATATTTATTATTTTACTTTAAGTTCTGGGATACATGTGCAGAACGTGCAGGTTTGTTACATAGGTATACGTGTGCCATGGTGGCTTGCTGCACCTATTGACCCATCCTCTAAATTCCCTCCCCTCGCCCCCACCCCCTAACAGGCCCCTTTGCAGGGACATGGATATTTTGGTGTTATTTCTGAGGTCTCTGTTCTGTTCCATTGGTCTGTATATCTGTTTCGATACCCAGTACCATGGTGTTTCGGTTACTGTAGCCTTGTAGTATAGTTTGAAATCAGGTAGCATGATGCCTCCAGCTTTGTTCTTTTTGCTTAGGATTGTCTTGGCTATACAGGGTCTTCTTTAATTCCATATGAAATTTAAAGTAGTTTTTTTCTAATTCTGTGAAGAATGTCAATGGTATAGCATTGGGAATAGCATTGAATCTAGAAATTACTTTGGGCAGTATGGCCATTTTTACGATATTGATTCTTCCTATCCATGAAGATGGAATGTTTTTTCCATTTGTTCGTGTACTTTCTTATTTCCTTGAGCAGTGGTTTGTAGTTCTCCTTGAAGAGGTCCTTCACATCCCTTGTTAGCTGTATTCCTAGGTATCTTATTCTTTTTGTAGCGATTGTGAATTGGGAGTTCATTCATGATTCGGCTCTCTGCTTGTCTATTATTGGTGTATAGGAATGCTTGTGATTTTTGCACATTGATTTTGTATTCTGAGACTTTACTGAAGTTGCTTATCAGTTTAAGGAGTTTTTGGGCTGCGATGATGGGGTTTTCTAAATATACAATTATGTCATCTGCAAACAGAGACAACTTGGCTTCCTCTCTTCCTATGTGAATACCCTTTATTTCTTTCTCTTGCCTGATTGCCCTGGCCAGAACTTCCAATACTATGTTGAATAGGAGTAGTGAGAGAGAGCATCCTTGTCTCGTGCCAGTTTTCAAAGGGAATGCTTCCAGTTTTTGCCCATTCAGTGTGATATTGGCTATGGGTTTGACATAAATAGCTCTTATTATTTTGAGATGCGTTCCATCAATACCTAGTTTATTGAGAGTTTTTAGCATGAAGGGATGTAGAATTTATCAAAGGCCTTTTCTGCATCTATTGAGATAATCATGTGGTTTTTGTCATTGGTTCTGTTTTTGTGATGGATTATGTTTATTCATTTGCGTATGTTGAACCAGCCTGGCATCCCAGGGATAAAGCCGACTTGATCGTGGTGGATAAGTTTTTTGATATAGTCACTGGTATTTTGAGGTGATTGCTATCATTATCATGATCTTACTAATAAGAAAGCAGAGCCACAGAGAGGTAAAATAAGTTGCTCAAGGTCACACAGGCTCTAAATAGCAAAGTCAGTATTTGAATTTAGTGTTTTTTGTTGAGCTAGGGTTTCACTCTGTCATGCAGGCTGGAGTGCAGTGGTGAGATCACAGCCCACTGCAGCCTTGACCTCCTGGACTCCAGGGATCCACCCCAGCCTCCCTAGTAGCTGGGAATACAGGCACATTCCACTATGCCCAGCTAATTTTTTTAGTTTTATTTCTTGTATAGATGAGGTTTTGCCATGTTGCCCAGGCTGGTCTCGAACTCCTGAGCTCAAGTGATCCTCTCACCTCCGCTTCCCAAAGTGCTTGGGATTAAAGATGTGAGCCACTGCGCCCAGCCTGAATTTAGTTGTTATTCAGTAATCCATATAATTTGGGAATGATTGTTCAAATGGCACAGACTCTGACAGGGGTTCAATCTACCATTGTGTCAGTGTAGCAGATGAGATTTTTGTCAAGGGGCTTGCTGAAATCCAGGGTACCATATCTTTAGCATTTTCCTAGTCTGTTTGTCCAATAACCCTGTTTAAAAAAAGAAACAAGATTAGCTTGGATCGGTTTATTCCAAGAAATCTCATGCTAATTCCTAATAATAAGAAACAATGCCAATAGTGATACTAATGGTCCTCACATTTGCTGAGTCCCAGCCTGTGCCAGGCACTGAGCTAAGCTTGTCCCATGCACTGTTTGATCATCCTGCTTTCTCGTTGCTCACACACTGTGTACTGACGTACGGCTGAATTCTCCTGGGATTGACAATGAGCTTACTGGTTATCACTGTAGAGTCTTCTGTTTGGAATCAAGACATTTGCTCAGGTTTTAAGGCCTCTGTTTTTATCCCCAGTTTCTCACAAGCTGCTTGTTTGGATGTCTTATCAGTGCTGGATCTAAGTGAGCATTTAATTTGGAGCTGCAGGCTGGGTTCAAGTCTGGCTCTATGACAGCTTTTTATCAATGAGACCAACAGCAAATCACTCAACCTTGAGCTTTGGTCTTCTCCTCTTCCAAATGGAGATTATAATCCCTATGCAGAGTATTTCCACAGATGCTGAGATGCTCATACAGGAGAATGTTTGTGTAAAAGTGCTTCTCAGACTTCAGTTGCAGACACACTTGAGCCATTTTTGTTATTTAAAATGGTTAAGTGTTCCTACTAGTATTATCTCCTATCCAAGTTTCACTTTTAACAGAATTTATCCTCCCCCTTTTAGATTTTTAAAAAATATTCATAAGACACTCAGAGGTATGACTGAATGTTGGTCACTAGACCCAGAAAGGGGTATACCTACCAGCTCTTGCCCACTGAGTTGTGCTTGAGGTGGAAGAAACAGAATTGCAGACTCCAGGAGGAAAAGGTATGCTTCTAGAGGTCTTTCATCTAGAGCGAATCTTTCCCACCTTCTCCTAATCAGCAGAAATCATTACAGGAACAAGACATATCGATCCTGGTCTGAGGGCACCATATACATAGAGTTCTGTTTTCTTCTTTTTCTTTCCACCCTCCCCCAGCCTCAGAAGGCTAATCCAGTGCCACCTGCGATTTCTTCTGATGTTACTGTGGAAGGGAGGGTTACATAAAGAGAATAACCAGGTTTTCTCCTGTGGCACCTGCAGCCCCATTTTCTCATTGGGAAAACCAAGGTATGAAGGAATAGGTTAGGACTTAATGGTGCATAAACTCAGAGCCAGCAGTCATTCTTCCATCCCTGGTCTTGGCATTTGGAAGATGTGATCCACTATGTTGTAAGGTCTAAGGGGCAGGAAATACAAGATGATGTATTTATGTAAATATAATGTACTATGTTGTAATCATATGTGCATGCAGGAATGAATGACTGAATAAGTGAAGGGAGAATTCTTTTCTACCTGAACTGTGGCTCCTGCTAGTCTGAAAGGCATGCAGCCTTTCTTAAGCTTTATGAAGAGGAAGGCTAGAAAGAAGTTCAGAAAAGCTTCCCCCATCTTTATTCTTTAAACTCTATATAAAGGCATGAAATGTTCTGAGACTGACGAAAACATGGGCCTAGACCAGCAAATGATTTTGGAATAACAAAGATGAGCCTAGTTCTCTAGCTATTGTCACCTCCTTTGTTGTGCCAGTGGTGGTTACCATGTGTCCTCCTTCACTGGAGGATACAGCCAAAGTGAAGGATGCTGCAGTGTAAGGATGCAGGATGGGTTTTCTGGCTTCAAATTCGTTATAGACTAGAGTAGCCCAGGGCATCTTCTTACTAGATGTCTTGCATCATGGCAGCAACACCCCTGGTCCCTCTGGGGTGGATGGGGTGCAGCACACCTTGGTGAGGGGTTTACACTAAATACTGCTGACCCCAGGACAGCAATTTCTCATACATTTTTATTCCAAAGTATTCCTGAAAGGTACTTTTGCTTCCTCATGTTTCCACAACAACCCCCTCTAGAGCAAGGATATAAATAAGAAAGCAAAATTTCAGGCTCCCTTTACAATCACAGTAGCTGTTAACTGCTGAAAGGGACTCAGAGAGGGGCCCCTGTGGGAGGGGGAGGCAGAGGGTGGAGCAGGCCAGCCTGTCTCCCTGGGTAGCACATCCCCAAAGAATCCTCTGAGCATTGATCTTTGATTGTGCCCCTTCCGTGCTACCCAGCAGGACCTTCTCCCCTAAAGAGGGGTCACTTTGTATTGAGGATCTCCTTCTTATATTGCATTTGCTTAGAGGGTGCATGGCCTCAGACCACATTTTGGGGCTGATGGGAAGAAGTTGGGGCAGGAGGGCACTGTGGTCATAATGAGGTCATGGACTGCTAAAGCTTCCAGTTCTGAGGGGCTCAGGTTTCTCAACAGAGTGAAGATCAAAGTGTGTTCAGTGTGGCTGCTGCTGCTGCTACAAAGAGGTGTGAAATGTGGGTTTGGAAAGAGAACCGAGGATAATTTGCTAGTTTATAGCCTTTCCTAGAGTTCACACAGAATTTTTAGTACTTTCTCTCCCTCCCTTTTTTGTAACTGTTTCAGAGAAGGTGTGAGATCAGCAGGCTGTGAACATCGTGCAGTGTGGGAAAGGGGAGCTGAGGCATGGGTCTCTGTCTCCTTGGCCCTGGGAGAAGGGATTTTGGTGGGAGCTGGGGGAGTGTTTGGGTGTCATCTTGGGGAGCATGTTGGGGAGTGTGTGGGATCAACATTCCCACCACCTTCCTCCCTGTCACCTGGGTGCTGGCTTCTGGAAGGCTCAGCCCTGCAGGTCCATAGCAGGACTTTCCTGGCTGTGCCGTACAAAGTACCTGACGATGAGATTGCTTGGAAGGGCATGGGGAGGAGCCAGTGACAGATGTGGTGGGATCCATAGAAAGGGCTGCTGTGGAGCCTCTGCGTATTACTCAGGAGCACCTACTGAGTTTTCTGTACAGCCTTTGTTTTGCCCTCTGGAAAATGCCACCAGGAGCTCTAACCTTACTGTGATCACCCTTTGCCATTCAGTGCCTGCCTCCATTCCATCTGACAGCTTTAGATATTTGAACAGTCCTCTTGCTGACAGCTGTGTGGAGCAGGAGTGTCCTGTTCGCATGCCAAGTACTCAGACTCTGGGAAGACAGAGATAATGAACTTCCTTTTCACCCCAGTGATTGCCTCCGAGTTCAGAACTCTGTGCCCTCGCATCAGGCTGTGGCTGAGCCTCCAACTTGCTTTGCTCCCTTGGCCCAGCATCTCTCCCCTTCCTGTCTACTTTCTCAACCACTGCTGGGAGACCTTCCTAAAGCATAGCTTTGCTCATGTTATCCGCTGGGCAGAAACCATCCATGGGTCTCAGTGCTCATGAGAGGAGGGGGCAGAGCTGGCTCAGCGGCACTCTGTGGGGAAAGGACTCGGGTTATGTTAAGAAAGTGAGATTGCTGCCAAAAGGGATCCCACCCTCTGGACCTGCTGTGACTGGGATTCCAGGCCTTGAATAAGATTCAGACAGTCCCATTTTTAAATTCAGCTCTGGCTAGACTGCCTCTGCAGTGTTTTTGAAATGGGTGCTACCTTAGAAGAGCAAAAAGGAGTAGTCTCAGATACAATTGTCCAGAATAACTAGGGTTTAATCTAAAGAGTGAGTTACCAGGAAATGAGAGAAGGAGTGAGGACATAGGCCTGGAGAAGAGAATAATTCCAGAAGCAAGTGACATTTGTCTTGGAACACTTGAAGGGCAGTCTTGAAGCTACACTAAGAGAGGGTTACTTTGTGTAGCTCCAAGTTCAGGGATGGGCTGTGCTGCCCTCACTGCAAGAGTTCATATAGATGCTGGGATGAGCTTCGCCCAGGAACACTGTGTTCCTGGAGTTTGGGCTTGATTTTCTAAGATCATATCCAACTTGAAGTTTATCAGTTCACCCTTTCCTGCCACATACATTTATCGAGTACCTACTACATGCCAAGCACCTTAGTTTGTGTTATACTGGAAAGGCAGCACAGGCTTTGCCCTCAGAGAACTCAGTCTAGTAGGGAAAAACAGATAAGAAAACTGAATTATAAGATAGAAGACTGAGGGAAAGGGTGGTTTGGGAAACCTTCCTGAAGCAAGTGCATGCTGAACAGTGTTGAGGAGGAGCAGTTTAAACCTAGCCAGGGTGAGGTGCATGCGAGAGCCCTGAAATGTGAAAGCTGGGCACCTGCAGGAAACCAAAATTAGTTCAGGTGACTGGAGGGTGGCAGGCGGAGGCGTGGCAAGAGGCTGGAAGACAAGGTGGAAGACAGATCATGACATTATTCTAAAGTCAGCATGGAAGGATTGGAGGATTTTAAATGAGAAGCTATAAGCCAGACTTGGATTTTAGAAAGATCACTCTAGTAATGGTCTGGAGAGAAGAATACGGGAGGAAAGGGTAGGGAGGCAGAGAGAAACCAGTAGGTATTCTTGTGAAAAATTATGAGGACGTTGGCAGTAGGGATAGAGAAATGAAACTGTTAATAGAGAAAAAGCTATGGAGTTCCTACAAGACGGTCTTTTGGGAAAGACAGAAGAGGTGACATTTAAGTTGAGACCTGGAAGATGAGAATAAAACAGTCACGTGTAGATGTGAGACCAAGAGAGCTCCAAATTGAAGGACTAGCGAAGCCCTTGAAACAGAATTAAGCCTGGAGCATTCAAGAAACAGAGAAGGCTGTTGTGCCCAGATCACAGAGATCAGTGGAGACAGCCTGAATCTTGCAGGGCCTGGGAGAGGTTTGTTCCTGGGAAAGGTTTGGGCTGTTACTGCAAGTGTAATGAGAAGCTAGGGAGCTATAAGCAAATTGGTCTGACTTACACCCTAGAAATTTCACTCCACTGTGTAAAGAATGGATTGCACAGAATATGTGCAGGCTGGAGGCCTTGTAGGGAGCTGTTGGAGAGTGGAAATGCCCAGCAGAGTACCAGGTATGCAAGGAGAGAGGTCTGTCCTGGAGATAAAGACTGGGAGTCATTTGCATCCAAGTGATAGTTGGGCACTTCGTTTCAGTAAGGCCTTTTAGGGAGTGAGTGTGGATTGAAAATAAAAGTGGGGAAAGGCAAGTATGAAACTTTAGGAAATGTGGCTTTTAAAGGGAAGTGGAGGAAGAGGAGTAGCCAAAGGAGAAAAGGATAACTCAGAAGGAAAGGGAGGAATTTCAAGGAGAGGGTACTAAACACTACAGAGTTATTATAAAGTGCTGCAATACAATACCGACAAGTACATCTTGAATTTGGAGACCTGCGGGCCTCTGATGCCCTGTAATGAGTCATTTTCACGGAGTGAGGAGGACAGCAGCCAGGGGCAGCAGGCTGGGTAGGTAGAGGGTACAAATGTGCACCAGCTTCAGAAGCTGGACCAGGGAAGTGAGGAGGCTAAGGAGGGGCCACAGAGATGCAGGGAAGAGCTGTGTCAGAAGAGAGCACACAAAAAGTTGAGGAAACAGGAGAGGGGGTCATCACAGAGCTGCTGAAGGCGTGGGATGCAGAGCATCGACATTCTTCTGCAATGTGAGAAAAAGGGTCACCAGCTTTTAGGAGACTTCAGTCCACATTGGTATTAGAAAGTTTTGATTGTTTAAAATAAGGATCTCTAATGATTATGGAAGAGCTATTTTTTTTTTCTGTATTTGTTGACCTTTAGTCATATTTGAAGTTTAGCAATCAGAACATGTACTACAGCTCTTAATTTGAATGTAAACTCACCATCCAGGCCCACCTAGACAGGGTCACAAAGAGTTGCTTTTGTGAAGAGCTCTCAATATTTTTGCCAACTTCAGAAGGTTAGGAAGATACTGCAAACAACCTTGCTTTTTTTTTTAAGTTTTTTTTTGTGTGTGTGATTATAAGGAATATATTTCCATTGGAAAAAAAATCAAGAAAATACAGATAAGCATAAAGATAATACAGATAACTTGTAATTCCACTACCTAAAGACAATCACTGTTACCATTTTGGTATATTTCCTTCTAGTCTTTTTTTTCCTTTTGAATGTATTTTACACTGTTGAATTAATATTTTAGATAAAATATTTTCCCTTTAAAGTTATACTGCTTTTCCTCTTAAGACTATATGATGCCTTTTCCATTGTATTAAAAGTTCTGTAGAAATAACATTTAATAGCATTTAAAAGGCTGTGTAATATTCCATTGAGTGCACCATACTTTGCTCAACCATTCCCCTACTGTTAAAACACTAAAGTCTTTCTGTGGAAAACCAGTATGGCAGTTCCTCAAAAAATTAAACATAATATGATTAACCATATAAACCAAATTGAACCATAAAAATTAAACCATATGATTCAGCAATTCCACTTCTGGGTATGTACCCAAAGGAATTGAAAGCAGGGACTTGAACAGATTTGTACACCCATGTTCACAGCAGCATTATTCACAATAACCAAAAGGTTTCAGAAGCAACCCAAGTGTTCACTGATGGAGGAATGGATAAACAAAATGTGGTCTGAACATACAATGGAACAGTATTCAGCCTTAGAAACGAAGGTAGGCCTGACACATGCTACAGCATGGATGAACCTTGGAAACATGATGCCAAGTGAAATAAGCCAGGCACAAAAGGACAAATACTATGTGATTCCACTCATATTAGGTACTTAGAGTGGTCAGATTCACAGGCAGAAAGCAGAAGATGGTTGCCAGGGGGCTAGCAGGAGGGGAGAGTTATTGTTTAATGGTACAGAGTTTCAGTTAGGGCAGATGAAAAAGTTCTGGAGATGAGTGGTAGTGATGGTTGTACAACAATAGGAATGTACTTAATGCCGCAGAACTCTACACTAAAAATGGTTTAAAATGGCAAATTTCATGTTATGTATAGTTTACCACAATTAAAAATCTTAATACTGACATTTTTTTGAAGTTGGGTTTATTGGGGTATAATTTGCATTTAGCAAAATCCATTCTTCTTAGATATACAACTCTGTGTTTTGACAAATGTATATAGTTGGCTAACTACTACCATAATCAAGATATAGAATATTTCTATCACCCCCCAAATTCCTTCCAGCCTCTTTCTAGTTAATCTTTTCTCTTCATCCTCAGCCTCTAGTAACTGCTGATTTTTTGTTCTTATAGTTTTGCCTTTTCTAGAATGTCATAAATGGGAAGAGGAGTCTACAGCCTTTTTGGCTTCTTGCACTTTGCATAATGCTTTTGAGATTCATCCATGTTGCTGCATATATCTGTAGTTCATTTCTCTTTATTTCTGCCTAGTATTCAGTTGTATGGATGATCACAATTTGTTTATTCACCAATCGAGGGACATTTCAGTTGTTTTCAGTTTGGGGCAATTATGAATGTAGCTGTGATAAATAACTATTCATTGCTGGGTCAAATGGTAAGTATATGTATAACTCTGTAAGGAGCTGCCAAACTGTTTTCCAAAATGGGTGTATTATTTTGCATTCCCGTCAGCAATATATGAGAGTTACAGTTGCTCCACGTTCTAAGCAGCATTTAATATTATCAGGCTTTTTATTGTTTTGGTTTGGTTTGTTTTTAGCCTTCTAATAAGTGTGTAGTAATAACTATTGTGGTTTTAATTTGCATTTCTCTAATGATTAATAATGTCCCATCTTTTCATGTGCTTATTTATTCTCCTTATCTCTCATTGCTGAAGTGACCTGTTCACTTCTTTTGGCCATTTTTTAATTAGGTTGCTTGTTTTATTATTTAGTTGTAGATGATTTTTAAATTTTTTGCTATTATAGATAATGCTTCAATGAACAACATTGTATGTGAAAATATTGCCCTCACTTTGGGTCTATACTTATAATAATTTCCTAAAGCTACTAAATCAAAGAGAGTGAACATCTTCACCATCCTTATATGCCCATAGTCCAACAGCTCTTCAAAACCATTGCACCAATTCACTGTCCTACTGGTGGCAGTTTAATAGGCATGACAGGCCATTGTGTTGTCTTAATTGGAATTTGTTTGATTATAATGCTATGGAACTTTTTTTCATATGATTATTAAACAGTCTGTGTTTCTTCTTTTGTGAGTCATCATCCCTTGCCTTTTTTGATACTGGATTGACATAGAAATTTGCCATGGCTGTATCTCTACAGGATTAGTTCTACAGTATGTGATGCTCCATGCCAGGATCAGCAGTTTACAGTATTTTCATAAAATCTTAACTTGGTCTTAGCCTCGTTTCTTTCACTTTCGGAGGTCACGAGTTAATTTGCGTAGCTGGCAAGGTAAAAATAAGAGTTGAAGAGAAAGATTTTTGCCCTCAAGTTAAACTTGGACACTGGGTGTCAGCACTTCTGTGAGAGGCAGACATCTCTCTGTTGTTCCTAATAAATAGAAAAAGTGTTCTTTTAAATTCCTCTCTGAGAAAATGGCCATGCCACTTAGTTTCCCTGTTGTGAGAGTAACCTCTTGATTCCTCTAACAACTCAGCATTTTATGTGTTCACAATGAAAGTACAATTAAAATCACTTACTTCATGCTTGCATAGCTCTATCAAATAGATTCAGGCAGCAAACAGTTCCTGTATATAGGCACAATTCTTTTTTAATTATTAAAATTGCTTATCTTTTATTTTATTCCAAATAGATGGTATGGGATGTGATATGACTCAGAAGTACTAGAATGAATTTTGACTTAATAACTCTAAAAATAAAAAGCATTTTGTTTTCTCTGACAAATAGCTCTCGTTCATTTTGATGCTCGACAGACAGCTGATATTTTATAAAACTTTATGATTGCCTCTTCATCAAGCACTGTAATTGTAGGTTTGTCTTCTTTGCAAGTATGGGGAACTGGGTATTTTCTTTTAAATACTTGTCATCCTAGGAGGCGGATTGCCTATGCCTGTCATGCAAATCAACTTTTCAGGCATCATAGGCAGAACTAGGAAAGTAGAACAATGGAAAAATATATATTTTTGTCTAAAATTTATGGATCTGTGACTTGCCTGAAAGAGTTATTTGAGAAGGTTTTTATAAACTCAAACAGATCCTTTAAACTAGATATTTCCCAGACTGCCCAAAAAAGGGCCCCTGTCCCCCAATACCACACAACACTATGAGAAAGTAGAATTTTATTGCTTGGGTTTTTCTTTTCCTCATACTTTGAAAGATCTCTTTGGCCAGCTTTCCATTCAGTGTTAACCCACACTCGTCAGTGTTTGATGTCATGAGAAGAGGACTCTGGCTTGCTCAAGGATCATGAGTGAGTAAATTTTTCAGTCTTCCAGAAGGGGAAAAGGAAGCATCATTTTGGTATCTTAGGGATTAAGACACTTGCTAACATGATATCAAGAAAAAAGCTTGCACACTCTCCAATTGGTATACTGGCTCCATGCCAGTTACATAGTTTTGGGTTTTTCCTTGTTTTTCATGTACAAGGATACCTCAGAGAATGGTTGTTTGGCTCCAGACCACTGCAGTGAAACAAATATCTCAAGAAAGTCACATAAATTCTTTGGTTTTCCAGTGCATATAAGAGTTATGTTTACACTATAGTGTAACTTATACATATAGTGTAGTCTATTAAGTGTGCAGTAGCATTATGTGAAAAACAATGTACATCTCTTAAAAATACTTTATTGCTAAGAAATGCTCATGATTATCTAAGCATTCAGTGAGTTGTAATCTTTTTGCTCCTGGTAGATCTTACCTGGATGTTAATAGCTGCTGACTGATTAGGGTGCTGGTTGCTAAAGGGTGGAGTGGCTGTGGAAATTTCTTAAAATAAGACAAGAACAAACTTTGCTGTATCCGTTGACTCTTCCTTTCATGAAATATTTTTCTGTTGCTTGTGATACTGGTTTATAGCATTTGTCTCACAGTAGAATTTCTTTCAAAATTGGAGTCAATTCTCTCAAACTCTGCTGCTGCTTTATCAACTAATTTCATGTAATATTATAAATCCTTTGTTGTCATTTTAACAATGTTCACAGCATCTTCATCAGGAGTAGATTTTACCTCAAGAAACTACTTTCTTTGCTTATTCATAAGAAGCAGTTCTTACTGTGAAAGTTTTATGAGATTGCAGCAATTCAGTCACATCTTCAGGATCCATTTCTGATTCTAGTTCTCTTGCTATTCTTACCACATCTTCAGTTACTTCCTCCACTGAAGTTTTCAACTCCTCAAAGTCATACATAAGAGTTGGAATCAACTTCTTCCAAATTCTTGTTTATGTTGGTCTTTTGACCTCTTCCTATGAATCATGAATGTTCTTAATGGCATGTAGAATGGTGAGTCCTTTCCAGAAGGTTCCAATTGACTGTGACCAGATCCATCAGAGGAATCATGATCTATGGCAGCTGTAGTCTTCTGAGATGTTATTTCTTAAATAGTATGACTTGAAAGTCGAAATTACTTCTTGATCCATGGACTGCAGAGTGGATGTTGTGTTAGCAGGTATGAAAACCACATTAATCTTTGTTTCCATCAGTGCTCTTGGTACACTGTCAATGAGCTGTAATATTTTGAAAGGAATCTTTTTTTTTTTTTCTGAGCAGGTCTCAACAGTGGGCTTAAAATATTCAGGAAACCATGCTGTAAAGAGATGTGCTGTCACACAGGCTTTGCTGTTCCATTTATAGAGCACAGGCAGAGTAGATTTAGCATAATTTTTAAGGGCCCTAGGATTTTTGGAATGGTCAGTGAGCATTGGTGTCACCTTAAGTCACTAACTGCATTTACCCATAACAAGAGAGTCAGCCTGTCTTTTGAGGCTCTTATAAGTCTGGCCACACCAGTTTTACCATCTTTCACTTTGGTTTCTTATCTAGATGGTATTATCTATATGGAATAGGCAAGTGGGTTATTGTGAGTGACAGAAACCTAACTTGGACTAGTTTGAGCAAGGAGGTACTTTTCAGGGAAATGATGTTTCACAAAACTGCCACGCTGCAGGCAGAATTAGAAAATAGGCCTTGGGAATTGCAGAAATAGGGCTCCAGGTCCACCAGAATTATTTCCTCTTTTCATTCCCTCTTGGCCCTGTAAGATTGGCTTTATTTTTCTCTCTCACTGTAGCCAGTTTTCTTCTGGAAGAGAAAACATGGATAGTGACAGCTCTTGAGCCTTTTAGCTTATGGCTTCAGCTGCTTCAGAAGAGATCAACCAAACTCTATTGGTCCTAACTCCAAACATCCAGGGAAGGAACTTCCTGCCCCTGATCCTGTTAACTGTGGCCAGTAGTGCCATGTAAGAGCACTGAAATTTTTGGAAAGACCTTAGGGATGAAGTATTGTTGTCAGAGGAAGAGGAGGGACTGGTAGTAAAAACAATAGGTGTACATTCTTTGTGGGCAGTGCTGGATTATATAGCTAATCATGGGGCTTGGATACTGGAGTTCATTAGTGCATCTTGTAACAAGGCCACTTTTGGGGGTGTGGCTCCCACATGGATAATTAGCTGGATCCTGGTCTTCAGCTGTGTCCTGCTCTATCCCTGACTAGCCATCTCACAACTGCTTGTTCCTGGTCCTGGGGGGTACCTGCGGAGAGAAAGTGTGTGGGTGGTAGATCAACAGAAATCCCTCGCCACTGCTAGAAAAACAACTCAAAGAACATGTATTTATGTAGATGATTTCTTATAATGTGGGATTTCCCTCTCCAGCAATTTTCCTTTGCCAACTCTCTGAAGCACAGTTTTGGTAACATTCATATGATGCTGCAATCATAGGATACCATAAAGCTCTGCAGAGAGGCAACTCTGGTTGTCCTAGAGAATGCATTTGTCAAATATATGTGCCTTTGGGATATATTACTAGCTATTAGCCATTATCTTTCGTAGCTTTTGAAAGCACTCCAAATTTGGAATCTAAATTTCTGGGTTTGAGTCTCAGCTTGATCACGTATTATCTCAGTGACCTGGAGCTAGCTAGTTTCTCTCTCTGAACCTTAATTCTCAAACTTATAAAATTGGGATAGTGGTACCTGTATGGAACAGGGCTATATAAACTGTGAAACAACAATAAGAAATGTTTCTTTTTCTTTTTGTTATCACCTGGGCCTGAATGACAGAGTTTTTCTCCATCTCTTGGCATTTCTCCTAGCTGTGTCTGAGTGAATAATCAGGGACTTTCTCAGAAAAGAGAAGGAAATGCAGGACCATTGGTAGGAACTTGACCTTTGTTTCTATCATACTGAGGTTAAGCAAACTCTTTATTTCTGTATTCTTCGTCTGGCATCCTTTGGGGAACCTCTTCTTGAGGTTAAGGTGAGATGAAGGCTTCCTTTGGAGACACGTTCAGGCCAAGCTTCATGCTCTGAGGAGTTGTTTCAGGAAGAAAGAGAGAGGAGCTATGTGTATGTTCTCCCAGTGTGAATAGGGACTAATGTGAAACATATGCCATTGCCTTTAATCAGGCTATTAAGCATTTCTCAGTTTTGATGGAACCTCTATCTGAGAGGTTCACCTATAGCAGTGGTTCTCAACTAGGGGTGATTTTTGCTTCCCAGAGGACATTTGACAATGTCTGGAGATGTTGTTGGTTGTCATTGCTGGGTGAGGTGGGAGGGGGTTGGCAGGAGGGGTTGCCACAGGTATCTAGTGGTTAGAGGCCAGAGATGCTGCTAAATACACTACTACCATGCATAAGGCAGCTCCCCACCACCAATTGTCTGTCCCCAAACATCAATACAACATCTTCTTCTTAGTGTGGTGGTTTTGATTGTTGAGCTTTCTTTTGGTGGAGAAGGAGAAAGGATTTTTAGGCCATGATTTTTATTCTCATCAAAAGGCATATATTGAGACCACTTCATACCCGCTAGGATTTTTCTGAAATTTAATTATGAATGCCATTTTAAATTCCAGAAGGGGTTGCCTTACTTTTGTTAAATACAGTACTCTTTATTCCCTCCTAGAAATGGCACAGATCTCTCTTGGAGAGGGCAAGGTGACTCTACTCCCCTTCTCATCCTCTTAAGAAATATCATGGCTTCTTATCTGTTATATATTGTCTGTGGTCTTAGAAGAAAGTCTGTGCTCCAGTTTGGCCATAAATTAACTCAGAGCCATATGTATTGAGCAATATACCCCACCAAGCTGTAAAACAAATGAACAAATGGAAAACAACAAAAGAAACTCCAAACCAACCAACCAATCAGAAACAGGTCACTGCCCCATGACAGTTTTGAAGTGTGTGTGAAAGAGGAGAAAGAGCTTTAAGACTGTCCATTCTGGAGGGCAGCAAGATGTTGTTGCTTCAGGTAGCATAAGAGGGAACAGATTCTCTTCTACAATGCCATGTTTGTGGTTCTTGGAAAAGCACAGCAAAACCTTTCAAGGCAAACTGTTTCATCATTCTGGGATAACACCAAGAAGCTGCATGGTGCTATTAAAGCAGCCATTCATGTTGGTCTGCCTTGTCTTCTGTAGAGGTGGGTTTTTTAAACTGTGGATCAGCTCCTTTGGAGGGTCATGAAATGCATTTAGTTGATTAAAACCTTAAGTAAGGAAGAATTGAAGAGAAAACATGAGTACATCACACAAATAAAGAGTACTGTTTTATGAAACATTATGTAATTTTATGTATGTGTGTATATATATATACACACATATATATACACACACACACATCTGGCTTGTGATGTAAAATACATTGCTTAATGTAGGCTATGATCAAAAAGGCTTGAAAATCACCACTTTATATGCTTTTACCTTTGTTCTAGAACATAGGTCAATTGAAGCCCAAAGTGTATTTTCTGTTCTAACTCAGGGGCCTGAGTTTCATTACCTGCTTACCTGCTCATTCCTAAACCAGTCACTACCCAGGACAGTGGATGATTTGCTTATACGAATCTACATTCACCCACAGGGGAGTCTGGAGAGCTGCCTGGCCTCCCCAGCATGCATGTTGTCAGGGAAGGCTGCTGCAGAGAAGGCAGCCAGCACAGCCGCCCCAGGAATGGCCTGTGGGGATAGAGAAAGTAGCATTAGTTTAGGTACAGAGACCAAGGTAAACACCCAGTTATGGCAACTGGGGCTGGGGCTTGGGGAGAAGGTAAAAGACCAATAGTTAATCAGGAAAATTCTTTTGAGCTTAGAGTAGCAGTGTGGTTAACCTGGTGTTCCATTGCCAAATTTAAGCCTGGAGTTCTTTGAACACTGCCAGGCTTGGTCCAAAACATTAATACAGCCTATAAAATTTTCCTTCTGTGACATTTCCCAGTCTCTTCAGATCTGTTCATTCATTCATTCATTCATTTATTTTTGAGACAGAGTCTTTCTCTGCTGCCCAGACTGGAGTGCAGTGGCATGATCGTGATTCACTGCAGCCTCTATCTCCTGGGGTTGTGATTCTCCCACCTCAGCCTCCCAAGTAGCAGGGACTACAGACACATGCCACCATGCCCAGCTTATTTTTATTTATTTTCATAGAGATTCGTAGAGATAGGTTCTTGTCATGTTGTCCACGCTGGCCTTGAAGTCCTGGGCCCAAGCAATTCCTCCAACTTGGCCTCCATTAAGTGCTGGGATTACAGGCGTGAGCCACTGTGCCTGGCCCTCTTCGGACTCCTTACTGTCTACTCTCCCCTGATTCATTAGGTTTCAGCCACACCAGCCTTGTTTCAGTTTTTCAGATATGCTGGTTTCTTTTGTGCCTCAAGACTTTCTGTGCAGGCCTTTTTCTGCATCTGGGATGTTCTTCCCACATTGTTTCCTCTGACCTACTCCAGCTTCACTTTTTAGCTCATCTGCCACTTCCACAGTGAAGCTTCCTTCCCTGACCTTTCGCTTATCATAATTGAGACCTATTTAATGTATGTCTCTTTCATTAAGTATCGCAAGGACAGCCATGATCACCATCTTCTCTACTGTAATGCCAGGGCCTGCTGCATGGCATATGGTCAGAAGTATCTCGATTGTAGAGTAAGTCTTGGGCTCTGGGATGGAGCTAAGCCTGATGGCATCAAGGGGCCCCGGCAGAGTAGGTGGGGAGGAAGAGGCAGCTTGCAGCCATCTGGGCTGGGCTTGACATCTTTTACACCTTTCCCAGCCTCGTCCTCTTCCCTCAGATATATTTCCTTGGTCAAGTTGATTTTCTTTGGCTTATCTCTATGTGAACAGTTTAATACACAGGGACTTTTTAAAAAATAAAATGAAGTAAAGTCTCCAGAAATTGATTCCCAAATCAAATCACACTTCAGTAATTTAAAAGAAATAGAGAGCAAAACATCATGTGTAATTCAGTAGATTTTTGATAGATCATAATTACTTACACATGTGGCTACACCCCCTTTAATTTGGATATCCAATTATTAGGTGTCATGGGCCCAGTCACAGCTCCGTGGATGCGTCTGTGGATGAGTCCAACTAATCTGCAATTGGAAATGTATTAACACCCACTTCTCCTTGAGCGAAGGGCATTTCTAGAGCATTACTGTTGCATATTGTTCCAGAAGGAGCCATAGTGTGTGGAAATGGGAAAGATGGTTTCTGCCATCAGGGAGCTGGTTTTGAACTGAGTTACGAGGATCTAACTCATTAATGATCAGACCCATGTTCTAAGATATAAGAACTGTATGTAATTGGGAGTTAAACATAGAGCAGCTCTCTGGATGTTGAGAGGAAGGGAGATTGGTGTGAGCTACAGAAGCATAGCACCATCAGGGCAGGTGTTGGCTCACAGAGTTAGAGCCAGGAGGGGTCTGAGAGGTCCGTTTATCTGATCATTTCATTTTATAGATAAGGAAACTGATATATTATTTCTCTTCTTCCTCTGTAACACCTAATTATTTTCTATGAGCCAAACTGTAGTAGACTTTTTTTTTTTTTAAAGTTCTTCCTCATTCAGCTTCCCCAGTGGCACCAGTTTTCCCTTTTGGGAAGATCTTATTGTGTGTTCCTCGGGGGGAGTCTTGCTCACCTTGGAAGTGGTAGGGGATTTGGGTGCAGGGGGACTTAACCTTGACCACACGCTTCTTCTGACTTTACTCTTAAGCTGATGATGCAACAACAGCAAGACAGTTGATGTTTATAATCATACCAATAGCCACAGTGGCCTAAGAATCAGATTTCCCAGAATCTCTGACCTTTGCCAAGTGTATTAGTTTCCTATAGCTTCTGTAACAAATGACCACAAATTTGGTGGCTTAAAGCAACACGTGTATTTTCTTACAGTTCTGGAAGTCAGAAGTCTAAAATCACTTTCACTAGGCTAAAATCCAGGGTTGTGCTTCCCATCTCTCCTCCCCAGAGGCTTTAGTTCGTTTCTTTGCCTCTCCCAGCTTCTAGAGCTACATTCTTGTGTTCTTTGGCCCTTGGGCCCTTCCTCTATCTTCAGAGTCAGATGCAGAATAACTTGCTTCTGTCCTTACATTGCCTTCTCTCTCTCTAGTCAATCTTCTGCCTTTTTCTTGTAAGGGCACCTGTGATTGTGCCTCGAGTCCACCTGGATAATCCAGGTTATTCTTTCCACCACCAGATCCTTAATCCCATCTGCAAAGTCCCTTTTGCCATAACAGGTAACGTTCACAGATTTCTCAATTAGGACCTGGATATCCCTGCCCCAACAAGGTTTCTGCTTTCCTCTTTTCCCAGCCTGGTCTTCCAATATCCCCTCAATTCTGTGAGTTCCTGGTATCTTCTCAGTATACCTTTTTGGAGGGAGGGAGCTGATGGGTCTGCAGTTTAAGACAGTTGAAATCTGTTTCTGTTGTTTATGACCAGGAACCTCCATGGTAAATCAGTGCTATGTGCAGAACTTTACAAGCATTATTTTTTTTTAATCCTTGTTTTAACTTTCTTAGGAAGGCACTATCTCCTTTTTCCAGGTAAGAAAACTGTAGCTCAGAGTGGCAATTTCAAAAAGCCTGACAGCTAGTATAGGTGATGGAACTGGGATTTGAAACTAGCCAGTGTGACTGAAGAGCGTGTGCCTTATCCCTTTCTCAGAATCCTAGTTCAACTAGCTTTTGGTCTTAGACCTTTTCCAAGGAGGAAGTAGAATGTCATCTGGGCCCTGAGGTCTGAATCAAATTGTTTAGGCAGGGGAGAGAAGGCAAGGGAGAAGCATTCCAGGTAGGAGAGAGGCTGGAGACTAAGAAGTGAATCCAAGAGATTTAAAGGAAGGGACATGACAGGTAAAGTGGAATGACAGATAAAGGAACCAACCACGTATGGAATGCTTTTGAATGGACACAGCAACTCATTTATGTCAACTACCCATGGGAATGATATTCTGACTCAACTTTGTGTTGGAAATTCAGCTTGTATTAGGTCCCTTGCTGCCTCCTCATGGCCTCCTCATCACATGGGCTGGTTAAACATCTAACATCCTTTGCTAGTGTTAGCCTTTTCTCACAGATGCTGATGAACAGCCTGTCTTTCAAAAACTTAACAAGGTTCTTTGTTGGTATCGATATGGGTAATTTCTGGAGCTTGGGAGACATCCTGGACCTAATGGTGTAAGATCTCTGGCTTGTGTCTCCTTTCAGAAGAGAAATTGGAAATTTTTTTCTAGGGCTGGGACAATGACTAAGAAGGGAGCTCTTTATCTGGTGTTTTCTGGTTACTACTTAAGTGTAACTGATAGATTTAGCAAATGAAAATATAAGACATCCAGTTAAATTTGAATTTTAGGTTTCAGATAAACAATGAATATTCCATGCATTGTACAAACATTGCACTAAAAATTATTTATCTGAAATTCAAACTTAACTGGGTGTCCTGCATTTTGGCTGGCAACCCTGAACCTATGACCACTGTTTCAGGGTATTTTCAGGCATAGACTTGTACAGTGAATGTGCCTGTGAAAAGATATTATAGACCTGGATTGACAAGGAGGCTAGGAAAGAACCCCAAGTTCAAAGGGAATGCAAGGTTGGAGAATTCTTTGGGCGACTAACTTGGGGAGAGATGATTTGGTTCTCATTGCCCAGAGCATTGCCTCTGTCTTCTGTTCTGCTGTGCCACTGTGCTATGGCCACAATGAGAAAGACTTGTGCTGCATCATCAGGATTGTATCAATCTCCATTCTCTTCCTATTTGCTGACACCTAAAAGTAAAAACATTCAAGGTAGGGTTGAGCCATGATCTCTAACAGGAAATAGTTATTGAACTTGACTGTGTGCAGAACATGATACCTGTGCTGGTGGTGGTCAGAGGGCTGAGTGTACTCTCCAACTGTCCTCTGTTGTGGGGGCAAAGTGGGCATTAAGCACCCCCCTGTATACAGAGCTTTCCACCGGGCTGTGTGCCTATAGTGACAAAACAAATGGAAAACACGCTTGTGCTCTTGAGGAGCACAGATATATGCCTCTTGGGACAGCAGAGAGCTTAGGCTTTTATTAACTCAAAATTGGAGTTATTCTCAGTGGCCCCACTCTGATTTTGTGGTGTGTGTGTCTCTCCATGTGTGTATATAGAAATATTGCAGCAATCATCACCTGCCATTAAGCTACTTTTGTACATAGTAATTAGGAGAGGTGCATGGAGTCTGGTCCTGAGAGTGAGATATGGCAAGTGATCTGTGGCGCTTGGTAATTTGTGGCCTTAGAATGAAGGGAAGAATGCTCACTTGCCTGTTTGGGGATGAAAACTAAAAAATCTTGATATTTTTTAGCAACACACTGGACTAAGGAACAGTGGACCCTCCCAGCACTGGGCAAACATTACACAGCGTAATGGCAGGGTGGGGAAAGGACTGGATTTGACATCAGAAGAGAACTGACTTTAACTCCTGATCTTACCATTTATTAGCAATTTAATTTTTTCTGAGCTTTGGCTTGCTCTTTTATGAGATGGAGACAATAGCAATATGAGGAAAATTTTGAAGATTTAATGACATACCACTTGAAAATGCTAACTGACAGCAAGCACCTTGTATTTGTCACTGCGGTGTTTCCCATTCTCATAGCACTTTGTAACTAACTCTGTTATAATGCTTCATGGTGTGTTATAATTATTTCTTTTATGTGTCTGTCTACTTCCACTAGACTGAGAATCAAGGGCCATTTTCAACTCTTTACTTTTCCAGTAGCCTCCTGATTAAGCCCTGGTACTTACAAGGCCCATAGTTTTGCTGAGCTGTGTGTACTTCAATACTTAAGCTTTGCTAGGAGGCAAGTCTTTAACTTCTGAGTTTCCATTCTTTCCTCTGTCTCTCTAGCTCTCTTACTGAGAACTGGGAAGATCCCACGGGACAGGATCTGTCCAGTCCTCAGTAAGAGTCTTTCAAGAATATTACCATCTCAACACCAGTCAGAATGGTGATTATTAAAAAGTCAAGGAAAAACAGATGGTAGAGAAATAGGAATGCTTTTACACTGTTGGTGGGAATGTAAATTAGTTCAACCACTGTGGAAGACAATGTGGTGATTCCTCAAGGACCTAGAACCAGAAATACCATTTGACCCAGCAATCCCATTACTGGGCATATACCCAAAGGAATATAAATCATTCTGTTATCAAGATACATACACATGTATGTTCATTGCAGCACTATTTGCAAAAGCAAAGATGTGGAATCAACCCAAATGCCCATCAATGATAGACTGGATAAAGAAGATGTGGTACATATACACCATGGAATACTATGCAACCATAAAAAGGAATGAGATCATGTCCTTTGTAGGGACATGGATGGAACTGGAAGCCATTATCCTCAGCAAACTAACACAGAAACAGAAAACCAAACACTGCATGTTCTCACTCATAAGTGGGAGCTGAATGATGAGAACACATGGACACAGGGAGGGGAACAACACACACTGGGGCCTCTCACGGGTAAGTGTGGGGAGAGGGGAAGGGAGAGCATCAGGAGAAATAACTAATACGTGCCGGGCTTAATACCTAGGTCACGGGTTGATAGGTGCAGCAAACCACCATGGCACACATTTACCTATGTAACAAACCTGCACATTCTGCACATGTAACTCAGAATTTAAAATTTTTAAAAAAGAATATTAGAAGATCCTCATTAGACTCTAAATGCTTGAGTATAGATTCCCAGTATTCTCCTGTGTACTCAAACACATGTATGTTTGAATAGTATCCCAGCTTGCTACCCTATTCTCAGTAAGTTCTAGGATTTCCTTGATGTTCTCTCCTTTTGACCTCTGCTTCAACAAATTTATTAATTTAATCAGTGCAATTCAAGTTCAATTCATCAAGCCTTTATTGAGTGCCTCTTACTTGCCAGTCACTGGGCTAGGTTTTGGGGGTAGAGATGAGTAAAATGGTGCCTCCATTAGAAGTGTTTCAGATTTAGTGGGAGAGACAGATGAGAAAACAGAATTTCTCTAGGATGTGGTTAGGGCAGTGATGGAGGTGGACACGTTATGGGAGCACAGAATAAGGCTATTTTCCTTTATTGTCTTTTTCCTCTAAGAATTCCATTGTTGGCCAGGTATGGTGGCTCACACCTGTAATCCCAGCACTTTGGGAGGCCGAGGCAGGCGGATCATGAGGTCAGGAGTTCGAGACCAGCCTGGACAGCATGGTGAAACCCTGTCTCTACTAAAAATACAAAAATCAGCCAGGTTTGGTGGCATATGCCTGTAATCCCAGCTACTCGGGAGGCTGAGGCAAGAGAATCGCTTGAACTCAGGAAGCGGAGGTTGCAGTGAGCTGAGATCGTGCCATTGCACTCCAGCCTGGATGACAGAGCAAGACTCTGTCTCAAAAAAAAAAAAAGAATCCCATTGTCCCTGCTTACTTTCTAACAGGTGAACGGGGAGCCGGCTGTCATTCCTGCCTCAAGGAGTATTGGAACTGTGGGAGTTAGGAAGCTGCCAGTGGCCAATGTGCATCAATTAAAGACCCAGTTGGTAGCCCTCCTGCACTGGAGGACAGAAAAGAACACTTGGAGGCCCAGGACAGCACAAGGCCACAGGCTGCATGGCCCTGGCTGCAGTGTGGTTGGGAGAATTTGGGGAGCAGGTAGTTTCAGCCAAAGACTAACTTGGTGACATGCGCATACCTCATGGCTGGCTCTGTGAGACCCCTGCAACAAATGCCACCTTTTTCCTTCCCTTTTTCAAGTTAGCTTTGCTTTTGTTCTCTTTCCCATTTCTCTGACATTTGCTTCTCCCCCCAGTTCTTATTTATTTCCTTTGTTGTTTATATCCCTACATTTTCTTTTACTGCTCACTCTTCTATCATCTTATTCTTCTTTCCCTCTACCATTTTTCCCCTCTACATTTGAGCCTTCTTTGCCTTTTAATTTTATCTTTCTGCCTCTATCACCATGTTCTGAAACATAACTGTTAAACTCAGGGTTGGAGAGGAAATTTTCATTTCCAACAGGGCTTTTTATGATATGAAAAGAGTGTCTCATGTGTATCTGAGTATCCTAGGAAACAGAAGTCTAATTTCTAACTCATATTCTGCATACTGTGTTTGAAAGACATCATCATGAAAGGAGAGTCTCCCACCTGGGCAGCACAGGAGACTGTGCTGTGCACCTTACCTTTATTACAAGAACCAGCCAAACAATGATTCCTTCTTTTTTGTGGTTCTCTATCTCCACACCTATCCTTGAAGTTTCTCTTTATCTCGCTCTTTCTCTTTTTCTATTTCTGTCATATTTTTCAGTTCTATTTTCTATGTTGCTTCTCGTTCTTTTTTCTCTTTAGTCCTTCCCTACTTATTAGAAATTATATGACCCCCTCCTTAATGTCTTTCCTTGGCCTTGGAAGATAGAGTCAAAAGGAGTGTGGAAGACTCCACTGCCCCAAGTCCCCCCGTTTCTGACGACGGCATGGAAGTGTGACTCAGGAGAGATGGGGAAGATTCAGAAACCTTGTCTAGCTCTTGAGATTCTTTATGAGTAGGATTTCTTTCTGCTTCTTATTTTTAGGTAGTATGAACGTAGACTCAGAGAATCTTAAAGTTGACAGGAATCTCTATTGGTTGTTTAAATAACCTTTACCCCATGTAGGATCCCTCTTTACTTCCTAATGATGCTCTACAGGTAGCTCCCGGATACTTGGAGTTTTGGGAAGGGTGCCAGCACATGAAGCCGTCCGCTTGGCTGTTGGCAGCACTAATTGTGTCAGTTACCGCTTGCGATTCTGTTGTCCTGGTCTGTATGATTTGTACCTAATGATTGTATATCTGCTTCCGAGGGCCATAGGGCATGCACTTTCCATACAGTTCTTTTTCTGAGATTGAAGACACGTCAAATAGTGAAGGAAGTTCAGGTACCTTCTTTAATACTTGAACTATTTCAGAGAGGTTCCATCAGAAATAAACAAAACAAGCCATTTTTGCCACCCTTTGACTATAGAGGAACCCAGTTTTCTGAATGCCTCATTTCCTGATGGTTCTGAGTAGCTGAGATTGTTCTGGAGGGATTATGGGTGAGAAACTTCCTTTCATTCTTCACAGAAAGAAGAATAAAATGAGCAAGTTTTAAATTAAGATTTTATTAATATTAGTAAGCTTTGCATTAGCCACAATGTCTGTGTGTACATTATAGTTTATAGAACACTCTTAATATTAAATACCATGTCATTTTATTTTTATAACTAGACCACGATACCCCCTTATTTTAGAGATGACAGAAGTGGGGTTCATAGAGGTTGAGAGACTTGTGTTGAGTTACCCCATTCTCAACAGAGTGAGTCAGACTTAAACTCAGTTCTTCTGCTCTTAATCTTCTGCTATGTCTTTCATAAATACATATATGTCCTTGTCTCTCCAAAGTCCCTGCAATGTCATGAGATTATAGGAAATAAGTTGTCTCCTTGGTGTACACAATCTAATAGAATTATGGATTTGTATGTGTGTGTATTTCTGGATTTGGCTGTGGAACATGGAAAAATAGGAAGAAATCCAATTAGGGTCAAAGAGTGGTTTGTGCAATTATAAAAATACTGATACTATGTGAAGACCATTGAAATTCTTCTCCAGTTGCAAGCATCAGCATAATTGATTTGTTTGGTAAAAATTCTGTCAAGGTAGAGATGAGTGAGTTACTTTTTTACTGCAGTTAATCCAGAGAAATTTCCTGAAGGAGATAGACAGGGGAACCTAAGAAAATTTTGAAATAAAAAAATACAAGGGCCTGGTGGGTTGGAAAGAGGGGAAGGAGTTGAAACAGGGCAGAGAGGAGAAAGGGGACAAGTGTTGGGGACAGGAATGGGACAGATGTTGTGGCCCTTGTGTTTTGCTTGGGATTTGGAACTAGGGTTCTGGTATGATGATAAGTTTTCCTTCTTTGCAAAGTAAAACCCAGATGGCTAAATTTAATTCCACTTGGAGCCACTGGTGATTCACCCAAGCTCAGGTGCACCCACATACAGCTGGCGTCAGCGCTGTGTGCTTTCCAGGCTGAGCTTGCCTCAGCCCCGCTTCCTGCATGGAACAAGAGGGGAAAACCAGACTGGTAACCTTGACCCTTCTGTGTCTCTGTCTGCAGCATCCTGGCCACTGCAGGAACCCACTTCAATACTCACGTGGACCTGAGGACCCTCCGGGCTGTGCGTGTCCTGCGGCCTTTGAAGCTCGTGTCAGGGATACCTAGTGAGCATCTGCCATTCTTTCTGCTCTGCTAAGAACTTTCTTCATGTGTCCTCAGCTGGATCCAGGTCTAAGGGAATTTGGGATAAACAAACAATATTCCTCCTGGGAGGAAGCCTCAGTGGTAATAAATAGTGGAGATGGAGCAATCTGGTGTAACATTTTACTTTACATTTAACTTTTTGCAAATATAAAAGATAATAGAAAATCTTTACAGAAAATGTGGAAAGTAAACAACAAAAAAGAAAAGTGCTCTTTATCTTATCACTCAGAAATCACTTTTGTTAAAATTTCAATATTTTTCATTTTTCCCCTGTGCATTTTAATATAATTGAAATCGTTATGTAGATTGTAGTTTTATATCCTGAAATAAGTATTTTATTTTCCTAACCTTAAAAATTCTTGGCTGAGTGCAGTGGCTCACACCTGTAATCCTAGCACTTGGGAGGCTGAGGTGGGTGGATTGCTTGAGTTCAGGAAGAGTTTGAGACCAGTCTGGGCAACATGGTGAAACCCCATCTCCACAAAAAATAGAAAAAAGTAAAAAAAATGTAGCTGAGCATGGCAGCTCACTCCTGTAGTCCCAGCTACTCAGGAAGCTGAGGTGGGAGGATCACTTGGGCCTGGGAGGCCAAGGCTGCAGTGAGCCAAGATCACGCCACTGCACTCCAGCCTTGGCGACAGACCGACACTCTGTCTCAAAACAAAAAAATTCTTATATGTGTTATGATTTATTTAGCCATTTTTATGTTTTATGTTGCTGGATGGCATAAAAAATAAAAATAGGCTATTTCCAGTTTTTCTCCAACTATAAATGTGCTGCAACAAACACCTTTTTACTTAAATCTTTATTCAAATCTCTGACTGTTTTCTTGGCTAGAATCCTAGAAATGCAATGTGTGGGTCAAAGGATATGGCATTTTCTGAATAGTGCTTGTACTAATTGTGCTTCCCCAACAGAGACTGAGAACTGGGTCTGAGATAGAGTGAATGGGAAGATGAACTTTATCCCAGCTCTTGAAGGATTTACAGCCTAGCAGAGCTGGGCCTAATTTCCTTTAGGAAAGGAGCACATTCTAATAAATTTAATCTATCAGAGGCAGACGGCAGCATGGATGAAACCAATGAGGGAATGAAACTAATCCTCCCCTATCAGATGGTGCTGAGGGACAGCTGCATTGGTCATTCTCTGTCCTTCCTTCTAGGCCTGCAGATTGTGTTGAAGTCCATCATGAAGGCCATGGTACCTCTTCTGCAGATTGGCCTTCTGCTCTTCTTTGCCATCCTGATGTTTGCTATCATTGGTTTGGAGTTCTACAGTGGCAAGTTACATCGAGCATGCTTCATGAACAATTCAGGTAGGGTCGTTCTTTTCTGTCTTCTCCTTTTCCCTTCTCCCCTCTGTTAACTGGGGTAATTTCAGGGCACTTGGAGGCTCATTGGAAAAGTATGTCCTATTCTGACCCTGGAATTAGAATCAGAAGCTTCTAGTCAGCAGCCTTTTGAGGCACAGTCAACCAAGACTAGATATCCTCACTTGACATTAATATTGCAAAGCAAATATGTAGTTGGAAGATTTCAAATAGATGGTCTTGGCTCCCCTATCCCATGGTCAAGGGCCATGGGAATGAACTTGAAAAGCCATCTGTCTGAGCCAGGCATAGTGGCACCCACCTGTAGTTCCAGCTACTCCCTGGAGGCTTAGGCAAGAGGATTGTTGAAGCCCAGGAGTTTGAGGCCAGCCTGGACAACTAGTGTCTCTCTGTCCCTATCTCTCTGTCTACAGAAAAAAAAAGTGCAACCTCTCTGAATATCTGAATCAATACCCCTTTACTCTTTGTACAGCAGCCTCTGACTGAATAAATAAGTACTTTTTGTATAGTGGCCTCTCTGGCCCACAGGCTGGTGAGATCTAGGAGTCCAGAGTCAGAGTTGGGTCCCTCCGGATCTGTGGAGACATTTTCCCTTCATGATCCTTCTCACCATCTTCTCGCTCTCTGTTTTGACCCACACGTGGTATGGAAGAACTGAGGGAGCTCTGAGCTTGGTTTGCAAGTGTGCTTGGGAGATTGTTAGGGTACACAACCCCAAATTCTCATATCTTTGTATTTCATTTGTTCTTTTCAAGTTGAGTTGAGTATCCTAGGAGGAAAGGAGATGGGAGGCAGGCTGAAGAATTCCAAATAAGTACCATGCTTTTTATGAAAAGAACCTTAAAAGAACACTTTCCACCTTGGATTTCTATTTTTTATTTTTATCTTTTATTCAAAACCAGGAATCCACGCTGGAAAAACAAGGAGTTAAACCCCCCTAAAAGGACCATAGTTTATAACTGTCCCCAAGAAACCCAGGAAGAACTCAGGGCTCATCCTGGAGTCTGAAGCCAGAAAACCTCACTTTGCCTTTTCCTCAAAGTGTGCCGTGTGATTCAGTCCTCTTAATTCCTGTGGTACTTCAGGTGAGGGTAGAGGATGAAGCTTGCAGAGAGCAGGGGACTATGTGGAGGAGAGGCTCCATTTTTCAGGAGACTGGGAAACATTGGATTGAACACATGATATGTGAGCTGGGAGGTGCAGAGAGGCCAGGGAGGAGAGGGAGCCTGAGACAAAAAAGGGCAGGCCTCTTTCCGTGGGGGAATGGAATTGCTTGCCTATGGCTTCCTGGGGTCATTTCCAGCTCATGCGAAACACCATGTGATTTATCTCCTACCCTCCAAATGTGTCTGCAGGTATTCTAGAAGGATTTGACCCCCCTCACCCATGTGGTGTGCAGGGCTGCCCAGCTGGTTATGAATGCAAGGACTGGATCGGCCCCAATGATGGGATCACCCAGTTTGATAACATCCTTTTTGCTGTGCTGACTGTCTTCCAGTGCATCACCATGGAAGGGTGGACCACTGTGCTGTACAATGTGAGTAGAGCTGGTGGGGACCTGGAAGGAGGAGGGAAGAACCCTGGATGGAGGCTTCTGTGGTTGTTTGGCCTGGCTAGTCCGGGGACAGGGAGGGCTATGGATATAGGTGTATTGGGATGGGAGGTGAAGACTCAACTGGGATAAGCCTTAGCAGTTCATAACCCTCTTTTGTCTGGCCTGTTGCTACGTACAAGTACACAGCTTCTTAATACGATTAGGAAATTACATCCTATGTTGGATAGGTGAACAAATTAGTTAAGTCAGATCAACTTAATAGTTACAGAATATGTTGGTTGGACGTGGCGGTAGGGTATAGTGAAGGGTACTAATGTATGATACTGGCTGCCCAGTAGAATTAGCTGGAAGCCTTAAAAAATTTTATCACCCCCTCAGGATCTGGGAGAATTTACTAAAAAAGAACAAAAAGAAAAGAAAAAAAAATTATACCAACTGAGCTCCATCCCACACCAATTAAGTAGGAATATTTAGGGGTGAAGGTCATTTTAGAAAAGTCATTGACTTTTCTAAAAAGCTTCCTATCTGATTCTCATATGTAGCCACTGTCAAGAACTACTGCATTACACACACATAAAAAGCATGCTTAATTGTGAGATTCACCAGGGGTGCTTGTTGAAAATTCAGATTCACAGACCCCTTCTCTGGAGATTCTAATTTTGTGTAGCTTTGTATAGCTAGTGAGCTGTGCTTTTTTCAAGTGCCCTGGTGATTCACATGATCAGACATGTTGAGAAGGTTCTGAGTTGGTCTAGCTGCCTGTCAGGGATGTTGGGGATTCCTGCATGGGGACAGAAGGTAGGGTGATCATGAAGTCTCTTCCATCTTCCAGAGTCTAATTTTAATAAGTTATCAAAGGCTTGGTGCAGACTCTATGCTCAAAAATGAGAGTGACTTGAGGTATGTGGTTTGATGTACATGGATCCTAGGTGGGTAAAGCAGTTTGGGCAGGTGCTTTTGAAGGACTGTACCCTTACCTGCATTCAGCCAGCCCACCCCAAAACAGTAACTTTGGAATGATCATGCCTCTTATGCACGCTCCCACCGTCTGCCTTTACCTTAAGGTGCCGTCTGTTTCCTTCAGTTCTTCTCTAGATCTTTTTAGCCTGATTCTATCTGTATAAAACTTATTAGGTGGAACATAAGGTGGCTTATACAAAGCACCCTTTAGAAAGAGCTTTGGATATAATTTACACTGGAGGGAAAGGAAATGCTGTGTCTCAGAAGAAACTCGACGAGACTATAATGCCCAAAGAGCAAGGATTGTGTAAGGCCTGTAAAAGGAAGTACTTAGTAGAGGTCCATTGCTAACCTGGATCCATTCCCACATAGGATGAGCAAGGCAGGACTGAAGCTTTGCAGAAAAGAGTCACTGGCTATTATGCTAAAGCTCTAAAGGGCAGTGAAGAAGTCCCAAGGACCAGCTTACACCCAGCAAGCCCAGGGATGAAGTGTGACCCAGAAAGCCCTGGAGGACACTCTGCAGTTCTCACCAGCTGTGGGAGGCAGCAGGAAGGAGGGGAGGGAGGCAAGGTTGATGAGTGCAGTCACTCCTCATTTGAGATGTAAAGGTTGTCTTGAGGCCATGCCACTCAAATTAGCCAGGCACCTCTAGGAATTGCAGCACTGGCCCTGCAGTGGCTGGTGTCACATGGAGGGCTTTGAGAGTGATGCATTTCAATTATATGTGTAGACTCACCTAAGTGATGTGATAAATGCATTGAAAGCCTGAAAGGAGAAGTGTTGCATTTGAGGATACAGGCGTGATTGTTGGTCCTCTTTAGCCAAGATTCAGATGGTACTGAGAGGAGAAGGAGCACAGCTGAAGAACCACTCATTTTTTCTTTATTAGTTTCTTTGTTCATTCCTTCATTCTTTCTGTGTTTATTAACTGAGCATCTATTACATGCCAAGCACTGTCCTAGGCACTAGGGAAATAGGGAGAAAAAAGTGCCATGATTCCTGCTATCATAGTGCTCTCTTCAAATCCCTCTCTCCCCAGTTACCTGTCAACCACAGGTTTAGAAGTTACACACAGGCAGAGATTTTGCTCCTCTCTCTAGTTTTGCTCACTAAGGAGGGAAGGAGGGAGGGGAGGAGATCAAGTTGCAGATACTTTGAAACCTTTTATTGCATGGGTGTCCAGGGCCCACAGACTCACATACTCTGACTTCCAGCCTGTCAGTCATTGAACTTGAGTTTACTGAAGGCCTCCTGCTATTCTGATGGCTGGATTTAGGGCTAGGGGGACTGTTACCCAAAGACTGTCTACCTGTTTGGACTGTCTGCTACCTGTTTGGACTGTTCCTACACACACACACACACACACACACACACACACACACACACACTTATACACACTGGTTGCGTACCATGAAGTTAACTATGAATGACTAGTCAGCTTAGTATTATAAATACATGTATACATATATATGTGTGTGTTTCTGCATATAGAAAAATGACTCACTAAGCATCACCACAACCACCACCAATAAGATACAAATATAAATATAACTGTATTGATTTTCCTTTCTACCACTCCTCATTCTGGGAAGGCCCAGTTCACCCAGCTGCTGGATTTGTTCATGAAGAGCACTAAGAGAGGGGGATCCCCTATTTCCCAGCCCTATGCACCTTCTATTCAGTGGTGCAACGAACATGTAAGATTTATTGTTGTTAGTTACATCCAAACCAGTAGGAGAATCTTCAGGTTTACCCAGTAGGAAGAAGCTCTCAAGCATGTGGGCTCAGTTTAACCTTTTTATATGCAATGTAAATGCTTCCCTCATGTTTGCCTCCCTTTTCTGTAGCACAGACTCTTCCTAGATGCCTCCCTATGACCTTGTGTTGCTCTGCCAATGATTACTATTAACTTCATTTGCTTGTGGCTTTTCTCATTATAATGAATTGTAAGGGGGAGGGTTCCCATTGTCAAGGCAACCTGGAGTCACCTGTGCTTCATTTAGTCTCTATCCAAATGTCAACTGCTTGGTCAAACTCCAACTATATTCTTGGCTTCCCTCCCTCCTCTGGTGGAAGGAATGCAAAACTGTCGACAGTTCTGGCTATTGCTACCTGTTTGCACTGTCTGTCCCAAAGGTCTCCTCGACTTGCAAACTCTCTTCTTTACTTATTTCTCGTAACCTGATAAGTATGTCTTCCACAGTACAATGTGTTCTCCTTCTGATCAATGCTCTTCATTCAACAAATGTTACTGTGGCTCGCTAACCCTCTTCACCTGGGCTGGAGGTGGCTGAGAGAAGTGACTTTCTTCTGATTCTGATCTGAGTCTTATTTCTCTTTGTCATTATAGTTTTATGTTATCTGCTGATTCAGTTAGCTCTTTTATTGTATCAGGACTAATTCCCAGATTGCAGAGGTTCCCAGTCCCTGTCTGCAGTTACTCACATCTTTGCTCCTGAAGTCTAGTATGTTTCATTTGTATTTCTGTAGTTGGAGTTATTTCTCTTCTTACTTACTGTTGATAAACTCATGTAGAGGCAGAAATTTCTTGGAGGTGTACTGTTTCTGCAGCTTTGCAGGTATGCTTTCCGCATCTGTTGTGACTACTTAAGATGCTCCAAGCTGCTATGGTGGAAGGGGTTTTATGGACTTCATTGGCTTTTGGCAAGAAGAGGCAACTGAAAGTCTGGATGCTTTCTGAGAGTCTTCCCAACTCCTCAGAAATCTTTTGGTCTATAAACAATGACTGTGGCTGTCTTTTAAGTTGCCTTTTCACAGCTGCATATAGTCAGGATTTATTAAATGGTTAACAGCTATTCACTTTCTGTCTCATTGAGATTTTGCTTTATGTTCCTCTATGAGCATGGTGAGGCATAACATCCATCTCGCAGTTGATGAAAAACTACCATTCTCTTTATGAAGTTCCTCTCATTTTGTGGTATCTACAGAGAATGCTTTGGGTTCTGAGATCCATGAGACTAGGGAATGTGGCTTCCATCTTTGCTTCAGTCTTTTCCTACCACCTCCTCCACATTATAGTAGAACTACTCAAAACTAATTTGACAAATAGGTGGCAGGAGTCTATGATTATCTTATGGTGCTAGAGTGATAAGATGAACCAACTGACCTAGGATCAGGTGTATAGTTCCTAAAATTTGTAGACACTGTAATTGTGACTGGTATTGTAGATACTGTAAGTGTTACTGTAATTGTAATTGGTATCCAGGATCACTCATGCTCTGGAATAAACTGGTCCCCCCCCCTGCCTCAAACAACCCCATCTGGACTGCCCTGTTCTTATGTCCTTGCATGAGTCTGGGATCCTGTAATATAGGTGATGCTTGGAATTGGATACTAGTATCTGTTCATCTGTTACTTATCCATAGAGGGATTGGTAAGTGGATCTTGGAAGTTACTTTCTTTTTCCCATGACGGCTGGGAGGTGAGGTGTATGTGCTTAGTGAGGAGCTATGATAACTTCTTTTTAATTGGCAGAACACCTTGCTTGTCAGGCTTTTCATGGAGAGGAGAGAGTAGAGGGAGAGGGAAACTATTTCCTGAACTCATAGTAAAGGCTTTTCCCCTCTGTTTACATTCATACATAAGTATAGATTCATTCACTAACTCATTCATTCACCAAATAATTTTTAAGTGGCTACTATGTGCCAAATACTGTTCTAGATGTTGGTGATACAGTAGAGAGTAAAACATAGGAAAGTCCCGGCCCTCATGGAACTTATATTCTAGTGGGAAAATGCATATAGAACATAAGGAAAACATATGGTATATCAGATAGTGATAGATGCTGTGGAGAAAAAAAATGTGGGGAAAAAGAGAACTTGGTTGCAATTTTAAATGGAGATGTCAGGAGGACCACATTGAGAAGATGGCATTCGAACAAAGACTTGAAGTGGGTGGGTGAGGGAGTGGGCCATGTGGTTATCTGGGGGAAGAGTCTCCTGAGTCCCAGATAGCTGGGCCAGCAAGTGCAGAGATCCTGAGATGGGGACGGGCTGGGTGTATTTGAAGAACAGCAAAGAGCACAGTGGGTTGAACTGCAGTGAGTGAGGCGGAAAGTAGGAGATGGAATAGTCAGTCAGATCATGTGGAGCCCTGAAGGCCATTATACAGACTCTGGTTTTTACTCTGAGTGAGATGGGAAAGCAATGGAGGGTTTTGAGGAAAGGAGTGACATGACCTGACTTGTGTTTGAAAAAGGATCACTCCACCTCCTTTGGTAGAGCAAAAGTAGAAACAGGGATTCAAATCAAGGTTATAGCAAGGATATAAAAAAAATGATAGAGGCTTGGGCCAGGGAGGTAGCAGCGGAGGAGGTGAAAAGTGGTTGGATTCTGCATATATTTTTAAGTAGAGCTCATGGGATTCTTCGATGGATTGAATATGAGTTTGGGAGAAAGCAGCAAGAAGAGTGGAGTTGCCATTAACTAAGCTGGGGAAGAACACAGGTAAAGTATGTTGGGAGGAAGAGGAGAATTGAGTTTGGATGTGTTAAATTTGCCATGCTCATTTGATACAGTAGTATAGGGAAGGGGGTGAATAAATGAGTTCATGGTAGAAGGCTTGGCTGGAGAAATAAATTTGGGAGTTTTCAGTGTATAGATGGTAAAGTATTGAGACTGGCCAAAACCACCAAGGAAGTGAATATAGACAGGGAAGAGAGGAGATTCCAGGACTGAGTTCTGATGTTAAGGTGAAGAGGAAAACGGTTATCAGCAAAGAAGACTGAGAAGGAGCAGTAGGGAGGTGAGAGGAAAATTAGAAACCTGGTGTCCTGGGGCCAAGTGAAGAGCGCGCTGCAGAGGGATAAAGTAGAGGATGATCAAGTCAGTTCTCTGAAGAAGTGTTTTTCCTATCATATGATTATTCAGTTAAAAAAGGTTATTACTAGAGTATCTTGCAAATAATTTCTTGGTCATTTGTATAAATTCATCCACAGATTCTCTTGAATTCACATTCATATTTACTCTTTCAAAAACTCTTATCTATATGCTTTGCTCATTTGAATCAAATGCTTCAGATGGGTCAAGGAAGGTGAGGGCTAAGAACCACTGAATGCCAGGAGCAGTTTGAGTGGAGTAGGAAGGATTTCAGAGAGCAATGGAAACAGCGTGGAAGAAATACCACTTACATGCTGATGGGAATGATCCATTTGAGATAAAAATTATTGTTGATGAAGGAGAGGGAGGAGAATTGGTGGAGTGATTTCCTTGAACAGGTGTGTGTGTGTGGTGTGGGGAGGTCTAGACCACAGATGTAGGGATTGGCTTAGATAGGAGCTCTAATCATCCATTCATAGTACTAGGAGTAGAGGAAGAACAAGTGGCTGCAAAGGCTGGTACGTGGGTAGATGTGGTGTTGGAATCTTGTAGAAATTCTCTTCCTATTGCTTCTATTTTCTCAATGAAAGAGGAAGTAAGGTCATCAGCAGAGGGTGGAAGGAGGAAAATGTTGAAAGTTTGAGAAGGTATAACATAGTTTTCCAGAAGACTGAGGGAGTAAGTGGAGTAGGAAATGCATTGGGTTGCTGGGCAGCTTTATGGACTCACTTGGAGTTAGTTGTGATGAAGTTCAAGTGAGACCAGTGAGCCTGGTGTGTTTTCCTCTGGTCACATTCAGCCACTGAATATGGGAAGTAGGTGGAGATTTGGCTTTTATGAGAATAGTTTTGCCAGTTGAGCACAATAAAATGAGAGAAGATCAAGAGAGTGACTATAACATAGCCATGGAATTTGAGCTGGATAAAGAGCAAAGAGGTGGCGGAGAAACCGTGAAAAGGGAGGAGAGAACGTGGATTATAGACCGTTTTTAAAATGTGACTCTTAGGGCCGGGCGCGGTGGCTCACTCCTGTAATCCCAGCACTTTGGGAGGCCGAGGCGGGCGGATCACTAGGTCAGGAGATCGAGACCATCCTGGCTAACACGGTGAAACCCCGTCTCTACTAAAAATATAAAAAAATAGCCGGGCGCAGTGGCGGGCGCCTGTAGTCCCAGCTACTCAGGAGGCTGAGGCAGGAGAATGGTGTGAACCCGGGAGGTGGAGCTTGCAGTGAGCCGAGATAGCGCCACTGCAGTCCGGCCTGGGTGAAAGAGCGAGACTCCGTCTCAAGAAAAAAAGAAAGAAAGAAAGAAAGAAATGTACTCTTGAATCTGCTGGACAAATTCAGTCTGTGGAGTAAGTTGAGAAACCTGTCTCACTGCATAGAAGTAGGGAGTGGGTTTTGAAACCAAATGTTCTGATTTCTAATTTGATGCTCGCACTGCCCCCAGTGGAAGGAGAGTGAGTGTGTGCATGTGCCGCACATGTGCAGAGTAAGCTGTGACTCTGGGCGCCGGCGCACCGCTGGGCCCTCTGTGGCACCACTCCCAGGGTGTCTGGTCCTGTTTCAGCTCAATTCAGAATGTGAACTTGGGGAACATTTGGGGACTGAAACCCACCAGGCCCGCCCACCTACCTCACTAGCATTGTACTCTGTCATCTTGGTTTCCTCCTCAGAGTGTCTGTCTCTTTTTTTAAACACACTTAACGTTGCAGCTTATGATGCTGACTTTGGCAGCCTGTTCTGTTAATACTTGTCCTCTCTAAACCCTACAGTGCCTTCTTCTTGGCCCCTGTCTGCTGGGCTGGGAGCCTGTGGTCCACAGCCTTCTCCCCACCGCTCCCTCCCTGGGAAGAAACCGGCGTTTTCTTTCTTTCTCACACTTAACTATTTTCCCATCCATAGCAGTCTCCACCCTGAAGTTATTCCTACTCATTGCATTTCTGTCTTGGTTTGTCAAACCAGGATGCCATCATGTTTGGGATTTATTCCAAATGTGCTAAGTGTGCCTCCTGATCTGGTGCCTGAATTTCACACCACGAACCAGGCCAGTCTCCTAGTCTTTTGTCTGTGCATAGCCATTAGGCTGGCTCAGGGCTCCTTTCCTTTTTGTTTCATTTACTCTAATATGCGGTTTAATTTCTAATCCATGGCCAAAGGCCTCAGGTGCCTGATGTGTCATGCAGCTTTGGGCTATGATCTTCCTGTTCTCAGGCAACACCAGGCCTTAGGACTGAGGGGCAGAAATTAGCTGGAGGTGGTGCGTTGGTGACTCAATGGCTGTTTCAGGTACTTTTCACTCTGGAATCCAAATGCTGACAGAATCTCAGCCAGGTGGGGATGGCACAGTGCCAGTATATGGCACACTAGGAAAGCCAAGAAGTCTTTATTCACTGTTCCTCAATTCATTATTCACTCGAAGACTTATGAGCAATTTTTTTCATGCCCTTCAGAGTGTGGTCCATCTTGGAATCATCCAGGGGTAATTATTGTAATTGCAGATTCCCGGGCCCTGCCCCAGATCTGGTGGGCCAGCATCTCTAGAGGTAGGAGGAAGGAATCTGTATTTTCAGCAAGCTCCCATGTGATTCTGAGGCCACGCTGAAGTTTGAGAACCACTGTTCTACATCAATGTAATTGCCAGGCAGTAAGAGGGTGACATGGCACATAAATGGGAGAGTACTGAAGAAAAAGGCACACTTCTGCCTTCAGGCTGCAAGCCTACTATGTGAATTTCCATGAGGTCATGCGTTATTCAATGTTTGCCTAACATAAAGTGATTGACACACAGTGGGCTCTCAGGAAGTAGTTAATTTATGGACTTAGGTCAAGAAGGGGCAATAAGTCAGGTGCATGGGTACATACATATACTTGTAACAATAGGGCAAACTAAATATAGCGAATAATTGGGAGATATACAAGCAGAGATCTCTGGGAGGATTGAGGAGAGAGTGGATAATTTAAAGTGAACTGCTGAGCCTGGCTTGGTGGCTCACACCTGTAGTCCCAGCTACCTGGAAGGCTGAGGCAGGAGGATCTCTTGAGTCCAGGAGTTCAAGGCTGCAGTGTGCTATGATTGACCTATGAATCATAGGTCAGCCTGGGCAACATAGTGAGACTCCATCTCTAAAAAGAAAATAAAATAAAGTGAGCTTCTGGACAGCCCATGTAGAAATGTGAAAGCTGGTGAACTCAAGGGGAGCCCATGATACTGGATTGTAGCCTGTTGGACAAAGATGTCAGAGCTCTTGATAACACATCAAAGGCATCATTTACCCACTGGGTGCTTAGATGCTACTTTATATTTTTACCTTCCTTTAGGGACAAGGCTCAGAAACTGACTTGAAAGTTAGTTTGCCCAACCCTTTTGGTGGGAGGGAAGGGTTGGATGTACTAACTTTCCCTTAACCATCCTCTCCTTAGCTGGTCCTCATTCCATGCCTGTTGAAAACAATATGCGTAGATTTACAGACCTTTGCCTGCCTCCAGTTCCCTATGTTGCAGTTAGATGTCAGCTGTTTGGCCACAGCGAAGCTTCAGCTGCAGCTTTCCCTGTTGATTGACATGTGTGCCCTCAATTACACCTCAGTTCCCTCCCAAAGAGAGGGAAGGATTGAACAGGATCTTTTCTCCTTTAAGGTGCCAGGTACTAGGGGCCCCATTTACACTTCTGGAGAGCTCTTTTAAAAGGGATTCCTGAGAACCTCCACTCTTCACTGCCTTCCACCTTGAGCCCCATTGTCTGTCCACAAGAGGAAACAGGATTTTGTGCACTGATGAGGCAGCAGAGTAGTGGAGTCAATTACAAAAAAAAAAAAAAAATATATATATATATATATATTGTATTTGACTGATGAGTACAGCTTTGGTTTATCATCTGCACTGGAATATCTTTGATGTTTTGGGAAATCACAACACTCAAATCAGATAAAGAAGCCACAGTGACAGGACCAATGCCAGAGGACCTGGGATATCTTCTGACTTTTGTCCCCTCAGCTTCTCCTAGTGCCCCTTTTCTTGAGAAGCAGTGACCCAAGGCGGGGCCCTTCCTTGCAGTGTGCAGTCTTCCTCACCCCAGGAGCTGGTGGGTGGGTCACAGCACCTGTGATAGTCAGAGAGGACCACTTGAATTTCTGTTCTCCTGAGGGTGCCTTGCAGGTGCTCCCACCCCTCCCTCCCACTCTCCCCACTCACCATCCCCAAGCCATGGCCTTCACTCCGAACCCAGGACTTGTCAGCTGGTATCTGTGGATGGGCTTTGATGGCATCCATAAATTTTGTTGCAAGTTTTGTTTTTAAAATATATCTTTTAACTACCACATTTTCTTGAATCTAAGATGCCATTGATTATATACTCTATCAAAAATTGAATAATTCTGTTATTAAATTTAAGCATTATTAAATGTTGGGGGAAAAGCTACTGCTTTCTATGCATTATGTATTCATATATTCTGAGTTACAAAACCTTCCACTGTAAAGAAAGGTATATTGTAGAATTGAGGAAATAGAAAATGAAGGAATAAAACTGATTTTAAAAGCCACATGTAATCCATGTGTTATACAAATTTTCACACTTGAAGACCACCCACAGTCACACTGGCTTAATTCTTTTCTTTGTGGAGACCTTGGAGTCAATCTCCCTTTGCTATCTCTGCATTTATTTGAGCTTTGTGTAAATGTGGTATTGATTAGAAAGCTTCTAGTTCTGTGTTAGTCTTTTTAAAAGAATCAGGCCCCAGCTTGTTTGCTTTTATAAAGTGATGTAAGTGATCACACTATTACCTTTCTGTATGATTCAAGATTTTCTCAATACTGTGAAACTAAAATAAAATACAAAAATAAGCTGGATGCCAAAGCTGATTCAAGACTGCAATAGTCATCTATAACCCTGGTTTCAAATTTTTATCTTCCAGAAAACAACCTCATGTTTTGAGTGATATTGAATAAATGTTCTTTATTATGAATATATTTATATTAAATATATACAATATATTTATGCCAGAAGATGTCTCATTTTTGTAAGTTTTATGCATGGATGTTCTGATAAAAGTTTTATTTGAAAAAAGTGATTTCTGATGCCAAAGGTACTATAACATAGTGGTTAGGAATCCTGGTCTTACTTTACTATCTATGTGACTTTGGCAACTTACTTAATCTCTGTGCCTTTATTTTTCTATCAGTAATGTGAGGATAATTATGGTACCCACCTCACTGAGTTGTAGTAAGAAGTAAGGTAACATGGATAAAGCCTTTGACACATGTCTGGCACATAGCACTCATGTGAGAAATTATTAGTTAAAAAGTTTTGAAAACCATCTAGGATAGACAAAGCATCTTCTTCCATTGGCCCACTGTATAAACCTGCTCCTCTCAGACTGGTCCTTCCTGTCTCTCAGTCTAGCCACTTTACACTTTCCATTTGCATCATTGCCAACCTTGAGTGTACACTCTTGGAATTACCTCCAAAACTCTGATGTCGCCTTCTCCACAGAGCCTTCTCTGACTATCCCTGAGAAATTCAAAAGAGAGGAGATGCTTCCCTGAGCCTTCTCCCCCAGACCTAAATGTTATTAGCACTCCTTCCCAGATTCTCCTGTATCATTCATCGTCTTCTAGGTGTTTACATCCCTTTTCCTTATTAAATGTTCTGTCTCCTGGCATCAACCCCAGTCCCCTAGACATGGCTAAGTATTCGGTAAATATCCACTGATGGATTGATTTCACAGAGTGGCTGTCGGAACCCACCAAAGATGCCATGGCTTCCAGACTGCCAGGCTGTCGGGAGATGCAGCACAGGTTCTGCTCTCAGAGTGAGCTGCTGTCCGCAGGGACTATGGCTGCTGCAGCCTCTGCTTGTCCTGCCTCACTACAGCTCAGCTCCCTCCTCCAGTGACCGGTGGGGGGTGGGGGGTGGGGAAACAATGAAAAGTAGGGGAAAGGTAATTTATTTCAGTGTTTACAGAGGGTTTGCGTGTAATTAGCAGTTTATTTCTGTGACACAGCTGGCCTCCTCAGCTTGGAACCTGACTTTGAAATGCTCTTAAAGAGACCCATACCTAGGCAATCTGAGGGGTGCTGGGGACTTGGGAAGAGAGTGAAGAAAAATGTCATGCCCTGTCTTTGGTGATGATGCTTGACCAAGGACAGCCACTAAAGTGAAGACTCCCTTGTTCCTTCTTTCCCCAACTCTCCCATGCATGCACACACACACACACAAACACACTTTTGTTTCTTGAGTCATATTCTGTTAGTGAATCCACCTTCGACTTAGACCTTTTACAAGGTACATTTTTTTTAACCTTTTGTTCACATCAAAGCTTGGGCTTTGATATCTTCACTGGGGATAGGGGAACAGTCACTTGATCCCCTCCTGCCATAAGCCCCATGATTGCAGGCAAAACACTGTTCTCCTCTTTGTAAGTATTGAATAGATGAATAAATAAATGTGCATCAGTCTTTTCATCAGTAATATGGGGGTAATGCTGCCTGCTGTTTCTACCTTGAAAGTTTTATAGCAATTACATGAGAAAAAGTATACGAAAGTGCTTTGAAAAAGACGTTCAGCCCTCACTATATGAGTGTACTATTTTTATGACTTTTTGCTGCTGTGAGCTGTGGACTTACAAACTCAATTTTGCTAAGTTAGCAGTTTTTTTGTGCTTATGCAGAGTGGGTGTCTGGTTGCTTCGGGAGCATGTAAGACAAATTATCCTAACATATTTTCTGTCTCTTAGCATCAGTTTGCTGTGTTTGTTCTGTGTTGTGAGCGTGCTCAGGTCCTGTGATCTTGGTTAGAAATACAGTATTTATATTTTGTACATATTGAAAAACATACCTATATTTGGTGCAAAAGTGGCACTTTAATAGTTCTTGCTAACTTGCATAAACTGTGAATAACTGGTGAAACCTATGTTGCAGTTGCTTCCAAATTCAAACATGTTTCAGAACTTTTTTTCTTTTTGAGGTGGAGTCTTGCTCTGTCGCCCAGGCTGGAGTGCAGTGGCATGATCTCGGTTCACTGCAACCTCCTCCGCTCGGGTTCAAGCGATTCTTCTGCCTCAGCCTTCTGAGTAGCTGGGACTACAGGCACCCACCACCACACCCAGCTAATTTTTGTATTTTTAGTAGAGACGGGGTTTCACCATATTGGCCAGGCTGGTTTCGAACTCCTGACCTCGTGATCCCCCCGCCTCAGCCTCCCAAAGTGCTGGGATTACAGGTGTGAGCTACCATGCCTGGCCAAGGACATCTTAACCTTTGCAAGTGTTAGGGTAGACCTGACATTCATCTGTGGCAGTGTTCCTGAATGAGCTGGGGCTGAGCCCATGAGAGAGTCTATACCAGAATAGCATAATGGAAAAATAATGGCAATGTAGTTTTTCATGAAACTAAATTTGTTCAACTTGAAACTGGATTTAAACATTGAAAATGTTAGTGTCCTTTCCTGGCAAAATAAAAAGTTAAGAACATCATTGCGAGCATAGATATTTTTGTCTTTGTTTTGTGAAAATTTTGTGATCTGTGAAGGCTAAAAATCTATGCTGATATATATTTTATCTATGTAATAGATATAATAGGTAAATATATTAATATAATTATATAATTTACTTGCAAATGCATAATATTGCTATTAGCAGGTTGAGTTTTCTTTTCCATTCTAGTGATACTGAGATTTTTATATTAATTTTAAGAGAAACTGGTAGTCATTTATGTAACCTGTCATTGAAGAATGAGTATTTTAGAAAACCACATAGGCTGGTATAGTGAATGCCATTTCTAAGAATAAAGTAGTATCAGGCATTGGGTTATATTCAGAAGACCTGTATTTGGGCCAAGTGTTTCACCTAGGCTGGAGTGCAGTGGCGTGATCTTGGCTTACTGCAACCTCCACCTCCCAGGTTCAAGTGATTCTTGTGCCTTAGCCTCCTGAGTAGCTAGGATCACAGGCCCCTGCTACCATGCCAGACTAATTTTTGTATTTTAATAGAGACGGGGTTTCGCCATGTTGGCCAGACTGGTCTTGAACTCCTGACTGCAAGTGATCCACCTGCCATGGCCTCCCAAAGTGCTGGGATTACAGACATGAGCCACCGCACCTGGCTGCAAGTTTTGTTTCTTATCCATTCTTCCTGACTCTGCCATGGTATTAGGCAAGTCACGTGACCTCAGTGAGACTCATTTTCAACTTCTATTAATTAGGAACACCAATTCAGTACTTAGTGCATACAATGGCTGTAAGAATTAAAGAAAAATGTATGTGTGAGAGTGCTTTGTGCATCAAGATGTGCCTTACGAATTTAAGGTATTATAAAAATCCTTTAAAGTTATGAACATTCATGTTAGGAAGATTTCTATTATTGAGATTTACAATACAGGTTTTTCACGTATCATTTTTAAACATGTTTTGACAGATACAGTCAATGGTATCCCTCAGAAGAAAGGTAGAACGTATATTCAAAATATTGTTAGGATATTTCTCTTTCCTTTGTGCTCAAAGCATCCTGATATCATGACCTTTTCAAGTGTTTTCTTGATATGAAACAAAGCTGCCACTGCCTGAGTAGTTTGTATAAAAACATCAGATTTCTAGGTGAAGCAGAAAAGAAAGGGAGTGTGGAGCTTGATTCCTTCCCCAGGGGTCTCTATGATGCCATCCTTGAATGAATGATCAAGGCGTGTCCCCCACTGCCTCTGAAGGTACTTCTCGTGGCTGCCACCAGCTGCCTTAACAATTTGGAAGGAAAGGCAGGCCCAAAGGGCAGCAGGCACATGCACACCCAGGTGATCACACCTCCCTCGTCCCCTGCACACATTTAAGCTCTTGGCAGCACATGTTCCCCAGGCACAGGCGGGGCTGGCGTAGTCAGCAAGGCTGCCACATCTCTGTCACAAGCTTCCCTTTCTCCTAGTGTTTTCAGCAGGCCTGTATCTCTCCACCATCCTCCCCTTCCCGGGTCTCCCACTCTCCTCTCTCTGTGACAGGTTCTTTTTCCTTGGCAGATTGCACTGGAATGGTGTGACAGTCCCTCAGGGATCATGCCACCTGCCCAAGCTGGGGAGGAATAGCAGAGAGGCATCCGTGGCTGGCCAGGTCACCAAGATAACACTCCCCACAGGCGAGGGTATCCAGGGCTCCTGGGACTGCAGATTCCATTGCCTCATTGAGCCAGGAGCCTTGGTCCACGCTGTAGGACCTCAGTCCACCCAGGAACACTAAACTTGCCTGCCTGCCACTTGGCGCTACTATAGGCAGCTGTACCTATCAGCACACCATGCCTGGGAAGGTGACCACAGAGAGTAATTGCCAGTGTTTAGTCTGTGTGTGCATGTGGGTGACAGAGCGAAAAGGAAGGTATGGACCTCTCTTTTATATCCAGGTTATTTATTGCATTTGTCTTACGACTTCCATTTAGAGCTAAATAAACTGCAAAGTAGGTTATTTAAACTGGATCTTGGGTGCTTTAGCAAGTGGAGAAGTGGGCGGTGAGGAGGGAGAAAGATGGGAGATTGGGCCGGGGAGATTGAGAGAAAGAGGCCAAAAGAAACACAACGTGGCTTATTTTCCTCCCCTTGGTAGTGGAAGGCATGGTGTGCTGTGGCTCACAGACAGAGATCCCCTTTGCTGGGGGATCTTGAAGAGCTTTCTGTCTCAGGCTTTTGGGAAGCAGCCTCCTGTGGACATATCTTGCTTTTACAATTTATAAATAAAAAACTAAGGCACAGCCTAGGAGTGCAGATTGCACAAAGCCTACAGTTACCTACCGCACCTGGAAGGGTAGCTCCCCACTTCTTTGCCTGCTTGTCACGGTCACGTGCCCCCTCCACCTGCGTCGGACTTGTGCAGCCTAATAGAGGGCAGGTGTACAAGGAAGAACGTCGTTGGGGCATTTTATCGTCACCCTGTCCAAATGAGGTTTCAGGGAGTCTCATCTCCAGAGAGTAGTCTTCCACCCACCATGTACGTGTGTGTGTGTGTGTGTGTGTGTGTGTGTGTGTGTGTGTACACACACATATTTAAGCTCAGATGCCCTGCAGGCCCAGGGAGCTCTTTGCCAAGAGACTCTTGGTCCATCCAGATCACTCGTGAATTCTCTTTTGTACAGACTTGATAAAGGGTGTTTCTTGAGTACCAGAAGTACTGTAGTACTGTACATAATTCATAACACGAAGCAAGATAAAGTAGAAAGAACAAGAAAAGATAATAACTGGGGAATTAAAAGTTTCCAACATTGTTAGAAGCTGGGAGAGTGAGTCAGCAGTACATATGTCCTTAGGGAGAGCTTTGCACAGGGCTGGTTTTGGGGTAGGGGCCTAGGTGTCCAAAAAAGGAGGAAGGAGATGCTCAGGAGGAGCAGAAATAGGGATGTGGAGGAGAAGGGGCTGAGGGCAGGGAGAATGGGTGCAGATTGCAAGTGGGGGTGAATTCTAGCTCTGCCCTGCCTCCTCCCCTCCCTTTGAAGGAAAGAGATATCATGGGGCCTTAATCATCTCCTTATCTCTCATTCCTTTCCTGGTTTAATTAAATTTCTGTTCTAATTTGGAAGAGCTTGCATGTTCTCGACTGCTGTGGCAACCAATCTCTTTTATGAGACCCACCCTGGCACTCAGAGGAGTTTATCACCTCCATGGGACTTGGACCCTCTGTAGCTTTTGCCATCATGGTCAGTTCTGTAGTGAGCAGAGGTGGATTTGAGAGGAGAAAGGGGCTCCCTTATTATTGTCAAAGTCATCTTGTTTACAATGGCTTCAGTCTGCCCCTTCCTCTTCTTCACCAGGGAGTGAAGCCTCTTCTATCCATGTATATTTTTTGTGTTTCGCATTGTGTTACCTCTCCTCTCCCAGGACAAAACACACTTCGTTGGGATCTCTTTGAATGTTAAATAATACCGAAAATACAGATGAAAGACAGGAAACGTGGATAAACGTACCATCAGCATTCCTCTTACACCTACTGTGTGCCCAGGCACAGTGCTGGGCACTCTACACGTGTGACTGCCTCGAAGGTGATGGATCGGTCCTCATTTGATAAATGAGGCACTGTATTAGTCCGTTTTCATGCTGCTATAAAGACATACCTGAGACTGGGCAATTTACAAATGGAAGAGGTTTAATTTGACTTACAGTTCCACATGGCTGGGGAGGCCTCACAATCATGGCGGAAGGCATGGAGGAGCAAGTCACATTTTATGCAGATGGCAGCAGGCAAAATAAGAGCTTGTACAGAAAAACTCCCATTTTTTAAGTAATCAGATCTTGTGAGACTCATTCACTGTCACGAGAACAGCCCAGGAAAGACCTGCCCCCATAATTCAATCACCTCCCACCGGCTTCCTCCCACGACACGTGGGAACTGTGGGAGTTACAATTCAAGATGAGATTTGGGTGGGGACACAGCCAAACTATATCAGGCGCTTAAGGCTTACAGAGGTTAAAGGATCCTCCCAAGGTCATACAGCTGTTAAGGTAGAAAGCCCAACTGGAACCTTGTCTTGTGAGCTAGAAAAGCCCAGGCTGTCCCCACTACTCCCTGTTAGAGGAGGACGTGAGAGGAGATGGATGAATGATTTCGGCAATTCACTTCAACTTAACGGACATACCAAACATTGGAGTGCCGACCGATTACCAGGGCCCGTGTTAGGCATTGGATGGTGGAAGAGCTTTTGCTCCTGCCCTCAGGGAGACAAGACATGCTTGTGTTCAGTGGATGCCTTGAGGAAGTGTTATGGTCCCTTTGAGCATTATGGACCCATTGCTGTGGGGTATAAAGGCAGTGGCGGTGTTCTCTCTGAGGTAGCCAAGAAAGGCTTCATAGAGAAACCTTGTAGACATAGAATTTCACCAGGGGGAGAAGGAGATCAGGACCTGGGCAGAAGCGTGGTGGAGGTATGACATTTGTGTGCCGTGTTGAGGAAGTGGCCACAATAAAGGAGTTGGGGTGGAAAATGCCTGGAGATGAGACTGGGGAAGAGATTGGGGGTGAGTGATAAAGGACTGAGTGTCCATTAATGACTACAGAGTTCCTTCTATCAGGGAAATCATCTCATTACTTGAAATTATCAATGACTTATCTGTACATCTTTTTGTCTGACACTGTCCTTGTTCAGTGCCCCCAGGGCTCAAATGTGGGAATTAGTCTAATGAACTAGAGTTCATCCCTTTCATGCCTCCTTTGGTCTTTTACTGTGGCCCACATAGCCCTGATAATCTGTCCCTGGACTGCTCTTCTGTCTTACTTCACGCCCTTGCCTCCTCCATTGACTGTGTTCCCTTCACCATGACTGCTAGCCGTCTAGGCTCTTTCCTGCTTCCTGGCTGTGGCCACACTGTTTCTGCCATTTTTTTTTTTTTAAATTTCTAAATTTTGTTTTAAGTTCAGGGGTATATGTGCAGGATGTGCATGCAGGTTTGTTACATAGGTAAACGTATGCCATGGTGATTTGCTACACAGTTCATCCCATCACCCAGATACCAAGCCCAGCATCCACTAGCTATTCTTCCTGAGCCTCTCCCCCCTCCCCACTCTTGCCCTCCGATAGGCCCCAGTGTGTGTTGTTCCCCCCTCCCATGTGTCCATGTGTTCTCATCATTTAGCTCCCACTTATAAGTGAGAACATGGGGCATTTGGTTTTCCGTTCTTGTGTTAGTTTGCTAAGGATAACAGCCTCCAGCTCCATCCATGTCTCTGCAAAGGACATGATCTCATTCCTTTTTATGGCTGCAGAGTATTCCATGGTGTATATGTACCACATTTGCTTTATCCAGTCTATCATTGACGGGCATTTAGGTTGATTCCATGTCTTTGTATTCTTCATCTGGCCAATGCCTACTGATCCCTCAAGCTTCATCTTAATTGTTACTTCCTTAGAGAGCACTCTCCTAATCCTAATATAAATTGAGTGCTTTTGGTATAATTTTTTAAATCACAATCTTATTTCCTTCATAGCACTTATCACCTCTTGTGTGTGTATTTGTGTGACCATTTATTAAGTTTCTGCTCTGTTAACTACACTGTAAACTCTGTAGGTGCAGGGATGTCTACTATTTCATGACTATTGCCAGAACCTTGCATATCGTGTGGCATGTAGTAGGTGCTTAGTAAAAAATCTGGTGATTTACTGGATGGATGGAGTAATAAATTAGTGAATGATATAGGATCAAGCTATCAGCAGGGAATATTCTTATGCTCAGTGAAAACACAAAGCCTATGTTAAATGAGGCAAATTTGTTGGTATTTCCAATTGCATTTTTTTAATTCAACAAATATTTGTTGAGCACCGATTATAGCTAGGCATTGTGCTAGGAGTCAGGGATATAGTGAAGAACAAGCAAAATCAGTCCACCTGGAATTCGTATTATAGTGTGATGATATCTATTAAACAATTTAAAAAATAAGTGTATACTGTCAGGTAGTGATGAGTCATATGAAGACAAAGCAAAGGAAGGGGCAGAGAGTGTTGCAGGGAGGCAGTATGCTTCAGATGAGGTGGTCTGGGAAGGAGGTGGTATCTGAGCAGAAATCTGCAGAAGTGGGAGGGAAAGCCCTGGGATATCTGTGGAAGAGCATTCCAGATGGAGAGCCAGCAAGTGCAGGGACCCAAAGTGGTTGCTTGGCAGGTTCAGGGAGTGTCCAACAGGCCAGGGAGGCTTGAGCACTCTGAGGGGCAAGAGGTCAGAGAGAGGGTCAGGGCCAGATCAGGTTGGGCCTCGTTGACTGTGATTAGGAGTTTGGATTTTACTCCGAGTGTGATGGGAAGTCTTTGAGGTGCTTTGAACAGATGAGGTAGAAGATCTGATATATGCTGAAAGATCACTCTACCTGCTGTATGGAGAACTGGCCATGGCAGGGCAAGAGTGGAGGCGGGCAGCTGGCAGTGGTGGTGCAGCCTGGAATGGCTCTGCTGGTGGGGCTGAGCAGTGATTAGATTGGGATGTGTTTTGAAGGTGGAGCTGGCAGGACTTGTTAATGGGTTGAATGTGGGGTAGGAGAGATGGGAAGATCAAGGAGGGCTCTTCAGCTACATTAATCTGTTAATAGCGGTGCCATCTACCAAGATAGGGGAGCCGAGAGAAGGGGCAGGATGGTTGAGCAAGGTCAAGAGTTGAGCTGGAGGCATGTTAAATTGGAGTGGCCTAATTGATGTCTATGAGATAGCCCAGTTAGAGATGTCATAAGAAGTAAGTAGCTGGACATCTGAGTCTGGAGCTGGGTCAGAGCAAGAGATATACACTTGAGAAACATTAATTTATTAATGGTGTTTTGAATCATGAGATGGACTGATGTCCCTTAGTCTTGAAGAAGGCATAGACAGAGAAGAGGACCAACGACTTAGCTCTGAGAAACTACAACTTAATGTCTATTAGCACTGCAGTAGGTCTATTACTAAGGCCCTGAGAACTTGATCATCTTCTCTTGGGGCTATTTCTTCTGGAATTGAGCCCAAATTTAGTGTTGTTGCTCCTTTTAGGAAGTTATTATGACAGGGGCTACTTTGCCATAGGGGATGAAAATAGGAATTCCCACTACCACCCCATGGGCTAGCTGAAGGTGCAGGGCAGGTAGAGATTCGGGTGTGGAGGGAGCTCTTCAGTCTGAGTCTGTTCTGTTTTGGTTCATTTTCCTTTTGTCTGCTGTTCTTCTCCTGTGAAAATTGTTTTCCCTCAAGCTGATGTTTTTAAAGCTTAATTTTTATTTCTGTAACTGTACTCCTTTTCATTCTACAAACCTTTATTGAGGGCCTGCCATGTGCTAGACACTGCTCAGAACTGCTAAGTGCTGGGATGCTCCCTTTCCAAACACACGGCTCCTCCCCGTGATTCTTTTCCTGCTCAAAGCCATCTGCTCTCTCCCACCTGGTCCTCATTTTATTGATGGCTATTACATCATCTACCTGTCCATCATTTTTCATACCTCTTATATCATTATTAGATGTTCTAGCTACCAAGTCTTGGAACCAGTCTTCCCATTTTGTCTTACACCCCACATTTAACTCATCAGTAGCTCCTTTGGCTCTATATTCAACATTTATCCAGAATCTGCCTACCAATCCTGACCTCCAGCGCTGCACCCTGGTCTAAGCCACCACCATCTCTTGCCTGAGTTAGTGCAGTCTCTCCCTGATTGCATCATTACCCCACTTCAGAACATCCTTATGATCCTGGCAGTGTAAATCAGACCATGTCCCCGCTCTGCACAGAACCCTCCAGTAGCTCCTCTTCCCTTGCTGAGTAAAAGCCAGAGCCCTTGCAAGGGTCTACAGGGCCCTCCATGATCTGCTCTTCCACTCCCTTCTGCTTCTTGCCTTAATCTGCTCCAGCACAGTAGCCCTCTTGCTGCAGATGACATGTTGGGCATGCTTCTGCCTTGGATGGAACCTTGCTAACATGGGTCTTGCTGGAACATTCTTCCCAGTTATCAGGGTGGGCTCACTCTTTCCCGTCCTCTGGTCTTTACTCGGTGAGTTCTTTCCTGACCATCGTATTTAAAATCAAACCTCCTCCTTCCCAGTACTCTCTTAACTCCCTTTCAGATGTATTTCTCTCCAGAGAGCTTATCACTAGCGACCACAGTATATACTTTGCCTGTTTATTTTGTCTATTGGCTAAGTGATCCCACTAGAGTACAAGCTTCATGAGGGCAGGACTTTTGTCTCACACACTGCTGCAAACAGTTGATGCTCAGGTTAGTACCTGGCAGAAGGTAAGTACAGATTGAGTTACTTTTCATTGGAAATGCTTGGGACAAGAAGTGTTTCAGATTTAGGATTTTTTCAGATTTTGGAATATTTGTATTATATTGGTTGAGCATCCCAAATCCAAAAATGTGAAATCTGAAATGCTCCAATGAGCATTTCTTGGGCCATCATGTTGGTTCTCAAAAAGTTTTGGATTTTGAAAGATTTCAGATTTCAGATTTTTGGATTTGGGATGCTCAACCTGTATTTAATAAATATTTGCTGAATGAATAAATGACAGAACATGAGTTCATGGGATGGGAGGGTGGTCAATGCACTGTATTTGTTCTAGTTACTGTTACTCTCATAGTCTTTGCACTAGGCCCTTTGGTGACAAGTGGGCTGCATTTGTGAGATGGTTGGATGCCATTAGGGACCTAAGCTGTGTTCTCAGAATAGCATTGCCACACTAGAAGCCAGTTGGCCTTAGCAAGTTGAACCATTTGCTGGGATGTCCTTAGTATTATTAGGCAAACTGATCATCCAAGGTTTAGGGTTAGATGAATCCACAAAAGAGCTCATTGAGGTTGTATTAATAAAAACAACCATTCATTGAGTCCACAAGATCCATACTTACGCATGAAAATTACTCTAGGATCTCTTGCTGGGGGATAGGTGGGGGATCGGAATTGCCAAGGGTGTCCTCATGAGGAGGCCTCCATCCAGCCTCAACAAGCCTTAAACACCTCATTCAGGTGCCGTAAGAAGCCTTAAACACCTCTGGGTAGGGTTTGAATCTGTAAATGAATCAGAGGTAAATGAATCTTAAAACCTACTGGCCTTAAGAATTGGAAGGCCCCTTGCTTATATCCTTGGGGATATTTACTGTGGTGAAAGGATGAGGGTAAGGAATGATAGCAAACATTCACAGAGCACATATTATATGCCAGGCGCTGTTCTAAGAGCGCTCTGTGGATATAAACCCAGTTAATTTTCCCAATAGCCCTTTGAGGTAGAAAGATTATATTCCCATTTTACAGTTGAGAAAACCAAGGCTGCCTGTCTGCAGGGTCTTTGCTCTTGTTGATTATGTTACAACCATCTCAAAAGAAGTGTTGTTCTAGGGCCATTTAGGATGATACACTGATGTTTAATACACTTATGTGTTACATTTTGATGTGTGGTATTGTTGTGGGGAGTAGCTAGCTGTGTGTGGAAACGGACTTTTCATGAGGCATGCATGTGTGAACACTGTAATTAGTATTTCCAAGAGAGAAAAGCAACCCCCTCCCCCGCCCCCGCCAACACCCCAACACTGCACCTACCCGGAGACTTTGCTCGTGACACATTTTTTTTTCCCCATAGGAGAGAATGTTAAAGTAGGGCCATCTCTTAGATGAAAGTCCTAGAGGCTTTGGGACATATGAAGACTGGTCAGATGCTATTGAGCATTTCTCACCTTTGATCCTCTGTTCTGAGGAATTCTTGATAGCCTAGGACTAATCTATAGTTCTCAGAGGGGCCAGTTGTCTTGTTGCCTCCTGTTCTCGCCTCCGCCTGCCTGTCTCCCTGGCTCTGAGTCTCTGGTGATATGTACTGGCTCACCGTCAGGTGTTGGGGGATGGGGAGGCGGCTGTGCAGCTGCCGCCGAGCTGCTCACTTGGTAGGAGAAGTGTGCCACTAAGTGAAAATGAGGCTTGGCGACTGCCCTGTGACCCACTGCCCTCTGTACCTTGCCCTTCCCTGTGGGTGGCAGAGCTAGACAGCCATTCTCATCCTGGAAACGCTGGTTTTAAGGGAGAGGCCAGTCTTCTTGTGTTTGCTGCACCCATCCTGACTTGGAAGGAAGGTCTTTGTTGACTCCATGAATGGCACCCAGGGGTCCAGTCTTCAAGTTCCATTGCTTTCTCTGGCCTGTGGCTCATGACTAATTCCACCCCAACCTTGTCTCAGACTGGGGTCCCACTCACCACCAGGGCGTGAGCTTTTGGGGAACCCTCCCTGCTTGTCAGCCCTTCTTTTGGAGGAGTAACCAGGACCCCCAGACCCCACTTTTAGATATCCGGGTTCAATATAACACATAGAACTTTCCCCTCTTCTTCTGGGCAAGCTTGAGATGGTGTTTTTCATGAAAAGGGCCAGCTGAGGGATCGTTTCAGAGAAGCCCAGGTTGGCTACACTTTCCTTAGGATGAGACTGGGACATGGAAAGTGGGAGGAGAAGGAGCAGTTGGGTTTGGCCCTTGCAGGCAGTATTTTCCTCTGGACTAGGAGATCCTCTGCACAGTGCCAGGCCTCACACTGCATGTAATTAGGCTTCTAATGCCATTTTCTATTGACAAGGGCAAGCTGCTGCCAAGTCACTTGAGATGAAATTGGGTCACCTGTCACAATTCCTGTGGGACTGAGGTAGAACTGTGCTTACTACACACTTTGCCCTATTTTAACCTCTGACTGGATCTGATCCCATATCTTAGCTGGAGGAGGAGATGAGGGAGGAGCGGGGGCCTCTCAGAGCCACTCTGATCCTCATAGGGTGGGAACTTGGCCCGGGGATGCCTTGCTTAACCTAGCGGGGAGTTTCTTAACAGAGGTCAGAGTGAATCTTTTATCCCTTTCTAAGTCCAATTTGTAGGACATGGGGAAGACAGTGACCCCAAATTCCCAGTGTGGGAGACATGAGAGAGGCCTCATTTGTCACTCTGAGTCAGGAGGAGGAACGGGCAGTTATTTGTCTTCTCTCAGAAAGCCACGCTGTCTAGTTGATAGCTCTTCTCTGAGAATGGAAATAAGGAGAGCTGTCCAGAGATTGAGTGAGGGAGGAGAGGGAGAGAAAAGAAAGTGCTTTTGAGTGTGTGCATGCATGCTCATACATTCACGTGCTTAACTTAGGAGGCAATTTCGGAGGAAACAGAGAGAAAGAAATTAGAACAAGCAGGAAGAGTTCCAAGATGGGGGAGAAAGGGGCATAACATGGACAAAAGCCTGCCTAAAGAAGCAGTGAATGGACCACATGCAATTGGGGAGACAGAAGCAGAAGAAAAAGGGGAGGGTGGGGTGGGGGAGAAAGCAGGTGGGGGCTGGGAAGTTCTGCCTATGTGCATTGTCTTCCAGGTGCTTTTGTAAGCCTGAGCCATGCCCAAGGCAGCACTGGCAGCTCAAGCTCAGGCCAAACACACACGAGAAGAGTATCGTATTGTGTTTCCTTTTCTTCGTGTTTTTGAAACAGGAATAAAAACTACCAAAAGAGAAACACAGGAAAAAAAAATAGAAAGGGAAAAAAATCTATTCAAGGAGGCATGAAGATTTAATCAACACCCAGTGTTCTTAGCAGGTCGGGAGCAAGCACAAATCGTATTGTCTATGCAGCTATTTCTGACACCCCCCAGCAGCCCTCAGAGCAACCTCTGCCACTGCCCAGAGTCTGGGAGGCAGTTCCTGGGTTCCAGTGTCCTGGGCTATTTTGGGTGGGAAGAATTGCTGAGCCAGTCAAGGGAATGGGGTACAGGGTGTGTCATCTTCTTGAGGAGCTTCTCAGCATATAGAGATTTCCGGCTTTACATGGTAGGTATTTGTCCAGATGGAGATTTTGGCATTGACATTTATCCTAATGTGCTGGATATAAACTTGGGGGTAATTCGGGAATTTAAAACTCAGCCATGTTACCTTCAGTACAGTATATGGATCAATCTCTTCTGCTTTATCTCTCAGTGGCATTCAACACGGTTGCTTTCTCTCTCTTTAAAATTCATGACTTTGGTGCCATTACACCGTCCTGTTTCCATCCGTCTTTCTGGTTGCTTCTTCTCCTTTGGGGCTCTCATTTATTCTCACTCCCTCTCCTTCTAGGAGATCTTTTTGAAGTCTCTTGACTATACACCAATGAGTTGAATTTCTATTTCCAGCCCAGAACTCTCTTCTGAGCTCCAGACTCATATCTAATCAGCTACTGTTAGCACCGTTCTAAATACCTGAGACTACCAAGCCTTCAACTGAGGGCTTGATCCCTCTGTTGTTCTCTTTCCCACCTGCCTGTCCTAGTAAAACAGCTCTACCACCTACGGAGTTGCCCAAGCCAAAAACCTCACATTGTCCTTCTTTTTCCCTACTCCTTCACCCTCTTGTTTTCTGTCTGCCATCAAACAGCAGGTCGTATGGATGCTACCTCCAAAATATATCCCCGGCTGCGCCCAGTCCTCCCTCCCCATTACATCTACCCTGACCTGGCCACCATCTTCTTTGCCCCTGATGACTGCAGCAGCCTCTTGACTGTCTTTCCAGCTTTCTTCCTTATTTCTCTTCAATCCATTCTCTACTCCATGGCCAGAAGGATTTTTAAACAATGCAAATGTCCTATGTCACTTCCCTTTTTATAAAACCCTTTACTGGATTCATTTGAAATACAGACCCAAAGCTAACATGATCCATAAGACGAGTGGCCTCTGCCAGCCTTTCCAGCCTTGCCCTTGTTTTACCCATGCTGGCTTGTGTCAGAATCAGCCCCCAACCCGACTCCATCAACCTCAGAACCTTTGGACATGCTGTCCTGCATGCATGAGGGTTTCTTCCTTCGGCGGCCCCTCCCATTTGGGCTAATTCCTACTTATTGTTTCCATCTCAGTGTAAAGGACATATCCTCTGGAAAATCCACTCTGATCATTGACCCTAAACAAAGTCAGTCCCTCTCAGAAATCACACTCATGACCCTTTCAATTTTTCTTTGGAATACTTACCACCATTGTAACACTCCAGTTGTTTTTGGAATGTTTAATACCATTCTACCTACTAAACCTAAGCTCCATGAGAGCAGGGCCATGTCTGTCCTGTTCACTGTGGTGTCTCCAGGATATGGCACCCTGGATGGTCCATCGTAGAGGTTGAATAAATGAGTGAATCTATCTCGAACACTTTTGTGCCTAGGGCTTTGATTCAAGCACAAGGTGAGAGTGGAGCAGGGTGGGATGTTCTAAAAGACAGAATAAAGAATTCTTGTCCTTAAGGCCCCTCCTACCTAGTCCTGTTCTGTTTTGTGTTATGATTATCAGCTATGTGTATATAAACTTTCACCAAATAAAGATTGTTGCTTTTTGAGGATTACGTCTTAAATTTTGTTGTCACACTCACTAGGTTTCATTTCCTTGGATGTTTTATAGACATGTATGTACCTTTCAGTCCCTGTCTAGGTGGATGCACCTTCCTCCCCTTCCCACTGGTCTGTATCCTTGCGATCCCAGCGTGTGCGGTAGCCTGAACTGCTTGAGTTATGACAGCCTAAGAGCTGGGCGTTCCTGGCCATGGCTCTTATTCTCTAGAAGCTTCAGCCTTTCTGCAAAATGCGAATGAGATTATTAATGGTAATAATACCTTGTCTATCTTTCAGGGTTGTTGTGAGGAAAAGATGAGTTCATTTATGTCAAATACTTTGAAAACTACAAAGCTCCATGAGAGTGTTGGAATTAAGTAAGGATGCTGGGGAGTGACGAGAGATGAGCAATTGCTCTTAACTACAGAGAAGAAAGTTTCCTGCAGGAGGTGGAGATTAGGAATGAGGCTGGAAAGATGGTGTTTCAGGCAGCATCCTGGCAGGAAATGGAAGGCAACTTCAGCTGGGTTTTGAAGAGGGTTTAGTAATGGTACCATTTCAGGGATGTGGACAGGAATATGGGACTGAGAAGCCATACTTAGACCCTGGGGATTAGCTATTGTGGGATGTCATTTCTAGTCCTGGGCCTGAAGGAGCAAGGTGAGGAAATGAGGTTGTTAGAGCCTGGTGAGGAAGGAAGAGGGGCTGCCTGACCGTGACCACAGAGGGACCTCAACCTGCCTGAATTGCCACACTGATGCTTCTGGTGCCACCTCTTAGAAACTAGAGGGCTAGGGAGCTGGGTGATGCAGTTTGTAGGGCCTCACATCTCAGGGAACAGAGAAGGGTGGAAAGTAGGTGAGGGAGGGGCAGGTAAGTGGAGAATAACCAGTGTGGATGGGTATTATTTGGGAAGACAGGGAGGAGCGAGGAACGATGAGGATATCCAGGTAAGGATAGTGATGGGAGAAAAAGCAGAAAGGCTGGAGAATACCTATGGAGCAGTTGAAGAAATTAGTGGGAAATAGGATTTAAGAAGTTGGCAGGAATGACCAAACCATGATTGTCAGGCTTGGAAGACTGGGCTTTATCCTGCAGACAAGGGGGGCTACAGCAGTTGTTTCCACAGAGGAGATCCATTATGAAAAGTGTCTGGAGAAATGGTTTGGGCAGAGGTATGTGAGTAGAGGGAGGCAAGGAATGACCAGAACACTGTTGTGACCACCGGTGAGAATGGAGAGCGCTGGGTGAACACAAGAACCATTGGGAATGGATGAGACTGAATGCAAGGGCATGTCTACAGGAGACCCCAGGGCACAGAGAAGCCCCAAGCCTGGCATTTCTGAGCAGGATTGCTTTGCTCGATGCCACCTTCTCCCTCTCCTCTATTCTAGTCATGTGCCAGGGCTTTGTGACCCGTGCTTTTCTGTTCTTTTCCTTGGGACATCTCTGCTACTGTCACTGCTGCCTCTTCCCTTATTTCTGAAGGTTTCTTCCACATTTCTCCTTATTGATTGTATATTATTACTGCAACTCATGAATGACCGTCAGAGGTTTCTGAGCCTACAGGGCTGGGGCAGGGGTGTCTCCTGACCATTTCAATCTTCTGCCACAGCCTGGGCCACACAGACAGCTTTAGCATCAGAAGAGATGGCCACACCCAGAGCTGGGCCCCCAGTATCCACAAAGGAAAGTTCAGCTTAGGAAGAAGAAATGGGGAGAGAACATTTTTCTTCCTTAGCACCTGAATGAATGCTTTGCCCAGCAGGGCTACCTCCCGCCAGTCTCTACCTTTGTTGTAATGCCAATTCTTATTTAATGTCTGCCAAACACAAAAGGTCCATCAGGATCACGTGGAAAGAAAGTGAAATGCTGGCGGTGCCCCCTGGGTGTAGGCCTGAAATAAGATGAACAGGAAATAAAACATAACTGCAGGGAAGGCGGGCCCTAGACAAAGAATGGCAGTGGGCTTGCTTGTTCCTCCTCTTTGCTCCCTTCCTTTCAAGCCTCTTGCTTTGAGAGGGAGAGGCTTGTGTGTGTTTTGTATGGGTTGGTAGTGTGAGAAGGAAGTCAAGATGTTTGGGAAGGATGAATTTTGAGGGAGGATGTTAAACAGAAGAACAGCCAAGTATGGGGAAGGATTGGGAATAATGGCCCTAAATGTGGCAGAGTAGAAAGAGAAGGAAAAGAACAGAGTGAAAAGGCACACCGGTTTCAGTGTGGCAGAAGGAGCTCAAACACAGGGTGGGGAGTTGATGAGGGCTTTGCTTGGCTATTTGTGTGCAAGTTATGAGAAAATTGCTAATAAACCAATGCAAATCATCATTTATTCATGTCATTAAGCACTATGTTTAGCTCCTTCGTGCATTATCTTATTCTCACAGCAGTTGTGTGAGCTAGAACTCTATTTTCTATGATTTGCCTAGATTTGTAGATGACTAAACTAAGGCTGAACATGAGTAACTTGCCCATACAGCTGACAAGCAGTACGCTGGATCTGAAACTCAAGTGGGCAAAACCAGGATGGTCAAGGGAGTGTTCCTTCTGGACATAGCTCCTAGGCATTAACTCCCAGCATATTGGCTGGAGTTAGAGAAGTATTGCCAGGACAGAGCACATCTCCATCTTCCTCTGTCTCCCCATCCCATGTCTTGTTATCCAGTTTTGTGGCCCCTGGACACCAACACAGTATTCATTGGATGGTGAAGAACGGTGGGAAAAGCCTGGTCCATTTGGTGTGCACAAAGCATCTTCCTGACCTCTTACTGTAAAAGCCATGACAGTTTGCTCCCTATGTTGTACAAGAGAAAGGATAAAAGCCTTTTGCCTCCAGTGTTACAGAGAGAGTCTGTAGACTGGGCATACTTCCTGAAGGCAAGTCTTTTCACAGTCCCTGCACATAAGTACCAATTAGATAATTTTTCCAGCCATTTCCTCATTCCCATCCCAATAATAAACCAATAATCTAAACATACTAAGGTTGAGAACGCTCCTCCCAAATATCTTGGGTAATTGGATGATCTACAGAACGTATATGAGGACTTGTTGGGTGATGCCCAAGTGCTATGTCTTTGTCTGCAGCACTTTCTACTTTGCGTGGTCTATAAAAGACAGCTACAGAATACAGTGTGGTCTGTCTTTGGCTTTGAAGTTGGACATGCTGAATATTATTAATTATTCCTTGCAATACAGCAAAAAGTTCTGATCCAAACATTGTTTCTTATGCTTAAGTTTGTTGAAAAATTTGAAATCAGGCCTTGTGAATTTGATCATCTAAGGTCTTATTTGCAGAGACATGTACTTACTCAGGTAGTAATGTCAATAGAGATGTCCTGAGGCTCAAGAAATCCCTGTTTGCATTGTGGTGAGCTCCTCAGCCACATTGGAGCATCTTGGGTGGTTCCAATGAGGACTTTTGAGGACCAGCTCAGCCCCATGCACAACAGCATGCAGTTTTGCTCTAATATAAATAAAAACAATGGAAGTAGCTATTTTTATTGGACTTTTACTATTATAATATGTGCTAGGCACTATGTAGAGGGCTTAAGTTCATTATTTCCAACTCTTACAACTTTGCAATCTAACATTACTACAATTTTTTTTTCTTAAGATGGGGAAACAGAAGAGTTAATAACTCACCAAAGTCACAGCTCAGTCCATGATCTTAGCCTCTACCAGTTCTGAAAGACATGCCTCCTGCTGTGTAGTAGTTCCAACAGGGCATGGTTCTGATACTAATCCATTTCCATGATTATGAACAAGCAAGGCCTTGGCAAAATTGTGAGATAGTAAGGCATGCCTTCTAGCTGCCAGCCCTTTTGTCCTTTCCCTTAGAACCTTTCGTAAAATTCTCCACCCCCATCACCACCATCAACACACTTCTACCTCTCACTGTCTCCACTAGCAAATTCTTTTCCCCATTGATTCCTTCATTCATTTCGTCAACTGATCTTTATTGCATGCTGACTATGTGCTAGGTACCATGGTGGGCACTGCTCTAAGGAAAGATTCTAATTTCAGTTACTTCCATTTTTGCTTGATTTTTAAGTCAGTGTTTTTTTTTTTTTCTCAGAAGCAATTCATTCTGAGTGCTTACCTCTAATCAGAGAATGAAAAACCTTGTCAATTATCAAAAGAATGTGAGACATTAGCAGGCAGATGGTGGGTTTTGGGCAGGTGCACCTCTACTGTCAAGACAGTTGCCATTCTTCCTCAAGGATAAGATAGACCTGAGGTACACAGAAGTGAGTTCATGCATGATGTGGATCTACCTCCAGAGGCCCTATCCCACTAGATAATTTGTAGATTCAATAGGGGAAGGGTGCTTCCTGACTTAGAAAGCAGATCTCAGCCTCTGACCCTATCCTTGCACTGTGGCTGAGTTATGTTTACTGCCATAGTTACTATAGTGTATTTAAAGCTATAATATTGAAAGACCCTATGGTTGGCAGATTTCTTCTTGGGCAACAGGCTTATGTTACAGTTCTTAGATAAAGACCACTTGTATATGATCATTCTAGTATGCAACCAACTCTCTGTGATCATCTCTGATGAAATTCTAGTTGAGAATAAACTTTTCCCTTGATACATACAGAAGGCAAAAAAGATATTCTCTAAAAAAACACGCAAGAGAAGATTTCCATCTGAAGGCCAATGCACCAATGCACCTAAGAGCAGAGACTGTCAAGTCACCCTACAGAGTCTTCCTGTCCCAGGAGAAAACACGACACTTGAGATTACCATACCCAAAAAAGGATGACCCTCTCATGGCCTGGCCACCTATGGAAGCAAGGGAAAGAGCACCAGAGGAAAGAATAGGTAGGACCCATCCCAACATCTGTAGGGAAGAGGGAGCTCCGTCCAAGGGCTGGACTTTCAGGTCTCTCTGGAGGGGAGCAGGCTGAACCATGCTACTGCAGCCTAATGCCACTGACTATCTCAGTCACGTGATGCACTCTCCTTGCTCTGATCCATCTTCCAATCACAAATTGACTTCCCAGGAGGCTTGCCTGTGAGAGGGTGATGGGTTTACCTGAGCTCATGTGGGCCCTGGTCTTTGCAAGGTTTTATTTTTCATTGGAATGCTCAGGTGTAGTGAGTTCGACCTGAGAAACAATCAACTGTCAGGGCTGATCAATCAGGTTTGTGAGCAACTGACATTGAGGGCTGGACTCTGGAGTAGATAGAGTTTACTCAGGAAAGCCTCTCACTAGAGGCTTCCTGGGAGAATGCTGTCTGGCCTGTAGGCAATAGTCCTTGATGCCATTCCTTTTCCAGTTTGGTGATACTTGACTCTGAGTTTTCTTTAAGGCAGCTGGGACAGTTCCATGGAGGGTAGACTCATGCACAGAGATATCATATTCATAACGGCTCTTTGCTATACAGCTACTGCAATCTACAATCCCACACAAGATACCCCCTCCTTCAGTTTTTGAGTACACATATAACTGTCAGGTTGACTGAATAAGTTTGCCTATCCTGAGGTCATAAAGACAGTCTCCTGTTTTATTTTCTAGAAGTTTTATTGGTTTATTTTTCACATTTAGTTTCCAATCCACCTGGAATTGATTTTTATGTGTGTTGTGAGCAGGAGTTAAGATTTATTTTTTTATGTGGACATCCAATTGACCTAGCACTATTTATTACAAGTTTTTATTTTCTCTGTTACTGTCTGTCACCTTTATCATAACCATATCCTGACCACGTGTGTATGAGTTTGCTTCCGGACTCTGTTCTATTCCATTGTATCTCTTTGTATCAAATACCACACAGTTTCTTAATAACTGTAGCTTTATAATAAAAGTCATGTGGTGATGTAATTTTTCTAAATTTGTTCTCTATTTTCAGGTTTGTCTTGGTTATTTTGTTTTCTTCTCAGCATTTATGTATACATTTAGCCTTTAAAAAACATGAGGGCTAGGAGTGCTGACCACCTCCTGGGCAAAAATCCACATATAACTTTTGAGACCCCCCAAACTTAACTACTAATAGCCTACTATGGGCTGGAAGCGTTACTGATAACGTAAGCTGTCCATTAATACATATTTTATATAATATATGTGTTATATACTGTATTCTTAAGATAGCTAGAGAAAAGAAAATCATAAGGAAGAGAACATATTTACTATGATTAAGCCTAAGTGGATCATCATAAAAGTCTTCATTCTCTTCATTTTCACATTGAGTAGGCTGAGGAGGAGGAGGTTCTTGTTGTCCAGGCCTTCTTATTGTACAACCAAAAGACTGGCAGCTGGTGTTTATCTTTTCCCTTCAAGGCTTGGGGGTTAGCAACTTTATGGGTACTTTATCAGGAAGGTCCTGATCATAAACCTAACTGCATTTGCACAAAACAGTAGAGTTAGCCTATTCCTTCCAGCCTTAAATCCTGGTGCTCACTTCTCTCCCTTACTAATAAATGTCCTTTGTGGCATATTTTTTTCCCAAAATAGGGCACTTTGTCTGCATTAAAACCACTTAAGGTAGACATCTTTCCTCCTCGATGATGTTTTTTCACTGGTGCCTGGGAACTCCTCTGCTGCCTCTTGGTTGGTAGCAGCTGCTTCTCCTGTTAGCTTGACATTTTTTTAAGCCAAATATCTTTCTAAAATTATCAAACCATCCTTTGCTGGCATTAAAGTCTCCAGCTTTAGATAATTCACATTCCTTTTCCTTTGTCATATAATGACTTCAATTTTTTTCAAATCAAATTAGTCTATAGGTATGCCTTGCTTATAGCAATCCTGCACCCATGTAAAAGCTGCATTTTTAATATGAGATAAAAAGATATTTCACAAAAAGTATAATGTTTTTGTACCTGCTGACGTAGCTGCTACAACTACTTCGCAATTTTCTTTTCTTTTCTTTTTTTTCTTTTTTACAATGATCCACATGTTGGATTCATTTGTCTTGAAATAGCAGGTAGCCACAGCTGTAGGCCTCAATTTATGGCAAATATCAAGCAATTTAACTTTTTCTTATACTGTCATGACCTTTCTCTACTTCTTGGGAACACTTCCAGCATCACTAGTAGTGACATTTCTTATGGGCCCCATGATGTTATTCAAGGTTTACAGTATTGCTCTAAACACAGTGAAAACTATGCAAGAACCATGAGAGATCACTTTTTACTACAGCATGCAATTTACTGGAGACAATTGCTCACTCAGAGATGATTATTGTCACATGGTGTTTGAAGCAGATACTTGCAACACTTGAGCTCATTGCAATAGCAACAGGAGGTGGCTACAAAAATATAGGCAGTAGTACAGTTACACATGCAGTTAATTTTATGCAGTTATGCTTTATACTGCATCTCTACATTTGTTTACATTTCTCTTAACTAAATGGTATCATGTACAGTCTGTAAATGTGTGGATAAGTTTTGATACATTTTAACTTTTTATAATCTGTATATTTTATGGTAGTAAATGATATAGATTAATATCTACATATATTTTGTGCATTCATGACATACCTAACTTTGATATTTCTAGGTTACACAGTTCTGTAAGTTTTTTCAAATTGTTGCAAACGTCCAAATTTTTTTTCCAATATATTTATTGAAAATAATCTGCATATAAGTGGACCCATGCAGTTCAAACATGTGTTGTTCAAGGATCAGTTGTATGTACTTTAGAATTATCCTGTCAATTTTTACTAAAAAAACTCTTGCTAGGGTTTTGATTGGGACTGCATTGAATCTATAGAATATTGGGGAGAATTGACATCTTTATAATAATATTGAGTTTTCTCATTCATGCAGGTAATATAGTCATCCATTCATTATATACTTTTTCTCATTAAAGTTTTATACTATTTTGTGTAGAGGTCTGATATATCTTTTATTTTATTCTATTTTTTGAGATGGAGTCTCACTCTGTCACCCAGGCTGGAGTGCAGTGGTGCGATCTCGGCTCACTGCAACCTCTGCCTCCCGGGTTCGAGCAATTCTCTGTCTCAGCCTCTGGAGTAGCTGGGATTACAGGCACCTGCCACCACGCCTGGCTAATTTTTGTATTTTTAGTCGAGATGTGGTTTCACCATCTTGGCCAGGCTGGTCTTGAACTCCTGAGCTCATGATCTGCTCGCCTCGGCCTCCTAAAGTGCTGGGATTACAGGTGTGAGCCACCATGCCTGGCTGATATATCTTTTATTAAACTCATTTTGATGCTATCATAATTGGCATTATTTTTAAAGTTCTGTTTTCTAGTTTTTGTTGCCAGTATATAAATATACACATTAATTTAGCCATATTCAGCTATCTTGATAAATTCACTTACCAATTTTAGTAGTGTATCTGAAGATTCTTTTGGATTTTCTATATATATAATCCTGTCATCTGTGAATAATGGTAGTTTAATTTTTCATTTTCAATTCTTATTCCCTTTTTATTTCTCTTATTATACTGGCTAGGACCTTGTTATAAATTAAATAGAAGTGGCAATAATGGAATTCTTATCTCATTCACAGTCTCAATGGAAAAGTTTCACTGTTTTCTCATTAAACATGATCTTTGCTGTAGGTTTTTTATAGACACCCTTTTTAGGACTAAGAAAGTTTCCTTCTATTCCTAATTTGTTAGGTGTTTTTAATAAACACAAGTTGAACTTTACTAAATTTTTTTTCTGCAGCTATTGCACTGATCATGATTTTCCTCCTATATTCTTTTAATATAGTGAATCACATTGATTTTTCATTGCAACCTTGGAGTGACATCACCTTTGTTGTGATATGTTTTTTCTATATCATTGGGTTTGATTTTTTACGATTGCATTATCTGTTTTCACAATAGAAACTGGCCTATAATTTGCTTTTCTTGCAATGCTCTTGTGAAGTTTTGATATTAAGGTTAGGTTTCCTTAATGAAACAAGCTAGATATGCTGTCTTTTTCTACTCTTTGGAAGATTTTGTAAGATTGAAGTATTTTCTTCCTTAGAGTTCACCCATGGAGATATCTGGGCTTGGAGGTTTTTTGTTTGTTTGTTTGTTTTGTTTTGTTTTTTTTGTTTTTTATTGTGGTTTCTACCAAGTTGTAATTTAACACAGTGGAGAATCAATCTGTTATTTACCATGTTGAAAGAATAGGCTGGGGACAGTGGCTCACTCCTATAATCCCAGCACTTTGGGAGCCCAAGGTGGGTGGATCATGAGGTCGAGATTGAGACCATCCTGGCCAACATGGTGAAACCCCATCTCTACTAAAAAAATTACGAAAATTAGCTGGGTGTGGTGGTGCACACCCGTAGTCCCAGCTACTCGGGAGGCTGAGGCAGGAGAATTGCCTGAACTGGGGAGGCAGAGGTTGCAGTGAGCTGAGATCGCACCACTGCTCTCCAGCCTGGTGACAGAGCAAGACTCCATCTCAAAAAAACAAAACAAAACAAACAAACAAAAAAAAAGGAGGTGGGGGGAATCATGGAATCAATGCAGAAAAAAATTTAATGAGGTTCAAACTTTCTTTGTTTTGTCTTTTTTATGTCTCTTATAAGTTACAGATTTAATTTCTTTGAAAGAGAACCATTAAGCTTTTCTACTTCTTGTGTCAATTACTGTAAGTTATTTTTTGAAGTAATTTATCCATTGCATTCTTATTTTCAAATTTAGTTGCATAAAGCTCATAATGTCTCCTTATTATCTTTTAAAACATTCATAGGATCTGTAGTGATGTCCTTTTTTCATTCCTGATGGTGATAATCTCTGCTTTCTCCCTCTTATTTATTTATATCTATTAGTCTTGCTAGAAGTTTATCAAATTCATTAGTCTTCTCAAAGAACCAATTTTTGGTTTTGTTGATTTTTCTGGATTGTAAATTTATTTTTGTTTTTATTTATGTTCTTTATTTCCTTCTAAATTTGAGGGGTTTAATATGCTGTTCTGTTTCAAACTTTTCCATGCATATCTTTATATTTAAGGTGTATTTCTTATGAGCAGCATTTTTTTTTTTTCCTAGTGGGAGTTGTTAGTGTGTGTTTTGCTCATCATGGTATTTTGTACCTGGAATAGTAGCTGGAACATCCTAAGTCTTCCGCCAGAAAATATTGAATGAACGAGAGAATGAGCACTGAGGTCTTTGTCAAGGGTGGAAGGTGGGACAGAGATCATCAGGAATCTGAGTTTGTCCTGCAACAAGTGAATCGGTGCAACTCCCTTGAGGACTTTTGTTCTCTGTGTATTCCCTATCTGACGATGATTTAGCCAGTCTTCATGCTTATCTGTTTCATGCCAATCCCCCTATCAAGAACTTCTGCTTTCCTTCTTCCCACCTCCATCACTCACAATTATAGCAGTGAGGGGTGCCACAAGCTTAAGTATATAGCATGTTCTTTGCCAACATTCCCAACAACCCCTCCTTTTCAATGTTCTCTCACAGAAAGATTGCCTCCCACACCTCTCTTCATTACAAAAGAGCCCAAATGACTCCTGGTATTTTAAGGGGCGCAAAGTTATGACAGTGACAGAGCGATGTGGTATTAGCAAAATGACTCCGTTGGATGTGCCATTAGGGCTTTGCATGTCATCTGGGTGACTGCTGTTTTGTCCACATTTAGCTGGGTGAGCCCCAGAGCTGAAGGAGTTTATTTTCGGTGTAGGAAGAAAAGCTTTTTGGATTTGCCTGTCAGTTCCTTTTATTTTTTTCAAAGACTCCAAAGTTGATATGGCTTTTTCCCCCTGCCTTGCTTCAGAGGCCCAAAGATGTAGACAATGAGTCTCTGCATGACATTTAATTCGCCTACGGTGCTGTTTTGAATGTTACAGATGAACCAACTATGAATTGGCTGTATGTCTGTATTTGTATGAATATGTGAGACAAGGGGACTAGATGAACTAGAGAGAAGCATTCTTGGGAAGAATAAGAAGACACCAGCGAAGAGATGGTGGTGGGCATGGCAGATGAGAGTCACAGTGGTAGAGGGGACTTCAAGAGATCATCTGGGCTGGGCGTGGTGACTCATGCCTATAATCCCAGCACTTTGGGAGGCCAAGGCAGGTGGATCACTTGAGGTCAGGAGTGTGAGACCAGCCTGGCCAACATGGTGAAAGCTTGTCTCTACTAAAAAATACAAAATTAGCTGGGCATGGTGGTGCATGCCTGTAATCCTGGTCACTCGGGAGGCTGAGGCAGGAGAATTGCTTGAACCTGGGAGGTGGAGGTTTCAGTGAGCCAAGATCGTGCCACTGCACTCCAGCCTGGGTGACAGAGCAAGACTCCATCTCAAAAAGAAAGAAAAAAGAAACCATCTGGTTGAGTCCTTTGTCCTTCAGTAGACGAAGTGTCCTCATCCATATTTTATAGACAATACAATTGAAATCCAGAGATGTTTCATTATTTGAAGAAGAAGTTGGAATCTGATTCTGCTAGCCTGTGAATTTCAAAGGTCAAAGACTATATTGACGTTGATCACTGTTGTATTCCCAGCACCTAATTCAGTGAGTAGTACAGGGTAGGTGCTCAATAAATATTTGCTGAGTAAACACCAAATATATACCTACAGCTGCTGAAAATTCATTTATGTTACACTTTAAGTTGTTCTCCAGAGCATCTGGTTAATCTGGCCCTAAAGTACTACAAAAATTATCAGTTTTTAAATTCATAGATACATGATAACAAGTAAAATAAATGGATTTCAGTTTATTAGATGAGGGTTCATTCATATAACAAATTTTTGTTGAGTATCAATATTATATACAAAGCACTGGTCTAAATACTGGGGATACATCAGGGAACAAAACAATCCAAATCCCTGCCCTCATGGAACTTACATTGTTTACAGTGTAAAAATAAAACAGATAAATCATATACATAGTGCATTAGATGGTGATACAGTACAAGGGGACGGGGTCGGTTTTGGTAGGAGGGCCTGATGGTGTACTTTTATATGGGGTAGTTAGGAAAGGCCTCACAGAGAAGTTGACTTTTGAATAAAGACCTGAAGAAAGCTAGGGATTAAGCCATATGGACATCTGGGGAACAAGCATTTTGAGAAAGAACAGCAAGTGTGAAGGCCCTGAGGAAGGAGGGTGTCTAGAGAGGTCAGGGAGGAGCTAGGAGAACCATATGGATGGAGCTTATCAACTAGGGGAGCCAGGTCAGGTAGAATCCTGTAGGTCATGATGAGACTTTGACTTTAACTTGGGGTGAGTTAGGAAGCCTTTGGAGAGCTTCAAAGAGGTCAGTGACATGATTCAGCTTACATTTGAATAGGGTCACCCTAGCTGCTTTGTTGGGAATGGACTGAAAGGGGGCAAAGATGGAAGTAAGGAGACCAGTTAGGAGGCAATTGCAATAATATGAGTGAGAGATGATGGTGGCTTAGCCCAGAGGGTAGCAGTATGAATGGTGAGGAGGAGTGAAATTCTGGATAGGTTTTGAAGGAAGGAAAGGCTGATGGATTTATTGATGAACCTGACATGGGATATGCGAGACAAAGGGGGAGGGTCATGATTATTTGAAGGCTTTTGGCTTGAGCAGCTGGTAGGATGGCATTGTAATTAACTAAGCTGTGGAGAATGGTGAGAAGAGCAGGTCTGTGTTTTATTGGGGAGGGGGGAAGGATCAGGAACTCAGGTTTAAACGTGAAGTTGGAGGTGGCTACTAGACATCCATAGAGGATCTTTTGTAGGCAGGTAGAAAAATGACTTGAATTCAGAGAAGTTTGTGGTGAAAAAATACATATATATCTGCATTATTGTAGTATATAGTTTTTAAGACCATGAGAATTAGGTGTGAATAAAGCTGATGTCATGAGTTTTATTAGTATATGGCCAAGATAGGGTTTTCTATTATATTCTGGGGGTCAACTGATTAGCTTCAGGGCTACTAATCCAAGATAGCCATGTAGAGCAAGTATGTGTTAACTCTACAGGTGAGCTGGTGAGGGAAGGGGGTGGATCAGCTTAAGCCAGCCTCACTGCCAGGAAAGCAGCCTTGGGTGTTGAGTCAGCTCTGCTATCATCCTTTCTGTGAAGGGGAAGACATCCTGATTGCTATTATAGATATGAAGATAAACTCACCTGGATAATGTCATTTCACCATGTAGGCACTCCTCATCCACATGTTGAGACATGGGCATACACGTGCAATTGAATTCATTTCTTGTTTTTCTTGTGATACATTCACCTCAAGGTGAGACTTAGGTAGAGTTGACCAATGGGCTGGAGATCATGTGCTGAGGAAACCCTGAGAACACAGCTGCTCTCAACTTGTCATAAGGTGTTTCTTTCCAAGGAGCCCCAAATGGATTGTGCTATACTCATGGCATTATGGTTGGTAATGGAGGTGCAAAGAAGTAGAAGACTTGGAGAGTTCCCTTAAGGAACTTATCTGGTGGACTTACATGAAAATTCAAATAGTAATGCAAGATGGAAGGTGCCAGACAACAGAGGCATGAAATAGTTCATATGAGTCATGAGAAATTCTGAGTGAAATCCTAGGTGCCATAAAGTCAGGAAAGGCTCATTCACATAGGAGATTGGGCTTGAGCTGACCTTTGAGGAGTGGGAAGACTTAAATAAGTAAAGAGGAAGAGGGCTTCCTAGTGTGGTTGTGCAGGTTGTACATAAACAACTCTAAACAGCACCATAAATGTCACAATCCATGTGTATGGCCCCAAGATGGAAAGACACTCCAGGAGGGAAAAAAAGCATGGAAAAAAACAAGGAGATAGAGTTACATAATACATGGAAAGTTTATTTGGCTGATGCTAGTCAAATATCCATCTACTTATTTAGGAAATATTTATCGTCTGGCATCATTGAGATCACACTGAACAGAGTGGAAGATTCATTTAGGAAAGCAGTGACAAAAATGTGTGGGCTGTTGCTATTCAATGTGAGGCCTTGAATGTCAAACCAAGGACTTAGGACTTTGCCCCATGGGCAATCAGGAGGTATAGAAGGTTTTGGATGAGAGGTTGATGTTTTAAAAATAGTGTTCTAGAAGGATATCTTGGCAACAATGTGCCAGATGGCTTGGGTTATGGGGTGACTTGTGGTGGGGAAGTGAAGGAAAACCATAAACCAGGAAAAGAGTGGAGAGTGTTAAAGGTAATTCAGTATGGGTTAACAGAAAGACATGGAGTCATTTTCAAACATACAGAGTCGACTGTACATTCACCAATTAGGTGCTTGGTAAATGCTTACTATGTCCGTGGTTCTCTAATACATGTAAAAGGGAGACAGAAAAAAATTCAACAGTAATAATCCCAGGTATATCTGTGAATATAAAACACATATCCACATTGCAAGTCAGCCTGTCAATAAGGGAGGACAGAACATAGATAAGCAGAATGAGATATAGTGAATAAATTTAATAACTGCCAACTAGTTAGCATTTATGGAGCTCCTTAATGGCTTAAAGCATGACTGTATCACACGAGTTTTTTTTACTACAACCCTATGAAATTAGTGTTATCAGCCATCTTTCAATTTCAATGAGGAAACCAAGATGCCGAGAGACTGAGTGACCTATTGTGCTACCTAGCCTTGCACTGTGCCAAGCTCAGTATCTCTACAATACATAGGTAGGGGAACCTCTAGTTACTGAGCCAGCTTTGTCAGCTGTGGCGAGGGTCATACCTGATGCAGCCATGAGTGCATCCCTTCCTCAAGGGGCATACAAGACCCTGCCGAGCTAAGACATCCAGTATGGGGTCTTTGTCACTGCCAAGAATGCCCCTGGCCATAATAACTGTCCTTGAGTAGCAAGAATAGCAGAGTCCCTACTCCCTGCTCCTGGATGAGTTAGGTCAACAGGGACTCCACCAACTCTCCATGGCACTGGTCCATCAGAGCTGCCTCATGCCTATTTCCATGCCTAGGTTATGCTGTAGGAAGCATTGGCATATCCAAGGCTAGATCTTTCATTTCCTTCCCCTGCGAGTCTTCTGTAATTGCTTGGAACTCTGGGAAGTCCAGCTTTTGGCTTAGTAGAGGGCTGTTCTTTCACTGAGTCAGGGCCCTTTCATGATGGAACCTCTTCTGATTATGAAGGTAATGTTAGAGTAGTTGGTGGGTATATTTGCTAGGGCTGCCATAACAAAACACCACAGACTACTGGCTTAAACAGAAATTTACTTTCTCATAGTTCTGGAGGCTGGGAGTCCTAGAGCCAAGGTGTTGGCAGGTTTGTTTTGTCCTGAGCCTCTCTCCTTGGCTTGCAGATGGCCCCCTTCTTGCTGTGTCCTCCCATGTTCTTTTTCTGTGTGCATGCATCTTTTGTGTACAAGTTTACTTTTCTTGTAATAATACCAGTAAGGTTGGATTAGGGCCCACCCTATTGACCTGATTTTTAAACCACATCACCTCTTTAAAAGGCCCTGTCTCCAAATATAGTGGGAGTTATGGCCTTGGGGTGAATTTTGGTGGGAGACACAATTCCGATCATAATCCTGGGGAAGCTCTTCCCACTCCACATTTCATTGTCCTGTTGTCCTTGCTCTCCTAATTCTACTTCCCTTCCCTCACCTTTTCTGGAAGTCTATTTGAGCCTGGATCCAGAAGATGCAAGGGAGAGATCTGAAGTGTTGCTTAAAAAAACCGCGACAGCCCACTTATGCTTAGGAGCTTTTTCTGGGCACCTTTCAGCAGCAACACACCCTCACAGTTGGACTTCCTGTGGTGAAGGAAATTTTCTAATTTCTTTTATTAGGCTAATTAGGAAAAGAAAAACAATCATTTTTTCTCAAATCAGATACTATAACTGGGACACAATGATTATTAATCATCATCAGCTGCAATTGAAGTCCATTTGGTCATTCAACAAACATTCCCCAACCCCATTCCCACCTTTCCAATTATGCAACCCCTCAGTTAAAATCGCCATCTCCAGAAGGCTCTCCCTAACTAATTTGGCCCACAATGGTAAACCCCTTTTCAAAATTTGTGTAACATTTGACATCTGTATTACTTATTTGGTATGTATTATAGTGTACCTTAAAATCTTTAATGTACACATATACATAACAAAATAAGTTCCTTAAGGACAAAAGACCACACTTTATATAATTTTTGTTTGCTGGAATTTAACAGAGAGTAGGCACAGAAAAAGTTCTCAAATGTTTGCTGAATGATTAAATGATTAAATAATTTGAGGATGGGTATTTTTTGGGCCCATAAATTTAGAAATTACTGTTAAATAACATTATATAGATTTCGTAGATTACAAATTTTGAAAAAATTGAACAGCAATAAAATACATTTTAAATTCAAACAATATATGGGCATACCTTGGAGATATTGCAGGTTTGATTTCAGACCACTGCAATAAAGTGAATGACAATAAAGTAAATCACACAAATTTTTGTTTCCCAGTGCATATAAAAGTTATGTTTACACTATATTGTAGTCTATTAAGTGTGCAATAACATCGTGTCAAAAAAACATATCTACATACCTTAAATAAGAAATATATTGCTAACAATCATCTGAGCCTTCAGAAAGTCTTAATCTTTAGCTAGTGGAGGGTCTTGCCTCAATGTTGATGGCTGTTGACTGATCTGAGTAGTGGTTGCTGAAGGTTGGGATGACTGTGGCAGTGTCTTAAAACGTCTTAGTGTGTTTTTCTTGCTATAAAAGAATACCTGAGGCTGGATATTTTATAAAGAAAAGCTTTTTATTTGCCATACAGTTCTGCAATCTATACAAGAAGCATGGCATTGGCGTCTGCCTCTGGTGAGGGCGTCAAGCTGCTCCCACTCATGGTGGAAGGCGAAGGGGAGCCTGCCACATGGTGAGAGCAGGAAGCAAGAGAGTGGGGAGGGAGGTACCAGGCTCTTAAAAATTCTAGACAGAACTAATAGAGCAAGAATGGAGAACTCGTCATCATTAGGATGGCACCAGGCATCAAGCTATTCATGGGAGATCCACTCCCATGACCCAGACACCTCCCATTAGGCCCCACCTTCAACCCTAGAGATCCAATTTCAACATGAGATTTGGAGGGTCAAATTTCCAAACTATAGCAATAAGAGAAGAATGATGCTTGCTGCAGCCATTGACTCTTTCGTGAAAGATTTCTCTATAGCATGTAATGCTGTTTGGTAGCATTTTACCAACAGTAGAACTTTTTTTGAAACTGAAGTCAATCCTCTCAAACCCTGCTGCTCTTCTATCAACTAAGTTTATGTAATTTTCTAAATTTTTTGTTGTCATTTCAACAACATTCACAGCATCTTTACAGGAGTAGATTTCATCTCAAAAAGTAAAAAGCAACTCCTCATCAATGAAAATTTTATCATGAGATTGCAGCAATTCAGTCACATCTTCAGGCTTTATTTCTATTTTTAGTTCTCTTGCTGTTTTCACCCCATCTGCAGTTACTTCCTCCACTGAAGTCTTGAACCCCCTCAAAGTCATTCATGAGGGTTGGAGTCAACTTTGTTCAAATGTCTGTTAATATTGATATTTTTACCACTTCCCATGAATCATGAATGTTCTTAATGGCATCTAGAATGGTGAATCCTATTCAGAAAGTTTTCTGTTTACTTTGCCTAGATCCATTAGAGGAATCACTATGGCAGCTATAGCCTTATGAAGTACATTTCTTAAGTAATAAGACTTGAAAGTTGAAATTGCTCCTTAATCCATGGGCTACAGAATGGATGTTGTGTTATCAGGCATGAAAACAACATTAATTTCCTTGTGCATGTTCATGAGAGCTCTTGGATGACCAAGTGCATTATCAGTATTTTGAAAGGAATCTTTTTTTTTTTTTTTTTTTTTTGAGAAGCAGATCTCAACAGTGGGCTTAAAATATTAAGGAAACCATGCTGTAAACAGATGTTCTGTCATCCAGGCTTTGTTGTTTCATTTATAGAGCACAAGCAGAGTAGATTTAGCATAACTCCTAAGGGCCCTAGGATTTTTGGAATGGCCAATGAACATTGGCTTTAACTTAAAGTCACCAGTTGCATTAACCTCCTAACAAGAGAGTTAGCCTGTTCTTTGAGTCTTTGAAGCCAAACGTCGTCTTCTCTACTTACGATTTTCTCGTCTCTAGTTATGAAAGTCCTAGATGGCAGCTTCTTGCAATATGAAGCTGTTTCATCTACATTGAAAATCTGTTGTTTAGTGTACCCGTCTTTATCAATTATCTTAATCTTCTGGAAACCTTGCTGTAACTTCTGTATCTGCACTTGCTACTTCACCTTGCACTTTCATGTATGGAAACGGCTTCTTTCCTTCAACCTCGTGGACCAAGCTCTGCTAGTTTCCAACTTCTGCAGCTTTCTCACCTTTATTAGCCTTCACAGAATTGAGGAGACTTAGGTTCTTGCTCTGGATTAGGCTTTGGCTTAAAGGGATGTTGTGACTGGTTTGATCTTCCATCCAGACCACTCAGACGTTCTCTGTATCAGCAAAAGGTTATTTAGCTTTCTTATTCATGTGTTCACTGGAGTTGCACTTTTAATTTCCTTCGACAACTTTTTCTTGCACTCACAATTTGGCCATTTGGTGTAAGAGGCTTAGTTTTTAGTCTATCTCAGCCTTCGCCATGCCTTCCTCACTAAGCTTAATCATTTCTAGCTTTTGATTTAAAGTCAGAGAAGTGTGACTCTTCCTTTCACTTGAACACTTAGAGGCCATTTTAGGGTTATTAACTGGCCCAATTTCAATATTGTTGTGTCTCAGGGGATAGGGAGGCCAAAAAAGAGGGACAGAAATGGGGGAATGAATGGCAGGTCAATGGTGCAGTCATAACACACAACATTTATCAATTAAGCATACCAACTTACATAAACATGACTTATGGTACCCCACAACAATTATAATAGTAACGTCAAAGATTGCTGATCACAAATCACCATGACAGATATAATAATAATGAAAAATTTTGAAATATTGCAAGAATTATCAAAATGTGACACAGAAACACGAAGCGAGCATGTGCTGTTGGAAAAATAGCATCCATAGTCTTATTAGACTCAGGGTTGTAAAAAATGCAACATTTGTGAAGTGCAGTAAAGTACAATAAAACGAAGTGCAGTAAAGTACAGTAAAATGAGGTATGCCTGTAGAACTAATCTCGTGTCTTAGATGTGTGAAAAAAAGAAAAGAACACTAAAGCCAGGTTAGAGAATTCTGCTTTCTGCTGTGCCTTTCATGGACTTTTGAACCTTGGGAAGTTACTCAGCCTCTCTCAGGGCCTTTCACCATTTACAAGGTGAGGCCATGGACTCTCAGATGACAACTAGATTTACCTTGCATGCAGTTTTCAGTGTATGGACATGGTTTACTGGAGAAAGATTCTGAGACCATGTCCAAACCCATCTATGAAAAGTACCTGGAATTGTTAGTCATGTCAGCAAATGCAGAGGAGGAAGTATAGGTAGTGTAAGTATAGACGTTCTCTGAGGTCCCTCCGAGCAGTAAAGCTCTATGAATTTATGATTCACTTTCTCTTTCATGAAGAGAAAGCACTTCAGAAACTTATGGGGCTCTGTAGTCATCACCAAGAACATTTGCTTTCATTGTACTGTTAAGTAGGAGTGCTCATTAGCAGAGATTCTGGTCAACCAAATGCTGGGTTAGTGTAGAGTATGCTACTTGATCTAAATTCAGGAAAACATGCCCAGGGCGTAGGACTTCCATACTACACAAATTTTCTTAATTGCATTGGTGTAAAATGTGCAATTAAAAGGGTAATGAGAGTGGTTATCTCTAGGTAATGATTGTGGGTAATTTTTGTTTTCCCGTTTATGCTTTTCTGTACTTCTAAATGTTCATATATAACTTTTATAGTTAGAAGAAACAAATCCTATAAAAAAGAATGATAGATACTCTAGCAAGATGAAAGAACAAGGAAGAATTTCAAAATTCAGTTCATTTCAGTGAACATTTATCCATTTCATTCAATAAATATTTATTTACCACTTACAATGTTACAGGTACTGCAGGGGTTACCAGTAACTGATTCAAGAAGGAGAGCTGTTCACAGAGCAAGATGTTTCACAGAAGGGAAAGCTATTGAACTAGGTCTTATAGGAAGAGTTATCAATTGACAGAATATGAAAATGGGGCATCTTGGGAAGAGGAAATGGTACCTGTATCTGGAAAATGTAATGCATTATCAAAGGACCGTGAATGTTTCTGAGAGGGATCCTCCTTAGGAGTGGGGGGAGATAAGGCTCGGTAAATGGATGAGGCCCAGACTGTTGTGTCATGGTGTCTAACTAGTGGGCAAAGTAGAGCCACTGCAGGGTTCTAAGCAGAGGAAGGCCACCATGAGAACAGTGTGTTGGGAACACTGATGTTGGCTTCAGGAGGGTCAGAGGGAATTCACTGGGCAGCACAGTGGTTCAGGGTAAGGGAATGCTGTATAAGCACCAGGCTTCTTCCCAGGTGTTCTTAATTATTACAAATTAGGAAGATTAAGGTTTAAATTGTGTCACTAACATGCTTATTCAGTGGGTGAGGCTACAGGTTGCTAAACTTGTTAGAATTGTGATACAATAATCTCATTGTTTTAGTGTCATGTCTTTTCCACCCACCTCTGCTTTCTCTTTCTAACCGTCTCCCACCCCATGTTATTGGCATTTAGTTCATATTCATTTTAGTATTAAAGGGAAGTAATTATTTCTGTATTGTGAAATTGGCATTTGAGATCATTGGAAATATTCTTTAATGCTGTAAGCTAGAGTTTTAAAAAATAGGATTAGTTAAGTCATATTTTTTAAAAGCGAAAAAAATCACCCAGAAGCTATTGAAGATGATGAGATAATGAGATGAAGAAGTTGAGATGGACTGTGTGTCTCTTGAGTCAATGTCGATAACCTTTGGAACCTGTCCTAAGTGAGAACCTCGATTGCCCTACTGCAAATGCACGTGTTCAGCTGCTGATTCAGGACTGATCACTGGGGGTGCCTCAGAACTTTCCATTTTCTTAGATTCGTCAGCAAACTCACACTCAGGGACCTTATGAGACCAAGTCAGAGTAAATGTCCAGGGTTTACAGAGTGGATACAGTGGCTCTGTTTCTCAAGAAGGACTCTGTATAATTAAATTATCATTCTTCTATTAAAAAATTGAAATTCTTTCTCCCAGGAGCTCATTGCCAGTGCCTTCTCTGTAGTCTTATAGTCAATTCAAAAATATATCACTTCTGGAAGATGTGAGCTTGAAGTGTGAATGCTATCACATGAATCTTCTTTTTATCATAGAAAAGGCTTTTAGGTGGGGTGTTGATGTCAAGATTAACTCAGAGAAAATTGGCTGCAGTTAGGGCTGAATGATAGTGATCATTCCAAAACTCATTAGGAGTCTAAAAAGTGAATATTTAGACTTTGACCAAAACCCATTTGTCCTAGAGTGAAATATGGTAGCGAGAGAAAGACAGCCCTGCAACCCCGAAGTGTAGGCGGGCCTTTCTTTAGGAACCAGGCATGTTCTTGAAATCTTGTGTGTCAATCAGCTTTTTGTAAATGGAATCCTTTTTTCTCCTTCATTAACTTTCCCTGTAATTTCAGCAGTGTTTAACATTCATTACTGATTGATCTTGAGTTGGCAGTTAACTGCTAACATTCAGATTTGGATTTTAGTGCTTCTTTCTTGATTTTCTTGCCTTTTTTTCTTTGCTCACTTTCTTTCAGCAACTACTTAAGGAGTAAATACTATGTCTCAGGCCCAGTGATAGGGACTGGGAATATAAGTAAGAATGACAGGTAAACAATTACCGTAGGAAATGGTAAATGCAAATCCTAGGAGTACAGAGAAGCTGTGGTAGCACGGAGTCCCTCTGTCTGGGGAGGGCTTCCCAGGGCAGGGGTTACTGAAGGATCTGAAGATGTGAGGAGGTGCTTGCTTGGGTGATGCCCATCCAAGGAAGACCAGGATCAGAGGCAGGTTTGGGATTAACTAACTGGAAGGACTTTGGTGTTGAGGAGTTTCAGTCTCAGGACAAGCAGTGAAGCAGCTGATGCTCTTTGCTTAGCCTTCTACATGGAGTGAGTTGTGGGGAAAAGTTGTTTGCAACATGTATTTTTCTAATGGCCAGGGAGGGGTTATTTCACTATTATTTCTCTCCAACTTTTCTATCAAATACACTTGTGGAGTTTCTGTAGTGTGAATTGTCTTACTTCAATCTGTAAGTTCAATCTATATTCATGAAGTAGGAGGGCACCCCTAAATAAGATTGAGAGGGAAAAAACATGAATATTTTCAGTTTTAGTGGGAACTCTCATATTTGACTTAGTAACATTAAAAATGATTATATATAAATTACAAATTTTTTATGGTAAAGGACACCATAAGTAATGTCAACAAATGATTAATACACTGAGAAAAATGACACGTGAAAAAAATTCTAATATAAGTATATATAAAGAGCCTCTATACATTTATAAGAAAAAGACAACATATAGAAATATGGACAAAGGAAGAGAGTAAGCGATTCAAAGGAAAGGCAAACCATATGGCCAATAAACACCTGAAATGATGCTAAAACTCAGAAAAATGCAAATTAAAGCAATAAATTGGACCAATTCTTTATCCATCAGATTGGCTAACATGAGTAGGAAGATTAGTGGAATGTTGCCTACCTGTGGTTCTGTGCGTCTGTGTGGGTCTACTTTAATGAGTTTAGATCTAGGTGCTTGTCCTGGAGGCACATTCACAGTGTGTTTTTTAAATAAGAAAAGCAAGTTACAGAGTAATGTGTATAGTATGATCCCATTCAAAAAAATAGCAAAATGCTATGTGTAAGTTTGAATGTGCATGAAGATAGGTGGGAAGAAAACACATCGGGCCATAAGCACTTACCACAGCAGGATGGGAATGGGGGGAGGGTGGGGGCAAGTAACTTTTTCTATATACATCTTTGTATGCAGTTGTATACATATTGCCTTTGTAATTTAATGTACAAAGACAAAATAAGTACCTAGAAATTAAGAACAGATTAGTACACTTTTTCTGCTACTGTCTTGCCATAGTGTTGTTCAAACCAGCTAGAAAACAATTCTGTGGTGCCAGGTGAGATGAACTCTCCACCTCTTCCTGAGGGCTTTGTCTTCATGCATGGGACAAAGCAGTGTAATTAACATGCCCCCCCACCCCGCCTTAAAACCTAATATTCATTCATCTCTTACTTTGGTTATTATTTAAAAAGAAAACATTTGTCAATTACTTCACACTGACAAGCACCATCCCACTGAGGGGGCAGGCAGGAGGTCCATCTCACCACCCAGCTGTATTGCAACAACGCCCTCTCCATCTGGGAATACGGCCCAGGCACTCCTCTGGAATCCTGAACACACTCCAGGCACCTCTCTTCTTACTGAACACCACCTATGCTTGGAGCACCATGTGAGAGGACACCTCTGGTATCAGGCAGCTTCAGATGTATTCAGAGAGATTGAAAACTGCAAGGATTCAAGGCATAACAAATGATACACAGACAAGAAAAAAAGACATTTAGAGTGGGGGATAGGGCCTGAAGGCTTGAATGGTCCTACAAGACTTTCTCAAAAGTCGTCACCCTGGGACCTGAAACATTAGAGCTCTTTCCAGAGTAAGTCTATTCTCAGCCAGAGGTCTCCAACAGAGGCTGTCCATGTGTACTGGTTTCAAGTTCTGCTTACCTCCCAAGTGTTGTTTTTTCTGACCCTGACCTAATTCCTCCCAGGCCAGGCTGGCCAGCACCTTCTGAAATTGCTCTCAGGCAGCTGGAAGGCCTGGCTGGCAGGAGCCCTGGGTTTTTCACCCTCAGCCCCAGGGCTCTTTGAAGGCCTACTCTCCAAGAACAAACAAACCTGGCCTGACGCTGCATAGCTGCAGAATAGGGGAGCTTTCTCGGCCTGGTGCCCAGGGTGGCCGAGCTGCCAGCCAGGTGCATGATCCTCAGTTAATTAGGTAACTATAGGTAGTCCTGCAGCCCAGGCTGTGTGCTGATTAGTCTGGGCTGTTGTTGGAGACCTCTGAGAATAGACTTACTCTGGAAAGAGCTCTGATGTTTCAGGTCCAGGGTGATGACTTTTGAGAAAGTCTTGTAGGACCATTCAAACCTTCAGGCTCTATCCCCCTCTCTAAATGTCTTTTTTCTTGCCTGTATATCATCTGCTATGCCTTGAATCCTTGCAGTTTTCAGTCTCTCTGAATATATCTTAAGTTGCCTGATACCAGAGGTGTCCTCTCACAGTGTGCTCCCCCAGCATCGTGCTCTGAGCATAGGTGGTGTTCAGCAAGAAGAGAGGTGCCTGGAGTGTGTTCAGGATTCCAGAGGAGTGCCTGGGCCGTATTCCCAGAAGGAGAGGGCGTTGTTGCAGTATGGCTGGGTGGTGAGATAGGCCTCCTGCCTGCCCCCTCAGTGGGATGGTGCTTGTCAGTGTGAAGTAAACCCTGGAGCACCTGAGGGAGGAAGAGGAGGAGATAGATCTTCAGCTTCCAGGGATTAGACTGAAAGCTCAACTGGCAAAATGCCCATTTTATTCCCTCATTGCAAGCTGAAAGTAGAGAGCTGAGGAACCCCGGGCTTGACCACTTTTTTGCATTGACAGATCCTTTGTGGGAGACACATGATCCACATGGGCATTCCTAGATCCCTTTGAAGACTCCATAAGCCCAGGGAGATCAGATTTACCTCAGGTTTCAAGTAGATCTCAAGATCCCACTGGAACTCAGATTTTCAGGGGAGTTCAGAATTAGGGCACGAAGTGCAGGAGATGGTATCAACAGCAACAAATCTGTCTGATATTCTAAAAGAGTTCATCCCAGTGTAGCCCCAAAGACTTCAGACTGAACCAGATTCACCTTGAATTGAATAAGCTGATGCAATATTGGCAGCTACACATTCTTCATATGACACCTCTTTTCTCAACTTCTCTTCACCCTGTAGTCTCCACAGAGATATTCCTGAGGGATAGCAAGAGTGGGGAGCTAACCTGTTTCTTTGCACTGAATGAGCAATGCTTGTGCCTTTCCTCTTTTCTTGTATCCGTACATTTCCAGAGGAGCCAGTTTATAGAGGGTATAGAGTAACCCAAGAATACAGGTTTGGGAGTAAGGGAGCTGGCTTTTATTCCAAGTGCTGCCACTGGCTCTCTGTGTCATCCTGGTCAAGGCATGGGGTGGGAGCAGGTGTTGAAAGGAGCCTGCTGCTGGGGATTGGCTGGCCCCCAAGGAGCTTATGCCCCTCTTGCTAGGATGCTGGGGATCAGGTCAGTAACACCTGTATTTACAGATGTGGGCTTTGTTACATATTTAATATTTAATTTAAAAAGAATTAATGACAGTCATAGCCCATATATAACCCACTTCCTGATGTGATTTGTTTGGCCCAGTTTTACAAAGTTGTCCTGTCAGAGGAATTTCATTTATAAAGTTCCTTATTGCTGAGCCTCTGTGTGTTCCAGTTATGAGTCACATGTGTCAACACCGTGGAAATGAAATTTGTACCCCCTGGACCCATGCAGATTGATTTGATTCTGGGCTAAATGGAAATAGAACCTGTACAAGTCAAATGTTTCTGGAGCATCTGCCATCTACAGGGCACTTGGAGGAAACATAAAGACATTCAAGACACAATCCATGTATTCAAAGAATGCACAGTCCAGCCAACAATGTTTTAAAGCTTCCAGTAGTTTCCTAAAAAATACCATAGTCTTTTTGAGTTTGGAGAATATTATTACTGTTGTCAATTACTTTTTATTAGCACCCTGTATGATATAGGTACTATCTTAGGTTGGTTTCCCTGGAAGTCAGCTCTGCAAAAGAGAATTGCAAGCAGAACGTCTTTCGAAGTGTGCTTTGGGAAGATACACCTGAGGATGCAAAAAAGCCAAAGTTCAACAGAGGAAAGGCTGACTCGCACCACCAGAACTGGATGTCCCTTCAGAGGTGTCTCTAATCGAGGCAAGGGGCAGTTTCCAAGGAAGGGTGCAGCAGCTGGGGAATAAGAGTGTCTGCCCTGAAAGCAGAACCTGAGTATAATATCATGGTATCCACTCCAGGCATTCAAATTCATTCTTATCACCATAGCTAATACTTACCGAATGCTTTCTGCTTGCCATAGCTTGAGCGAGTGTTTTAGCTGCACTGTTTCCGATTCATGCAATGTAGAGATGAGGCAGTTAAGGGGCAGAGAAGTGAACTGCACAATGAATACCATGGTAGGCAGAGAGGTGGAGAGGGGAATTATTAATAACTGTCAGACTACACTTTTTTATTTTTTTGAGATGGAATCTTGCTCTGTCACCCAGGCTGGAGTGCAGTGCCACCATCTCAGCTCACTGCAACCTCCACCTCCCAGGTTGAAGCGATTCTCATGCTTTAGCCTCCTGAGTAGCTGGGAATATAGGCGCCTGCCACCACGCCCGGCTCAGTTTTGTATTTTTGGTAGAGACAGGGTTTCACCAAGTTGGCCATACTGGTTTTGAAATCCTGACCTCAAGTAATCTGCCTGCCTTGGCCTCCCAAAGTGTTGGGATTACAGGCATGAGTCATTGTGCCTGGCCTCAAACTGTACTTCACATGTAATTTTCAAAGCGCTATCCCATGATAGGAATTATCATTCCCATTGTACAAATTGAGAAACTAAAGCATGGAGAGGTTAAGGGATTTACCCGATGTCACAGAACAAAGAAGAAAGAGGTAAGGCCAGGGTTTTCCTATTAGCCTATGATGTCTCACAGAGATAACCTGTCCAGGTAGATACCCAGTTTTGGCTGGAGAAGGCATCACAGACCTTGGGTAATTGATGGCCCACCAGTTTGCACCCCTTTCCATTAATGTGGACCGATCATGCCCTTTGTTGTGGGTCAGTGAGCGTGGTCTTTGAAGTTAGGCAGATGTGGGTTTGAATTCTAGCTCTCATTTTATGACTTACGTGTCAGTTCACACCTCTAAGCTCACTTTGCTCTTCTTTAAAATGGGGGTGATAATGATGACTTCATTGGGTCATTATGAGGATTAAAAGAAATCAGGTATGAGAAATCTCTCAGCACATTCTCCCCTCCCTGGCAAAAGGGTTCAAGGCTGCACAAAGATTATCTAAGGGCAGATACTCTGAACATAGCCATAGTTTATTGATTCAGCGTTTTGTCATTTGCTTCCCTCTCTCAAGAGGCAAGAGAGAAAGCGAGACTGTCTTCCATGCAGTTTGCTCAGAATTCTAACACTAGCCTGTTAGTCTAATCATAACACATTTCTTCTTGGAAACAAACATAGCAACAGCAATTATATCTTACTTTTAATGTCTAATTGGCTGTAAACTTGCTTTTACTAAGTTATTTCCATCGAACATGTAGAGCATTGTGCAGTTTGCTTATCTTGATGTCCTCCTCTTGCAGTCCCCATCTTGGCTTTATTCGGGAGGCCAATTATGTGTATGCTAGCCTTGTGGGTGCCCTAGAAACTCCAGCAAAGGCCAGTGACAGTGTTGTGAGCCTTCTGCCCCTCATTATCCACAGAGGCAGGAGCCTATCAGAGCCTCCAACCTTGAATTTTTGTGTGAGTTCTGCTTCTGTTCTCCTACTCCAGGTATGTCCCCTCACCTGGCTTCTGGAGTAACCCATCCCTGCTCTCTGAACCCCCACTTCGCTGTGCCTTCCTCTGCTTCTAACCCTGCCTCTACGATGGGCTCTCTCTCCTTTTCCTCATAAGCCGATCATTCTTTTCCTGCAAGAAGTCCCACAGGGAAGCCATGCCATCCTAGCCAGACTTGGTTATGGTATGACCTGGCGTTCAGAGGACACACCCCAGCACCTCTACACTGGCTTTCAGCCAGATATGTCTTCACCGCTTGTTGAGACAGAACAGCTTTCTTCTACCTTTATGCTATGAAGCAGCCTTTCCAGGAGCCCTACTGGGGCCAGAGCCCAAGTGGGAAGATCCTCCCTTAAGCTTTCCCCTCTGTTTTTCCAACTCCTGAAACTTACATCCTTCTGCAGGCTTCAGGACTCAGTGTAGGTGTGTCTGATGCCCGGTCATCCTAGAGAAGGGGTTGTGGGAGGGGCTGTACCTGTTGCTATGGCAGCAACCAGTTGAGATCATGAACCCATTTGATTCAGAGGCAATTGCAAGGTGAATCAATCTCCTTGTCACCCACTCCTCTTCTCCTCCCTCTCCATCTCTCCCCACAGCCTTCTGTCATCTTTCCTCCTCCCCACTCAACCTCAAGCTTTCTCCTTCCCCAGTTCTCTCTCTCTCTCTTTTTTTACTCCTAGTTATGATACATCAATGTAGCAGCTAAAGCTACTCATGGTAGACTTCTTATTTATATTATACTTTAGCAAGCATCACCTAAAGGGCTTATTAAAACACAGATTGCTGAGCTTCCTCTAGAGTTCTGATCTGGACTCTGCACCAGGACCCAAGAAAGTGCATTTCTGACAAGGTCCCAAATGATGCTGACACTGCAGGTCCAGGGGCCACACTCTGAGAACAACTGCGCTAGACTATGTTTACCCAGTTTGATTTGGTTGTGGCTGGAATATTCCTCTGCATTTTGATTCTAAAGTATTTGATTAGCTCATTCATCCATTCATAGAACAGATGTTTATTGAGCATCTATTCAGTGTGAAACACTGTACTAGGTACTAGCTACCTAGAGAAACATAAAACCTTGCCCTCTAAGAGTTCACAGATCTGTACAAAAGACACAGTAAATAAGTAATTATTATATGGGGTGATAAGTATTGTAATAACCTGCAAATAATAAGAGATTTAAAAGTATACAACCAACTCCTTGCTCATGGCAAGTAAAATATTTAGATGATAGGAATATAAATAATAATGACCTATTCATTTATTTTTCTTTCTTTGCCAAGAATTGCCTGAAGGGAACTGAGCTTAACCTATTTAAATAATAATATTAACATCTAATGTTTGTGGAGCATTTACTATGTTTCAGATACTGTACCACATACAAGGCATATTGGTTAAGAGTGCTGCGGTCAGACTGCTAGGGATATAGTCCTGACTTGTCATTATCTGTGCAACCTCAGGCAAGTTACTTAACCACTCTGTGCCTCAGTTTCCTCATCAGAGGAAAAGGTTATAGTACTAGTTTCTGCTTCAGCAGATTACTGAGAAGATGAAATGTGATAATGTAGTCAAAACATATATAGTAATTACTCCAAAACACGTTGACTCTTATTACCAACATATTTTGACCTGAGGCTGAATATCACAGAATTGGCCTAGAGAAATTGATATCTTCCAGACTAAATAAATCTCCAGGATTTTGTCAAGAGAATGGATGGGGGCTGGACCTCAATGTGGGGATTAGAGAATTCCAAAACAGGCCTGAAAACTCCTTGGAGCACCAGTCAGAGGAAGCAGCCCTACTTGGCTGTCGGAGAATCAGTGCACCCCAATGGAATATAAGAAAGGCCCTGATGGATGGCCAGGATTTGGACCATGAAACTTGTTTTGGAGGAGGGAGGGGGATTGTCAGGACTGAGGCTTTACAGTCTCTGGTTGACACAGCTGAGGAAGGCAGAACCCTCAGGCTGGGGTGTGAGAGTTTCAAGCTTAGCCTTGACCAGTCTTTCCATCTAGAGAACCAGGGTCACTTTCAGGCCCAAATGCCACGGGGCTGGTGCTGTCAGCATTATCAGAGCGTTTCCTAGCAATGCCCATCAGCAAAGAGGCTGTGTTTTCTGAACCTTCTCCAAAGAGGCTGCCCTCTCCCCTCTTCAATATGCACCCCCATCCCTGAGAGAAGTGATTTCCTCTTGTTATTTGGAAATCAGGGAGAGAGTTTCCCAATCTTTGTCTGGGGCTCTACAGGGACCACAGTCCACATTCATGTTGAGTCAGGTCTCTCTTTTCTGTCTCTTAGACCCAGCTTCACAGCTGAGACTGTAGCTATATGAGAAAGCAGAATCTACCAGTTTTGTTTTAATCCTTTCCTGAGCTCATCAGAGATAAGAGTGATAGAAACTTTCTTCTTACAGAGAGGATTAGAAGTTCTTTGTGGCAAGATATACCTGGGAAGGGGTTATTAAGTGATCATCCCTGATAAAGCCCCTCTAATCATCTACTAGTTTTGCTATTTTAGTGGTGGGAAAAAAAACACAAAACCCTAGGCACTTAACTCACTCTTGGGGAAATCTTTCTAATCCCTTCCTCCCTCCCTCCCTCCTTCCCTCCTTCCCTCCCTCCCTCCCTCCCTCCCTTCCTCCTTTCCTTCCTGCCTTCCTTCCTTCCTTTCTGTGTGTCTTTGTGTCTTTCTGTCTTTCATCCTTTCTGCTTGTCTCAGATTTAATCGGAGCCATACATTCCGCTTATTCACTTATTTGTTTGTTCATTCAACAAACACTTGCTGAGCACCTACTGAGAGCTAAGTTGGGTTCTGGGCCAGAAACAGACAAAGCAAACCTGCTTCTTGTTCTTGAGGGTGTCAAATATTGTAGAAGTGAACAACATACCAGCCCACAATGATTATGTTGCAGTTAAGTGGTATGGTGGAATTCAGTGTAGGGCATAAGGGAGTGACTGACTCTGGGAAGGTTTTTTAGTGAAGGTAACATTCAGTCAGGGATTGAGTGGAGGCTTTTCAGGTGGAAAAGGTAGGAAAGGCATTATAGGCAGTGGGGACAACATGAGCAATAGTGTAGACATAGGAAAGAATGTGGCATAGAATTGCAAGAAGCTGGATGTGGCTGTGTGACTTGGTATACAGGTAGGCAGATGCTGTGAGAGACAGATGAGCTAGAGAGGGTAGGTTGGGTCAGTCATGGTAGGGGATTGGCATGGGCAAATTCCCATTTCAAGGTATTAAGCAGGGGAGAGACAGGGCAAGATGTGTTGGTTAGAAATGACAACTCTTCCCTGCTCTGAAGAATGAAACCAGCTGTGCCTGGGAATCACTTGCCCCACTTTACAAGATCTCCCTGGCAACAGAATGGCTGTTGTACAACTAGCCAGGGAATTTGCTGTGACAGTCTTCCAACCTTATCTGACATCCAGAGCAGGGAAGGAATTGCCAAGTTAGGGTATAGATATCAAAGGAATTGAAGCAACACAACATTGGAATAGTATTACAATATGAAATTAGAAACTATTTTCTCTGCTGGCATTGTTGTAAATACCAGCATCCATCACTCCCTTCTCAAATATATTGTAAGTTAAAACATTGCTATTTTTATCTCTAACCCCCTTGCCCTCTAACCCAGGCAATACAATATAGCTTCTTGAGGAGAGGCCCAAGCTGGGTGTGGATTCCGAATCTTCACCCAGCTTCACATGCTTATTGTGGGAGCTTGGGCACATCCCCTGTGCCTTCTGAGCCTGGGTTGTGTTGTTATTGTTGCTTGTTGGTTTGTGATATGGTTTGGCTGTGTCCCCGCCCAAAATCTCATCTTGAGTTGTAATCCCTATAATCCTCACAATCTCCATGTGTCAAGGGAGAGACCACGTAGAGGTGATTGACTCATGGGGGCAGTTTCCCCCATGCTGTTCTCATGATAGTGAGTGAATTCTCACAAGATCTGGTGGTTTTATAAGTGTTTGGTAGTTCCTCCTGCATTCATTCTCCATCCTCCCTCCTTGTGAAGAAGGTGCCTTGCTTCCCCTTCTACCATGATTGTAAGTTTCCTGAGGCTTCCCCAGCCATGCTGAACTGTGAGTCAGTTAAACCTCTTTCCTTATAAATTGCCTAGCCTTGGGCAGTTCTTTATAGCAGTGTGAAAACAAACCAATACAGTTTGTTACATGTACAATTGCAATAGCACCTCTCTTGCATGTGGTTGTGAAGATTAATGTATGCTATGCACCTGGTCCAATGTCCAGCTTAGAGTAGAGTAGATGCCTTTTTTTTTTTTTGAGATGGAGTCTCGCTATGTCTCCCAGGCTGGAGTGCATTGGCATGATCTTGGCTCACTGCAAGCTCCGCTGACCAGGTTCACGCCATTCTCCTGCGTCAGCCTCCCAAGTAGCTGGGACTACAGGTGCCTGCCACCATGCCCGGCTAATTTTTTCGTATTTTCAGTAGAGATGGGGTTTCACCGTGTTAGCCAGGATGGTCTCGATCTCCTGACCTTGTGATCCACCCACCTTGGCCTACCAAAGTGCTGGGATTACAGGTGTGAGCCACCACGCCCAGCCGAGTAGATGCTTAACAAGTGGAAACCATTATTATTTTTCTCCCCTTCGATACATGGAGCCTTAGGGTCTAAGTGACAGGAAAATGTTCAGATAAAGATGTTTTAATTATGTCTTCTTAGTACTTCCAGAAAGAGGTCTGCATGGGTTTAGGTCAGCTCTGCCTTCCGACAGCTTACGTGCATTCTTGTGTTGCTCTCCCATCTTCACTGCTCTTCCTACATTCCACCCTAATGAACGGCAGAGAGAGCTATGCAAAGTGGTCAAAGTAAAAAGGGATTCTTTCCGATGTTTCCCAGATTGGAGAAACAATGAACATGATTACTTTATTATCTCTGTTTTGTTTTAATCTTGTTGTGCCCCAAACTAATGGGGATGCTCATTTGGAATGAGCTTTGTGTATCTTTGGGCAAAGAGGAAAACCAAGATGAATTTCTAGGAGGGCAGCAGGAGAGTGAATAAGAGAGTACAAATCATCACAAATCAAGAGATGAGTAAAGAGAAGGGGGTTGGGAATGGCAGAATTGGAACCTGAGAGTTAGAGTCCATGAGAGAGAGGAGAAGCAAAATGAGAAATATGGAGTCTGAGTGGGAAGGAACCCCACATCTGTCGTCTGATACAGGCACCTACTCAAGGGAGGAATTCGGCATCAGTGTCCCTCACAGATGGTTGCCTGACACAGTGATTTCTATAAATAACAATTATATGGCACTACGGGAAGTGGATGAGGCTACTTACAAATGGAGCTGACCAGCCTGGGGACTGACTGTCCCCAAGGTCTGTCAAAGAGGTGATGGGAAGATATTTTGTGCACATCTGTAGCTCAGTGTGCTATGAGAAACTGACCTCATAGGGCCATCTTGGAGTGACTCACCCATGTACCTTCAGGCCTTCAGGTGATTAATAGGCATGTAGGACTGACGTTTCATTATCACTGCATCAACGCTGATGTAGACTTATTGAGCATGTCTTCCATTGATGCTGTCTTGGGTTCTGGAGATACAAAGACTTACAAGCCATGGTTCCTTGCTTTCAACCTGTTTTTGTTAAGGAATAGGAGTGTTTCCTGTGGCCACAGAATAAACGAAACTAACTGTCCTGGGGCTTCTTCAGGAAACCAGTGGGGCTAACCAGACTTACATAGTGTTTGATACACAATCATTAATTAAAACAGAGATGTTCAATGATAAATTAATTCGCCTTCTGCTCAGAATTCATTGAGGAGGGAAGAATGGAAGCCAAGAAAAATGATTATCTGAAGCTTTTTTCTTGAGCGTCTGCCCTTGTAGGCTGTGCTGAATATTTGAGTGAGCTAAGTGTACTTGCTGTATGTCAACAGAGATGACATTTTACAGGTGATATATTTATTTCCAGAGAAGGAAACTTATATAGGCTTGTGAAGCAGAAGAATGCCAGCAGGTTTCTAATCTCCTATTAGTAAACAACATTATCGAGAATCTCCTGTTTGTGGAGTAATATTCTAGGCATTTGTAGAGTGAACACAGAAATAAAGATGCAGTTCTGTCTTTAAGAAACATTCAGCCCTAATGGGAATGGAGGACCAATATGTAAAAGAGACAGAACACATATAAAGAAGGTCCATAAATAAGTGCAAATAAATGCCTGAGTGCAGCACTTAATGTTCTGTTTTCTATTATAGGTATTTGTACTCACGACTTAGCCTTCTTATGGATACCAAAGCCCTTGAGAACTGTTTTCCTTTCTCATTCATCTTGTGCAGAGTACACACTCAAAAGTGTTGAATGAATATGTATGCTACTGTGAGGTGTGCCTAATTGCTGGGGGAATTCTGGAGTGAAGTAGAATGACATGTTTAGGGGAAACCTTATAGCGGCTTAGCAGTGTTTTCAAGTATGAGAGGACTTGTAATTGGTGGAGTAAGGGGACAGGAGGGAGAAGAAAGAAGGAAGAGTTCACGGGGACTGAGCAAATCCAAACAATTTATGCCACCATTCAGGGTCCTCCATGATCTGATCCTTCAGGTCTTACCTTGCCTTGCTTGCTGCCACCAAAGGCAGCCCACTGTGGCCTTAGCATTCCCACCTCTTTCTCTCTCCTTGGAATGTCTTCCTCTGTTGATTGGCCATCTGAATCCACCTTCCACTTCATGTCTGGGTGAAAGTAGAGTCTCAGGAAGCCTTACATGACATCTCTATCCTTGCTCCTATCTTCATTAAATGGCAGTGTTTGCAGGTCTGATTTCAGTGGTCTTAACCTTCAGAGGAAACGAGAGACAATCATGGTCTTCAACCTCGGGTAGCTTTCAAATGAGATCATGAGGCAACACTAATTTTTTGTTTTTTTTTTTTTTTTTTTTTTTTTTTTGAGACAGAGTCTCGCTCTGTCACCCAGGCTGGAGTGTAGTGGTGTGATCTCGGCTTACTGCAACCTCCGTCTCCTGGGTTCAAGCGATTCTTCTGCCTCAGCCTCCTGAGTAGCTGGGACTACAGGCATGCGTCACCACACCCAGCTAATTTTTGTATTTTTAGTAGAGACGGGGTTTCACCATCTTGGCCAGGCTGGTCTTGAACTCCTGACCTTGTGATCCGCTTGCCTCTGCTTCCCAAAGTGCTGGGATTACAGGCGTGAGCCACCGCGCCTGGCCTGGGGCAACACTAATTATATACAAAATAATAAGAGGGAGCAGGGCTGTATATAATTAGGTGCTAAACAGAGTAGACAGAACAGAAGAACTGTGCAGAGTTGATTGGAGGTCAGAAGTCCTGCATTCTGGTTCTACTTCCGTACCCAATAAGTGGAGTACCTTTTGGCAGTCACTTGGCTTTTGAACCTTGGTTCTTCTGTAAAATGAGGGGTTTGTGCAAGATGCTGTGATTCCTTCCAGCTCTAGAATCTGCAAGATGATAAAGGTTAGAGTACTCATATTAGACTGAGTGGGAAATAGTGATTTGTTAGTAAGAGGGGAGAGGGGAACATCAGGAAAAGCAATAAATGATGGCGACCAGAAGGACTGATTCCTGACAACCATAGGACAAAGTGGAGAATCAGAGAGGGACTGGTTGAAGAGCGGTTACCTTGGTATTATCCAGCATGTTCTTTCTGGAATAGGATGGGCACTGCACAAAACGTTCACAATAGAGGATATATGAAGCCTCCTGTACTCTTTTGCGTTTCTGATACTCACCTCCCCTCTTGTTTTCAGAGCCCTTTCTGGTGCTTGCCACTCTTTAAAGAATACAAATCTCTCATCAGCAAGCCCTGTAGAAGGGGCAAAGGGGTGATGCACTTTAGCTCATCACCACTGGGCACGTTCTCTTTAATCCTCTCTTAAATTCACCTGCTTTGGCTGATCTGCATACAGTGGGAGTGGTGTCAGATCAACACACTGGCCTTTTCCCAAAGCAAAGCGGGATCCCAGCCTGGATGGCCCAGCACAGGGTCAGCTGCCTCCATCCTGGCCCCCCAGAGCATCTGCCTCCCCAGCACCCTGGGCTGCAGTTGCAGAGGGCCTTCTTTTTAATGTTTTTCTAATAATCATTTTTTTCAAACCCTAAAACAACACTTTGTTATTGCATGATAGTTGCAAAAATATAAAAATAATTTTTAAGAATAACTCATTTCTACCCCCTCACTCCCCCCACAGGTTATCATCACTATTATTAATAACATTTTTCACTGTTTTGACTAAAAAAGGTTTTCTTTTAAAATTCACCCATGACCCAGAACTATTTAAATAAACTAATTTTATTTTGGAGAAAGACCCTAAAACTTTTATTATAGAGATTTTCAGTCATGCACAAAAGTAGAGAGAATAAAATATTAAACCCTATGTAACCCACATCAGCCCCAGCAGTTACAAGAAGACCTTAAAGTCTTTAGAGGATCCGGCATCTCCCTGTTGGGCTTCTGTGTCAGAGTTCAGAAAGGGAGAGGGGAGGGACAGGATAAATATCACATGACATCAATGTTGGAATTACTAGGATTTAAGCAGAGGGATTTTAAGCACAGCAGGACCCTGAGCCCTGCCCATATTGGAGGTGCCCACTTTTGCAGACCCTGCCACGGCAGCCTTCGTAGTCCTATGTGGCACCGCTCTTTGCTCTTGAATTGTCCTCCCAAGAGCGTGGATGGGTTTTCACTGACACACGGGTACCTGCCTGCCCAGTGCCAGTGGTGAGGACTGCCCACATCTGGGGTGGGCCATGCCAGCCCTTGCAGCTGACCGGCCAGAGCTCCTGACCCTGGTCTCGGTAGCATCGTGTGGCTGCTTGTAGGTTGGGTGGAGGAGTGTTTCTTTCTGTGCTCCTCCTCTTTGCCAAACACTCTGCTGCATTTTCCCACTGGCAAAAGAAGGGGAAGAATAGGTGGTGAAATGTGGTTCTGGACTGAGGCACTGCTTCATCCTCAGTGACAATCACTGACATTCTTGGCAGCGGGGAGATGGTGGCTGCATCAAGTCCAGAGGATTCTGAATGACCAGAATGTGTGGGAAGCCTTGCTTACTCATAACGGCCCCTGGCTAAGCCAGATGCTGCCTCCAGAGATTGTTTGTGTGGGGAGACTTAGTATGTTTATTAAATATACTCAGGGCTCCAAGTTACAGTGAAACGCCCTGCTCCTGGGCCTGACAGGCTCAGCCTCCTGGCTGGGTGGCAGCAGGTGCCTATGTTTCACTTGGAGCTCTAGGTCCTCATTCTTTCCCCTGCTCCCCAACCTTTGCCTCTTGCCTGGGGGCTGAGAAGACAGCTTTCATTTTTCTGGCTGTAAGATCCTAGTGGTGACTGTCCTATCTGTCTTTTGTTCTGCCCTAGAAGGTAGTAATAGTATGGGTAGGATTGCTTTTAAGAGTTCTGGAACTAAAGCAGACATGAAGAGTCAAGGGTTTGCAAGAAGTTGACCCATTTTGGTTCTAGATTGTGGCCCCAGATCTGCCGATAAGTTGCTTGGATCCTCAGGGAAGTCGCTTTGCTTCCTTGGGGCTCAGTTTCCTCTCCTATGGAATGATGAGTTGGATGACTTGTTCTCATCATCCTCTTCCAAGAGTATGACTGGATTTCCTAGTCTGCAGGAAACCCGTTATAGGCATTTAATTGCCCAGTGATGTGTGGGGTATGCTGTACATTGTATCCTTTTCCTAAAATGTGGGTGTGGTCAGAGGAATCATACCTTGGCTTTGAGGTAGAAACACCATCCAACTGGTGTGACTCAGGGGAGGGGTGTTGCCAGCTTTGTATGGTGGGTCAAAACCCTGATAGAATGCCTTAAATCAAATTCCCTAGAAACTGATTGTGAAACTGAGCTTCTTGTGGCAGTGTTTTAATGAGGGACTGCTCTTAGGAGTTACCTAAAGGTATGTGAGGGAAGCAGGATAGGTCAAGGGAAAAACTAGGCAAAGCCTCAGCCTGGTTCCATGGGCAGCCCAAAGTGTGAATTCCACCACAGCAATTGTCTTACCCAGTGGCAAAAGGGCCGGGCCATTGATAACTCCTACATTAGGTAGTTATCTGTTACAGCCCCCCATCATCACCAGCAGGGGCAGGAATAACATTCCAGGTGAAGCTGGTCTGTCAGGCAAGGGCAAGCATCTGAAAAGCGTACAGGAGCAAGGCAGGTGTGAGTTATTAGCAGCCAACAGTTACATAGCAGCTGGGGGATGAGACATGGGCCAGAATGCCACAGAGCCTGCCACGTCCTTACTGGTGACAGCCGCGCAGGGAGGAAGGCAGGAGTAGGGTGGGAGAGGGCTGTCCTGGGTGGCTGATTCCTGTGGATGGCTCAGCACATGCAGGAAAGTGTTCAGATGGGATTTCCAATTAGGTCAATCTAAGTGATTGTTCTAAAAGTTGGGATGATGTTACATTTGGGGTGGGGGATAGTGTGCCTAGGAAGGGACGTGAGGAAGACCTTAAGGTTATCTAGAGGCTGGTTGTCCAGTGATATATATTTTGACAAAATCCGGGGTACCTTTATGACTTGCATTTCAGCATAACATCCACACAGAGCTCCAGGGCGCTGCTACTGCAAGGTAGTAGCAGTTCATTCTGAGAGGGCGTTCCCCACCCTCTTTTTTCTTCTTATAGGTCCCCCACTTCTTGGCATGTCTTCATCTTAATCTTTTTCTCCATCTTTCTTCTACCTCCATAATTAATCTTTTCACTGCCTTTCTGGCTTCTGCTGTCTCAGCGAAGGTAGTTTCTTAGACTCCCGTGTTATTGTTTTCCCTGAAAACTTCAGCACATCCTTTTCTGACTTCCCGGACCCATGCAGGCCCACCTGCCCCAGTTCCCTGTGCTCCCTTCATAGCACTGACCACACTCCAGAGTTAAAGTTACATTTGTGTGCTCACTTGCTTCATGGGTGTTTCCCCCATTAGATCACAAGTTTCAAAGAGCTGGGACTGAGACTGTCTTGCTCATCATCCTTAACACACAGAAAATTATCTGTCACATAGTAGGTGGCCCATGAATGTGTTGAATAAAAAATATGGCATTTCAGCTCCAAGACATGGAATCCAAGTCCCTCGGGGTGGGACAGGAGCTGTCATACTTGGTGCTGGAGGAAATGGGAGCCTAGGGGAGGGTGTGCTGGCCTGTGAGGTGCAGGAGGCCAGGTATGTGTCTGTGAGGGAAGGTGTGAAGTAGTTGAATCAGTCCCTGGCCTCTTTCCTTCCCCACTCACTGCTCTGTGAATTTTCCTTTCCCTAGGAGTGGTCAGCAGAGGCTTTGGACAGATGCTTCTGCAGAGATGAATGGCCTGGCTTTTTTGCTAGCCTATGTTGGCTGCTCCAACCCTCTCCTGGCCTGAGCCGAAGATCTCTCCTCGAGATGGAGCCTTGAGTCCAGCAGTTCTTAATCAAAAGTAATCTTGTCCCCCAGAACATTTGGCAATTTTTGATTGTTGCATCTGGAGAAGTACTAGTGGCCTCTAATGGGTAGAGGCCAGGAATGCTGCTAAGGCACACACAGGAGAGCCCCCACCAAACAGAACTGTCTCTCCACAGGTGCTGGCAGTGCTGCAGTGGAGGAAGCCCTGCCTAGGCCAGCCCTGATCTAACCAGCAGGTGCTGCTGACAGCCTCTGGAGCAGGTGTTCCCCAGAGACCCTTTGCTTCTGAAAGGACCATGGAATCAGCATCTGCCTTACTCCCAGCCCCAACACACTCAGCCTCCCCACTCAGTCATAGGCAATTCAGCCTCCCAGGTTACAGCTGCTCTGTGAAGAGGGTGCACAGACAGGGAGAATGTTTTCCATGGAGCCCTGGGGAACCCTGTTAGAGACCTGTCTCTGGGGCTGGGGGCTGGGCCCTGCCTGCATAGCTTCAGCTCAGGGGACCCATGGGGCCCCTTTCCTCCTGCTTGCTCTATCCCCATCTTTCTCTCCAATCCTCCTCCCACCCCACCTTGCAGCATCTCCCCCAGTCCCCTGGAGATTAATGTGATAATTACCATGTGTGCCTGTTTACGCAGGGAGTGGGTGAGCTCACCACCCCCATCAGTCAGGTTCCCAAAGGAACACATTCCCACAATGTCAGGACTGGTACCCGCTGAGCACTCCTGTGCAGGTGGGCTGCCGCCCCCGAACTGCTTTCTCTGTCATCACCCTCGTCGTGCACACGTGTGCATGTGTGTGTCACTCAGGGGATCGGCAGGTGAGGAAGATGGAGAGCAGCCAGTGTGCCAGTCTAGGGAAGGGCTGGGTGGGGAGGGTGTTGGGAGATGGGAGGAGCATCAGTGCTCCATGTAAGAGGACACTGACCAAAGAGAAGCACTCTCCTATGATGCCTGACTGATAGTAGGTGTTGCATGAGTGGTGTGGGATGGAGGGGCTGGCGTCTTCTGGGCAGCATTCTTTGCAGGGAGGGCCCTGGTTTCCCTTAGCTGCTCCACAGTAGAGGTCTCGGCTGTGAAGGTTCTCCTGGGGCCAGAATCTTGATTGGAGTACTTAGCATGGCTGTCCCGTGTTCCTGAAGGAAGAGTCTCTGGGGAAAATAGAGTGCAAGTCTTACATGAAAGGAGCTTGCGAGAACTGCCACTCTGTCACAGAAGTTGGGGGGGATGCTGTAGAGAGAGAATGAGTGATTCTCCCTCTCACAGGCAACCCTCCTCTCTTGCACCTCCTGCTGAGACAGACACGTGCACACCACGAGAGAGAAAACAGTCACAACTCTGTGGTTGAACTGGCAGCTTCACCCCGACTTCCACTTCACGTGCTTTCTGGGTACTTGCTGCCTTGAGTTGTCGGTTGCTGCTGCTTTTTTAATCTCAAAGGACGCTTGAGTCATTGTCTCTCCTACACTGGACAATTTTGTTTTAATAATGATGAATCAGAAGGAGATTGAAGCCCCAACTGGCATCAGAAAGAACCATGCCATTTTGAAAAAGGGAAGCATGCATTCCTTTGCTAGCCTGCTTCCTGCCGAGGTGTGTCCCTTTGTCCTACCGGGTGTGTCACTGACCCGTGGACAAACATGCAAGGGGAGTGGAAGCCAGTTGGCCAGGAAGAATGAAACAGGAGGGAGAGGAGCAAGGTGTGGAGAAGGGTGGGGCAAGCCTATTAAAAGGTGTGTGAATAACCTACAGGAGCTGTCAAGCTGCTTTCTCCAGAAGAACCTTTTAAGCTGTCAGTCATCTTCAAGAACCCCCAGGGCCTTGCTGGTGCTGGTGTCTTCCCAGCTATGCTTTTCTCCTTCTAGTTCCCATCCTCCTCTTTTTTCATCCAGCAGGCCCCACTGTGGTGGATAATGTTTGCGGCAATTCAGAGAAATCTCCACAGATTGAGAGGGGGCTATGAGAATGAATTGTATCAGTGTATTTTTAACAGGAGAATCTTCATATTAGAATTGTGGACGTTTTTTGATTAGTCGACCATCTATGCATGCCAAACCCTTTGTTAGGTGCCAGATACAGAAATGAGCAGACAGTTAAGGTTTCTGCCTGAATATAGGTTGAAGCAACACCAAAACATACTCACAAAATGCTGAATCAAAAGACACTGCTCGTCATTGGTTTTTTATAGAATTGAGAAACACATTCCAGATTCTGACCCACTGTAGTTCCTACATTTCAAAGGCTATGTTCTTCGATGTGTTACTAGATTTTCTCTGAAAATGAGGGTTTCACTATGATCAAAAGTGTTTATGAAATGGTGGAATAAACAAGGTAAATAATGTTCTTTTTTTGTGGATCTTCTCACGGGCTCAGAAGAAAATATAATCTGCTGTTTCCCAAATTTCTTTGGTTACAGAAGCCCCTTTTCCACAAAATACACTAACTTCTTACAGATCTCTAGCAATGAGAACAATGTAATTTTGGACATCCTCATTACAGCATCCCTGGCAAGTAGTCACCCAAGTGAAATTGCTCTGAGCCACCCTCAAACTGTAGCTCAATTATTTAAGAACAAAATTATCTTAAAAGTCACAATTTCATCATTGCTATTGCTGATACCTGCTAATGTTTGTTGGCAACAAAGTCCTATCTGGGTGCTGGGTGTAGACTCAGTTTTTGTTGCCAAGGAATGTTGGGGTGCTGGGGGGTTTGGCCACTGGCTAAGCCATAGAGTGAATAAACCCTGTTAATCTGGAGCTTTACTGGTGAACCATCAGAGCTAGCCAGCCTTACAGAAGGACTGATTTGTAATCACAAATAAACACAGAGCTAGCTATACAAATATCATTGCAATTCACTTTTCAGCTCATAGGGAAGGTCCATGTCTTAACGATCTCAGAGAAAACGGCTTCCTACCTCCCTTAAAACCCTCAACAACTCTTGGCATCTAGTTCCTTTGGATCTTTCTACTAATATTCAGGAACAGTTTTCTCTGAGGTCTGGCCCACATCTTCCCTGATTGTATTTAACTGACCAGACCTGATTGAACCAAAGAGCTCCATCTTACACACTGAAATTGGCAGGTCCCTGCATCTGTCCCTTCCCATTCAGAAAGTGTTTTCTTGTTTACTTTTAACTTTTATTCTGCTTCAATTGCAATTATCTCTCTCTGAATAGTGTAGGGGCAAAAAAAAAAAGACACAAGTGTGGTGAAAGGAGATTGCCTTAGAAGCTGTTTTAGTGGGGTGATTCCTCAAATACCCCAAAACAGAACTAGCATTCAACCCAGCAATCCCATTACTGGGTTTGCTTACAACCCAAAGGAATATAAATCATTCGGTTATAAAAACACATGCATGCATATGCTCATTGCAGCACTATTCATGATAGCAAAGACATGGAATCAACCTAAATGCCCATCAATGACAGAATGGTTAAAGAATATGCAATACATATACACCATGGAATACTATGTAGCCTTAAAAAAAATGAGAACATGTTCTTTGCAGGAACATGGATGGAGCTGGAGGCCATTATCCTCAGCAAACCAACACAGGAACAGACGACCAAATACTGCATGTTCTCACTTATAGGTGGGGGATAAATGATGAGAACACATGGACATATAGAGAGGAACAACACACTGGAGTCTTTTGGAGGGTGAAGGGTGGGGGAAGGAAGAGGACCAAGAAAAAAGCAGCTATTGGGTACTAGGCTTAATACCTGGGTGATGAAATAATCTGTACAACAAACCCCTCTGACATGAATTTACCTATATAACAAACCTGCACATGTACCCTTGAACTTAATATAAAAGTTAAGCTGTTGTTAATGGATGAATCAACTATACAGTGATAGCTTCCATGACTGATAAGAGGCTATATTCTGTGGACTGGAATATTTGAATGGGAGACAGAAATGAGATAATTTGGAAGAAAACAAGAGAATGTCACAGAAGTCCACAGGAAGCATGGGGACAATGAATCAAAATATGTTTTCAGAATTTAGTAGTGAGAGGGGGAAAAGGTAAATTGGAGGGACAAGAAATACTTTGCTATAGAAATTCTGAGTTCTGGTCTTAATTTTACTAATTTAGCTTGTGAGTTTTAGGCATGGCATTTGACTTTGGCCTTGTTTTTCCAGTGAAGTAGAGATAAAATATCTGTTGTAAGTTTCAAATGGGTCTTAGAGTTTGTGTGTGAGAGAGTGGAGTGGGGGTCGAAGGGATTTCAAAGCCCTGCATATGTGAAATGCAATTCAGAAAGACTATTTGGAAAGACTTCGAGGTGCTGTCAGGGGAGGAAGAGTCAAAGGGAAGACTGAGAACCCTTAGTTGAGTGGTACAGCTTTTAGAGAGACTCCCAAGCTCTATTTCAAGGTTCTAATAAGATATCCTGCTAAGAATTGCTTCTTTGTTTAAGTCATGAGATATAATTCTTCCTCAATCCCTGACCATTCAAGGGTCTTGCATCTGATTCATGATTCGAGAATCCGGAATATGGATTTGCAGGCATTTTTTAATTCACTGAGTGTTAACATTAGAGTGCAAGTGATCACTCTTCAAATCTAGATTTATTCCTTGTTCTGGCCAGAGCCTTGCTGGGGCCAAGCCTGGGCCAGCTCTGTGCTATTGTACTATGATGGAAGAAAGCAAGCTGAGCGTGGGTCAAGGGCTGAGCAAGACGCAGAGGACCCTAAAATGTCTTCCAAATAACCCTGTCAAGGCCTTTGCTAGCATCCATGGAATAGATTGGGCACAGCCTGCCTTTGTCTTTTTGAGAATTTGCCCAATTTTGTGTGCAGAGGCTTAGAACCCACATTACCAAATGCTATAAAACCAGTGGTTGTTTGCGTGACCTTGGAAAAGTATCTGACCTTTCTGTATTGTCTTCTCATGTGCTAAGCAAGAGTGTGAGAATATTCCAACTCAGTATATTATGGTGAGGCTGATGCTGTGTTCTTCATTACGTACATGGGAGATTTTGAGCTAACTCACGGTAATACCAAATTGGGAATGGAGTAAGGCAATATTTAACTGTATTGCATTGTGGTTTTTACATCACCCTCTGTGCAGCTGCAAGAATGTAAGCTTTACTTATGGAAGATGGCTTTAAGTATTAAGGAACCATTTTTCTTTCTTTCAGACCAATGATGCCTTAGGAGCCACCTGGAATTGGCTGTACTTCATCCCCCTCATCATCATTGGATCCTTCTTTGTTCTCAACCTAGTCCTGGGAGTGCTTTCCGGGTGAGCCAGATGTTTCTCTCTTCTTAACTCATTTGCTGACTGCTAACTGTAAACTAATGCCTCCTGACTCATGGCAGATTCATTCATTTAACCTTCATTTAGAAGACACTTACCTAGCAGTTCCTCTGTGCCAAATGCTTTCTAGATGCTGGGAATGCAGTAGTGAACCATCATTCTAATAATCTTGATTATTCTCAGGAATTAAAAAGTCTTGATGTCAGGCACAACACTGAACACAGTATGTAGTGAGAGTTCATTTATTCATCCATGCTTTCATTCAGTAACTCAGCAGTCAGAGACCTATGTCAAACACGGTGCTGGTTGTTAGGGAAATAAAATTGAACTAGACACAGGCTGTGCCTCAAAAGTTTCTTACTCTGTAGTGTTTTGGGGATCAAGTCTCATATTTGTGGCTTGAATTAGTTTATACAAATCTGCAACTATTTGGGGTCCAATACCATGGTAAGCATCGCCAGGAGCACACAAAGTATAAGGTGTGGTTCCTCTCCTTAGGAAACATGTTTTGCCAAGAAGATGATACACATGAAACAGAGAATAGGAGTTCTTTTACTGACTTATACAAGGTATAATCATTTGTTTTGGGGAAAGGACAAATCTATGTAATCTGAAGTCATCAGGGATAGTTTCATCAAGGATTGAGATTTTGCTTGGATTATGAAATATGTAGTAGGATTACATAGACTATATGGGAGTGAACATTTCAGGAAGGGGAACATCACACCATAAGCAAAGATGAAAAAATGGGACTTGTCATGGAGTGTGAAGAAATTATAATGTAACATCTTAGGAGAGCTGAGACGGGGATATATTTTAGAGATTCTTATATTTTTCTAAGCAAAACTGAACTTAATTTTTTGTCAGAGTGGCATACGTTCTTCAAATGAAAATTTATAAGGTGGCACTTCTGTTTAAACATGGCAGATTGAACTAAGTTGGTCATTTCTTGAAACTCCACTAACACAGAAAATAAATTTTAAGAAGGGCACTAGGACAAAGAGAACAAGAGGAATGACAAGAGATGAAAGATGTCAACAACATTTTTGAACATAGAAAAAATTGGCAACAGACAGTGATAGGAAAGCTGAAGTTTAATTGTTTAGGGAATGCCAGTAAAAAAGCAAACTGATTGTTCTTCGGAGCCCTAGAAAGGCTCAGGAATTGGAGACACCAGGTAGGTCTGAGAGCTGGGGTAGGCGTGGTGCTAAAAACAAAAGGACTGATGCAAAGTCCTTGTAAGGAACATTAGAATCCCTGCCCCACCCCACTATAACCTCCAGGCAATGCTGACAGATATCTGCTTCACCCAACTCCCATCCTAGCAAAAGTTAGGAGACTTAATCTCTGTAGATGTGGAATCAGAGAAGCTTGGAATTGTACCATCAGATACACCTGAGGGTAGTGTTGATATGTTGTACTGAAAACAGGAGGGCTAAATGAAAGTCTACAAACTGAATGTGCGTAGTCCAGCCCACTTCTGCTTGACTCTTAAAAACATAGCAGTCTGGTAGGAGTTGAGAGGATTCCTCTTTTGGGGAACTGTCTGAAGAGAAGGGACAAATTTATACTGATATTTGGGAGAGACCAGAGAAACAGGTTCCTACCTCATCACCTTTGGTGAGACTCACTGTATTAATTACCTATGGCTGCTTTCAACTAATTACCATAGCTCCGCGGCTTAAAACTGTGAGAGAAACTTCATTTTCTTATAGTTCTGAAGGGTACAGGCCCAAAATCTGGTAGGGCCATTGATATAGTTTGGCTGTGTCCCCACCCAAATCTCATCTTGAATTGTAGCTCCCACAATTCCCAGGTGTTGTGGGAGGGACCTGGTGGGAGGTAATTGAATCATGGAGGTGGGTCTTTCCTGTGCTGTTCTCATGATTGTCACGAGACCTGATGATTTTGTAAAAGGGAGTTTCCCTGTACAAGCTCTCTTCTCTTGTCTGCTGCCAAGTGAGATGTGCCTTTCACCTTCTGCCATGATTGTGAGGCCTCCCCAGCCACGTGGAACTGTGAGTCCATGAAACGTCTTTCTTTTGTAAATGCCTCAGTCTTGCGTATGTCTTTATTAGCAGCACGAAAATGGACTAATACAGCTGTGCTCCCTCCAAGGGCTCTAAAGGAGAATTGATTTTCTTCCTCTTCCAGCTTCTGGCAGCCCCAGGCATTCCTTGGCTTATAGCCACGTCACTGTAATCTCTGCCTCTGTGATCATATTGCCTCTTTTTCAATGTCTGTGCAGTTTTATAAGGCCACTTGTCATTGGATTTAGGGTCATTCTGATAAGCCAGGATGATCTCTTATTTGAACATCCTTAACTTAATAATCTGCAAAGATTATTTTTCCAAATAAAGTAACATTCACATGTTCCAGGACTTAGGATGTGAACAAATCTTTTGGGGGGCTCCCAGTCATCCCATTACATTCACCATTCTACAAGCTCCAAGCTTGCATACAGAGTTGCCAATGAGGCTTTTGTGCCGTGCTTTTAAATATGAACACACAGCTAGGGATCATCAGCATTTGAGGAAAATGACCAACACATAAGAACAAAAAACAAAATCATGAATTATAAAAAGGTAATTGAGGGAATATGAACAATGCAGGGAGTAGAAGACAAATTTAAAAGCTGTATCTGCTATTAGAGATAGAAGAGAAACCATTTCATTTACAGAATAACAGGCCAATAAATTAAAAAAAAAAACATTTAGAGGTTAAGGGCTCTTGGAAATTAATGTAAAATGTACATTCATTTTACAAAGTAATATATATATACTTATATATATTTACATTAAATATAAAAATGAAATAATGTAAAAATATAAGAATGTAATAAAATATAAAGGTAATACATATTTGGAATATAAAATTGATGAAATTACCTACAAAACAGAACAGCAAAATAGGATTGATCCAGCTTTTAACTATAATAGGAGTTCTATAAAAAGAACAGAGACATGGAAAGGAAGAAATTAACAAAAATCTAAGAAATGTTCCCAGAGCCAAAAGACTCACATTGCCAGATTAAAAGATGTGTTGAGGCAGATGCAAGGATGTTCTTTCCAGCATTATTTCATGGTAGTGGGGAGTTGGAGGCAACGTGGATGTCCATAACTGGGAGATTATATAGGTAAAATATTGGATGTATACCATGGCACAGTATGTAGCAGTATGTACTGTGGCATCCTATGTAGCACAGAGCAACAAATACTGTGTACACATGAAACATAAGATATCTTGGGCGGGGCGCGCTGGCTCACGCCTGTAATCCCAGCACTTTGGGAGGCCGAGGCGGGCAGATCACGAGGTCAGGAGATCGAGACCATCCTGGCTAACACAGTGAAACCCTGTCTCTACTAAAAATACAAAAAATTAGCCGGGCGAGGTGGCGGGCGCCTGTAGTCCCAGCTACGCGAGAGGCTGAGGCAGGAGAATGGCGTGAACCCCAGGGGGCGGAGCCTGCAGTGAGCCAAGATCACGCCACTGCACTCCAGCCTGGGCGACAGCGAGACTCCATCTCAAAAAAAAAAAAAAAAAAAAAGAAACATAAGATATCTTAAGAACATAGATTTTAGTGAAAACAAGAATCACTGTGATATGATACCATTTACATAAAACTACATGCACACAAAATATACAGTTTGTGAAAATACATTCAAATCAAAGGCACATTTTGAATGTATTATAATTTTTTTAAATTTTTATTTTACTTTAATGATAATTTTTATAGCAGGGTGATATAAGGTAGGTATGGAGGTAAAAGAGAACAAATGAGTTTAATTAATAATGAAATACACACTGAAAACTCAGCATGACTAATGGAAAGTGAGAACCCCAAGGTGAATCATCATGAAATTTCAGAATATCAGATTAAAAAATATTCTGAAAGTGCCTGGTAATTAGGAAGGAGATAGAATTTATCTACAAAGAAATAGGAATCAGGATAGCTTTGGGCTTCTCAATGGCAACACTGAAAGTTAGTAACAAATAGATAAGTTCTTAAAACTTTCATAAGGAAAATAATTTTCAAGATAGAATTCTATACCTAGCTCGAATACCAATTGTTTTTTAGGATGGGATCACAATATTTTTGATATCCATTTTGAAAAAGTTACTGGTGAATGTGAGTCACTAAAAATAAGGAAGTAATTGAAGAAAGAGAAGAATGTGATACTCATGGAAACAAGGGATTCGATGGAGGAGAGAAAGAAGAGGAATTGATTCCCAGGGCGATGAACGGAAGTCTAGGATGACAGAAGCCTAGAGAGTATCAAGCAGTATCAAGATTTGAGTAGGGTGACAGAGGCCTCTAAAAATGCTATCTGTAAGAAAAAATAAAACTAATGTATTCCCCAATGTGTGTTATTATTTTCAAAAGAGCTCATGGTTTTGCCAAAACTATATACAGTCATGTGCCACATAATGACATTTCAGTCAATGACTGATGTATATGCAACAGTGGTCCCACAGGATTTAGTGGAGCTGAAAAATTCCTGTGGCTTAGTGATGTCATAGTCATCTTAACATCATAGTGCAATGCATTACTCACATGGTTGTGGTGACGCTGGTGTAAAAAAACCCTGAATTGTCCATCATATAACAGTAGAACATATACAATTATGTACAGTATATAGTATTCGACAGTAAATGACTATGTTACTGATTTGGCATTTACTTTCAATTGTTATTTTACAATTTATTCCTACTTATTTTTAAAAAAGTTATCTGTAAAACAGTCTGAGGCAGGTTCCTCAGGAGGTATTCCAGAGGAAGGCATTGTCATCATAGGAGATGACAGCTCCCTGTGTGTTATTGCTCCTGAAGACCTTCCAGTGGGACAAGATATGGAGGTGGAAGACAGTGATATTGATGGTTCTGACCCTGTGCAGGCCTAGGCTAGTGTGTGTGTTTGTGTCTTCGCTTTTAACAAAAGATTTTAAAAAGTAAAAAAGTAAAAAGTAAGAATAAAAAAAGCTTATAGAATAAGGATGTAAGGAAAGAAAATATATTTGTACAGCTGTACAATGTGTGTTTTAAGCTAAGCATTATTGCCAAAGAGTCTAAGTTAAATTTTTTCTAAGTTTATAAGGTAAAGTTACAGTACGTGAAGATTAATTTATTGAAATAAAAATGTTTTTAATAAATTCAGTGTAGCTTAAGTGTCCAGTGTTGATAAAGTCTACAGTGCCATACAGTAATGTCCTAGGCCTTCACATTCACTCACCACTCACTTTCTGACTCACCCAGAGCAACTTCCTGCAAGCTCCATTCATGGTAAGTGCTCTACGGTGTACCATTTTTTAAAATCTTTTATACCATATTTTTACTATCCCTTTTCTATGTTTAGATATATTTAGATGTACAAATACTTAATGATGTGTTATAATTTCCTACAGTATTTAGTATAGTAACATGCTGTATAGGTTTACAGCCTAGGAGCAATAGGTTACAGCATATAGCCTAGGTATGTAGTAGGCTATACCATCTAGGTCTGTGTAAGTACACATTCTGGTGTTCACACAACAACAACATTGCCTAGCAATGCATTTCTCAGAATGTACCCCTTTTGTTAAGCCATACATGACTGTATGAATATATGTATGTATTTGTATATACACACATACACAAAAAAACACTCTAAGCATTTAATTCCATGAAATATGAAATTGTTACCAGTAAGAAATATAAGCATAGTAAGTAGGTCCTCTATTCAGCTCAGTTGTCAACCAAATTTATGTTGCTGATGCCGAATTTTGATATAGCCCCTTACAGTGCTGTGATTACCTTAAGTGGATGGAGGAGGCTGAATATGAGGAGGGGAAAGGGAGGGGGAGATTTCAGTCAAAGACTGAAATCTTAGGTTCCACAGTAAGGAAGTATTTAGGCAATATCTAAAATGGAAAGATAAAGACATTTCAGTTTTTAAGTATAATATTTAGAAATTTGGAAATGAATACCAGAAGAAACAGGTAAAAGAGTTGAAAGTGGTTGCCTCTGGGGAGTGAAATTCAGGGGTTAGGAGAGGTAAAGCAGAGGGCTGCCAGTTTTTCATTAGAAGTCTTTCAAAATTATTTGACTTTTTAAATTCTACATGTGTTACTTTGAAAAAATAGAAATTAAATTTTAAAGTAAAAATATTGCACACACACAAAAGTGTAGGACGAAAGGCGTATATAAGAATATTCATCTAACATCCGTGGGGGAAGGATTGGCATGGAGAGAGACCAGATTCAGTAGGATTAAGCAGGAAACAACCATAGTAATCCAACGACGTGGTACTAAGAGCCTGTGGTGGTAATTTGTGAAAAACTGAAGACATCGTAAAGAAGAACTTTAATAATGTTTATTTTGAGTGGAGAGTCTTAAGACATAAGAGATTTCTTCTATATTTACTCATTCAGTGAGTGTTTGTTGGCATTCTTTGTTCGTGCCCAAGCACTGCTAGACGTTACTGTCTCCAGCCAGCCAGTACCTACAACTCCAATGTGCACCTTCCATAACTCTGGCCCCCAGAGAAGCCTGACCACAGGCTCTCCTCTTGTATTTCTACTGAGAGGATAATGTCATGTTTGTGTAATCTTATCTGATATTCTTTGTCCTAAGTGTGTATATATTTTAGTTTGGAAAATTTAAGACAGATTCTTACTATATATTTGGGGAGAAAAGTAGATGTGGTGCCAACAAAAGCCACTGGTGTTCTGGATGAGGCTCCAGCATAGGTTTGAGTTGTGTCTTAACAGAGCTGGAAATGGAACAGAACACTACCATACTGGACAGTGCCTTGTGTCTGACCACATGGACTCTCTCTGGTTTGGAATCACATCTTTTCATTCTCTTACGTCTTTCTCTGCATGGGAAACAGTTGTACATTGGAAGAGGCATGGGCTTTAGCATCTGACATTCATGGGTGAGAAGCCTAACCCTGTAAGAAACCACTTATTAGCATTGCGAATTTGGATAAGTTACTCTGAGCCTGCTTCCTCCTCTGTAAAATGGGATAGCAATAGCTCTCTCATATACAAAACCCTAGCCCAGGGTCTGGCATGGAGTAGCCCTTAGCTCTTATTAGCTGCCTATATCCTTCGATAATATTAACATACATTTTCTCAGCCTCTTAGGTCCAGGTGGCATCACCTGCTTAACGGCCTGTGGATGTTCGATTGATCCAGCTGTCGGGCCATGGGCTCCTCTGGGAGATGGTCTGCACAGATTAGATGTCATGGAACTGGGATGGCAGATGCCTTCTTAGCACTTCTGGAGAAGCCTAGGAAGTGACAGTGGCAGCTGGGAACAGCTGATATGAATAAATTTTGACATTTTAAGGAGTGTTCACAATAGGGGCCTTATAGGCTGGGACTGAAATCATTCTGACCTGGTTTCTTTTTCTCATTCTGAAGCTCAGCACAGTTTGGGGTGGGCTTTATTGGTGTCTGCAGGGGGTTCAGCAGCAGCCAGTCCTGTGTACAGGAGGGGCCGTGGGTTCTCTCTTCTGCTTGGTTGTCTCTCACATGCCTTTGGAAAGATTGTGAGCTTTCTCCTTAGAGTGGGGGTTTAGTTGGGATTTAATTCAGAAGCAGCCTGGGAAATAGCTTGGAAACCTAGGGAGCAGGTTTCTTGTGACCTGCAGGCAGCTGAATGTTATGTACCAAGGCTGTTCCCAGAGCAGAGAGAGACAGAAATTAAAGGGGGAACACACATGGCTCCTAGGTTGGGCAAGTGAGGGAGAGAGTCCATGTGAGAGGGGGCAGGCCACATCCACTGGTGCTCAGGGACCCCTGGATGCCAAGTGTGGAAATGACTGAGGCACCTGCCTCTGGGGCACAGGCATTGGTGGGAGGAAGGCTGTGAGGCATGTTTGTCGGCTCAGATTTAAAGAGGAAGTATGGATGGAAGCATTGTAGCATTTTTACTTGTCTCAAAGGAAATGGGATTTGATGAAAACCATTAGCTTAGGCATGAAGAGAAGCAGAGCTTCCTGTCTCCATGGAAACAAAGCAGGGCTGCATAAGCACATCCTGAAATGCCATCAGGGGCTACAGGGCAGCGGCTAACACAAACAGAAATGACCATGAGCCATCCCACTGTCTCCATCCATTGTTGCCTGGGCTTCTGGACAGGGAAAGGTAAATATGGGGAAGCAGTTGAGCTGTCTCAAAACCAGAGCAGGGACAGTCAGACCAGAGACTGCTTCCATATACGTGTGGGGAGCAATGTGAGCTCTCTTGTGTAAAGCATGCCATAGTTTTCAAAGCACCTTTGCTTTTGTGATCATATTTGTTCTTTGCAATGACTCCATGCAGTATGTGGACAGTATCTTTATTTGGAAATGAGAAGAGGGAGGTTTAGTTAATCTCCAACTAGTTACTGGCAGAGGTGGGGCCAGAGGTTACAATTTCTCAACTTCTAGTTAGTGCTTATTTTAGTGTACACTACGTAGCTTCTATTCAGGGATACTGACACCTGAGGTGGCATACCCAGAGATATGCCGCCAGTGGTAAGCCTGGAATATCATCTTGACCATATAGATTTGGTGCAAGTTTTAATGTGTATGTGCATTGATGTACACACTAATTCACACACACTGATGTTCACGTATACAATGTGACCCGGTATGTGTACAGGGCAGAAGATGCCAAGACCCACTGTCAAGGTCCTGCTGCCCTAAGACTAATGGGAAGTAGTGAAGTGTCCATAGTAGAGGAGGAATTCTTCTGGTTGCATCTCATGAATGCATAGAGTGGCTCCCACGACAAGCCAAACTACAGCTGTCTGCCTTGCTAGCAACTCATGTGCAAGCTGATTCTGTGCAATTCAGCAAGTGTTTATTGAGTGTCTGCTATGCAAAAGATACCTGGCTAGACATTTAGAATACAAAGATGGGTAAAATGAGGAGATTGTAGACTAATTATGGAAATATTTCAAAAATACATGTAATGGGACTCTAAGTTCAAATAGTCCAGAAGGCTAGTCCCTCCCCAAAGCTAATTTTTTTTTGAGATTCATATATGCAGGTCACTAATGTTGGGTTCCTACTATCTTGCAAGGCATTGTTGAGGATAAAAAGATGAATAAGACCTAGGTCTTGGCCACAATGGGCATATTAACAACTATAACTTCAGTGTTAAACCTTGCATCTCCTGTTGGGTGTGCCATTGCATCTTAGGAGGTGGTTCCTGAGTGTTTCCCATGCCTGACCTGAGACAGGAATGGCTGCTGGTCTTAAGAAGGAAATTATTCATGCCCAGCTCAGTGTTCCAGATGAGATCTCTGAGGGGAGTTGGTGGGTATTAGTTTGACGTATATCTGCTCCTCCCAAGGCTGGCTGACATTGAAGGTGACTGGCTAACATAAGGGAGAGTAATTCTGCTGGGATTCTAACACTGGAATCAACCAGTAGAAAGTCAATGACTGACTCACGCAAGAGTTACTAAGTACTTGTTGTATGTGACTCACTGCTAGGGGCTAGGGATACCAGGTCAAACAAGGACAGAGAGCTGCTACCCCTCAACGGGTTTGAGTCTAGGAAGAGATAGCAACAGGGGAGCATTTAAATTAGAAGGGGCAAGGATCAGGTAAGGCCAACTGAGGCAGGTGACAGTGGTGTGTGCCTTTGAAGAGCCAGCGATAGTTTGCGAGCACAAGGGAGAAGCACATTCTAGCACAGAGGCACAGGCAGAGGCTCATCGAGAAGGGCTTCTTGGGCTAAGCTGGTAAGTTTAAGCTTGATTCCAGAAGCTTGTGGGAGGTTTTAGATTGTTAGATAAGGAGATGGCTAGATTTGCATTTGAAGATGATCACCCTGGAGAAGGTACATAGAGAAGCAAGACTGGAAGCAAACAGAGAGGAGCAGCAGTTCAGGGGAGAAGCAGAGAAGCAGCGGGGCTGAAGTACAGCGGTGGGGACGGAAAGGACAGGACAGCTCCAGGAGGTGTTGGGGGCCAGGTGTCGGATCTGCAGGACTCGGGACTGTGTGGGTATGTCTGAGTGGGTTTGGTGTGGAAATCAGAGGGAAGTCTTCTGGATTGCTTTTAGGTTTCTGAATTGAGACTGTAGGTGGCTGGGGGAGAACACAGGCCAAAGGGTAGGTCTTAAGGGAAAGAGGGCAGGTTTTGGACCTGTTGAGTATGAGAAAGCGTAACACACTTCATGACTTTTGGCCAGTTCACAGGAGTAGAGTAGGGTTTGTTTTAAGTTGTTTTTCTTGTAAGCTATAATTTTTTGAGACTGTGCTACCCATCAAGCATTGTGCCAATCACATGACACATATTGTCTCATTTAATCCTCACAGTGACCATATGAGGAAGTACTAACTTCCTTTTATAAATAGAGATACTGTGGGATGCTTGGTAATTTGCCAAAGTAAACAAAGCTCATGAGCAGTAGATTCAGAATTTGGACTGAGATCTACTAGGCACAAACACCTATGCTTTTAAGCAGATCCTCCAGATAGTTTAAATGTCCTTTATGGAAGGAAATTATCTGTCATCTAGTACAGCAGAACTTGATGAAAATGAACAGGTCCTCCATGACGGCCATGGCACATGTAACTTCCCAGTCCTGTGGACAGAAATTTCCTGTATGATACCCTGCTATGATGACCAGAGTGGGGTGTTCATAATTCCTACACTGATGAGAAGGACTTTTCCTGGGTGAGTTGTGTGACCATGGGGGTCACATAAAAAGCTTATGGGAGCTTGCTGAGAGAATCTGCATTTCCCCAAGACACTGCTTAGTGTATCAGTTGTGAAAATTGTATCTTAGGGTGAGATAAAAATTATTTGAGGAAGACAAGACTCTAAGTGTCGTTTGTGCCTGCCTCCTTGTTACAGTGGAGGAAACTCGGCTGGAGAGTGAAATGACTTGCTCAGTTTGTAGACAGCTATTTAGTGTTAGACCTTGGCTAGAAGCTAGCTGCCCTGGCTCCCTGTCTGGGGTGCTTTTTCCTCCATGCCCTATGTATAGCCTAGTAGTAAAATACAGACTCTAGACAGTCTAGCTGGGTTTGAGTTCTGTTCCTATCACTTGCCAGCTATGACAATGATGTTAGGTAAATTATTTCACTTTTCTATACCTTCAGTTACCCAATTGTGAATAAGGATATTGGTGTTTGTCATATAAGATTACCGGGGAAATGAAATCAGATAATACATGTTAAGTGTTTAATACCTGGGTGATAGTAATTACTTAATAAATGTTAGCTGTTAGTAGCAGATTTCTTTCTCAAGAGCCTGGTTTACACTCAGTAGGTGGGGCTGGGAAAGAGCCATTCTTACCTACCAAGTACTCCCATTGAGTCAATTAGCATGAGCTCAGATGTTTTCAGATACCACTGGTAGAGCTGACCATCCATGGCACCCTACAGGGAACAGCAAAGACAGACTGTGCCCTTGGGCCCCACATGAGGCCATCAGCTTAGACACTCCACCATTTGAAGTTCCTTGGAGTACCTGGGCCTTTCTATTCTCTGCTCATGTGGTCTGGAGTAAGCCTCTAATTTTCTTTGTTAAATTCCTGCTCATCCCTCTCAGCTTGTTTTAACTTTGGCTTCTTTCACAAGATCTTTCCAGGTCTATACCCCCCAATCTCATTTTACAATTAGTATTAAAATCTTTCTCCCACATGTTCCCATAGCACTATATGCCTGTTTGTTATAGAATCTGTCACTCATAGTAATATCATGGAATTGTTATATAATTTAATACTACTAAAGATAAGATGTAATATTTATTGAAACCTTGTCATCTGCCCGATACCATGGTAAATGCTTTATATACATTATTTCAATTAATTTTTGTAACAGCCTTATGAGGCAGGTACTGCTGTTAACCCCATTTTATAATTGAGGAAATGGAGACTGAGAGTGGCTAAGAGTCTTGCCTAAGGGTGCACAGTCTAATGAGAGGCAGAGCTCTCCTCCCTTCTCCTGGATGCACTATCTTCCTGTGCTTTGGAGTCACAGATGTCTCTGTCACCCATTAAGTTTTGTTTCTTCTGCTGAGGATGTCTTTCCATGTATTTGGATCGCTCCTGATATCTTAGTGCCTTGTTTTTGTGTTCAAGAAATGATTGATGAATTGAAGGGAAACCGAGTAACATCAGGACCCTCTTAGGGAATGCCATGCCCCCCTATGACCTCCTGGAGGATAGTATTGCAGAGAACTGAGGAAGAGGCTGGCATCTTAAAAGTCAGGAGCATAATCACTGGTACTGGAGATCCTCGAAAAACCTGCAGAGAAGCTGTTTGCTTTCTGGAATGTTGATCCCAGCTTACAAGCATTACAGACAAGTAATTATGATAGGTTGGACATTTTTACACTTGGCCATTGCTAATATTTTTTTCTTTGAGTTAATTCCTTATACCATTTGCCCATTTTCCCATAAATTGGCATATTTATCTTTTTCATATGAACTTAGATTATTTGCATAGTAAGGATATTAACCTTTTATATCATATGTGGTGCATGTTTTCAGAATAATCACTTCTAAAGGATTGTTAAAGCTGTTATCCTATAGGCAATTGTGGGCAAATAAGGCTGTTGGAAGCAGAAAAAGACAAAACAGTTATTCTTTTTTATTTTAGAGCATTTGGTTTATAAAGCATTTCATGTGTTTGATTCCCACAATAATCCTAAGAAGTATATTAGTATTTTACAAACAAGGAGATTGCAGCTCGAAGTGGGCAAGTGACATGCCCTAAATGACAAATGTAAGTGTGATTTTAGGACTCCCAGTCCAGTGCTCTTGTTCCACAAAGGAGTGCTTCCCCTATGGAGTGGGCATTTGCAATGGGACCTTTGCTGCTCAGCTTCTACTCACAACAGAGATGTGATTTACACACATGCCCCAGCACAACAACAAAGTGCTCTTTTGAGTTGATTAATTCAACAGATAGTGCCAAACACTGTTCTCTAGATGCTGGGGATTCAAAAATCCCTGCCTCCATGGAGCTTATATTTTTCTGTTGCACATGTAATCTATATTTTATGTAATATTACCCCCATTTTAGGACTTTATTATTAGGAAGAAGTACAATCAGCACCAACACCCTGAAATTGCCCTGTATTGATAACGCTATGGGCTGTGAAATGTGAATGTGAAATGTAATGCAGCTGCTTTTGGGGGGAAAAAGGCTCTGATTTTCTTGTATTAATTAAAATTCTGTCTCCTTTCAAAAATTAATCTCTAGTGTCTCTTGCTGTTATCTACCTTGAGAAGCAGAGGCAGTGTCAGGATAGGTGGTTCTGGGGGCTCAGCCAAGGTGAGAGCATCCTTGGCTGCAGAGGTATGGCGGGGGTGGAGAGGTGAAGTCATAGCTGGGAGAAGCCAAGAATCCTATCCAGAAAGGTTGCATGTGAGAGGCAGGGTGAAGGTGTTGAGGGAAAAGGAATAGAGAAATCAGTAAGTAGAACTATCAACATAAATAATCAAAACAAGGTACTGTTTTACAAGCATTTATCCTTTTTAAAGCGAACTGTTGACAATTAGATTGGGACTTCATTAGGTGCCTTTTTGGATATGAAGACAATAACCAAATATAAAAATGCCTCCATTCTCTGTTCAAGTTTTCACACATGAAATTTCTGGTTGACCAAGTTCTTAGGTAACTGAAACATCCTTGTAGCTCCTCAGCCATGCTCTAACTTAGTATAGGTAAATCTTCTAACACTCTGATACCTGTATACCTATATACCTATACACACACACACACACACACACACATATACATCTATACATATGTACATATCTGTGTATATATACACCCATATATGCATACATACACACACATTTTCACACATGTATATGATGTTTTCTATTCATGTGCAAACTGCAATTCATATACTCCAGGATTTGTCCCTTCATTTAGTACTTAAGGAACCCAGTAGATGATTGTGCCATTCTCTGAATTTGCCTTGCAGAGTGACTACATTTAAACTTATTTCAAGAATGTTCCATTTTAAAATCTAGTTTTATTTGTTTTTTAGAGGAGGAGATAACTTCTACTTAGTAAAATATAACATGAAGTAATGTTTAAAAAGATGGCTTTTTAGATAGGTGAAATAAGTTCTGGTGTTCTATTGCACAGTAGGTGATGATGGTTAACAGTAAGGCATTATATATTACAAAGTAGCTTGAAGAGAGGCTTTTAATTGTTCTCACCACAAAGAAATGATACATGCATGAAGTGATGGATATGCTAAATACCCTGATTTAATCATTAAACAACATATTTATGTATCGAAACATCAGATTGTACCCCATAAATATGTACAATTACAATGTGCCAATTAAAAAATAAAAACAAATGAAAAAAATTTAAAAAGATGGCTTTGCTAAGAGACAGACCTGGATTTAATGTTCCAGTCTGCTACTAAGCTCCGAAGTGTACATATTCACTTAGATATCCCTTAGGTGTCTTAAGCTTAGGATGCCCCAAACAGAATTCATTCTTTAACTTCTTTTCCTCATCACTAAACACACTCTCTATTCTTTCTATATTCTCTGGTTTTCTTTTACTCTTTCTGTGATTCTTTTATCACATTTGTTATCCAAGATAGAAACCTGAGTTAATCCTGGTATCTTCTCCTCACTTATTCTCTGGGCCTAATTGCTCATCAAGACCTACTGATTAAGTTTCATAAAACTATGTCCTGGACTATAGCAATTGTCTTTTTAAATGTTCTCCCTGCTGTAATGCAGCCTGCTATTCATGAGAAAACAGTCTTTACAAACCAGACATTTAATTATAGAATTTGTATACCTTAGTTATTTATAATGGGATCCCATTGCCTAAACGATAGAATCACTTATGTATTCACTTAACCAGTTTTCAATAGATGTTGAGCTTCTGTGTGCCAGGCAGTATTCTAGATGTTAGGAATACAGCAGGGAACAAAACAAAAATCCCTGCCCTCATAAAAGTTGCTTTCCAGTATGGGGAGAGTCTAAGGACATATATTCTGATTTAGGTAAATGAAAAGACAAACCCTGCTCTTGAAAAGGAATACTTCAAATTACAAAGATGTCTGCTTTCTCCACTTTAGTCTTTAATGTGATATTGATAAATGTAAACAATGTTTTTACTAAATTATATTAAAATTTATCTGAAAATGTAAATGTATAAGAGTAGCCAAGACATTTCCTTAAAGAACAATGAGGAACAGGAACTTTTTATATAGGGAGTAAAATATATTCTAAAGCTACAATAATTGAAATGATGTGATATAATATAGGAATACAGGAACCAAATATATATATATATACACACACACACACGACATATATTGTGTATGTGTGTGTATATATATGAATTTACAGTATATATAAGTGTAAAGTGTCATTTCAAATCATTGAAAACAAATCATTCAGTGAATTGTGTGACTGGCTAGTTACTTGGCAGGACAAAAATTGAGTTGGAGCCCCATCTTATATCTTATATCAAAATAAATTGCAGGTGGAGCTAGTACATGCATTTTAAAAATTAAATCATAAAAGGATTCAAAGAAAACACAGACAATTTAAAAACTTCAAGGGAGAAGACCTTTCTAAGCATTATGCAAATCAATAAGCCATAAAGGAAATAATTGATATGTTTGAATTTGTAAAAATAAAAATACACTGACCACTATAATTTATTAATAACTTCCAAAAACAAATGAGTTAGTTTTAAATTTTAGATTGATTATATAGAGGATTCAGGAAGGTGATAAAAAGATGATTGATAAGTAATAAGATTGTAATAAAGCTCTAGTTCCAGACAGAAAATGAGGATTTCAAGCACTGATGGCTGAAATGTAAGGTGAAAACCAGCTGAAGATTTTAAGTGGTAAAATAGTCAGGAGATGATGAATGACTGGCTGTAAGCAGTAGGGAAGATCACCTAGTATATGATCCCAAGATTCAGTTGCAAATGTTTTGGAGAACTTTGGTTCCATTTACTGACATGAATAATAGAAGAAGAAAAAAGCTCTTATTCTGAGAGAAAGGTTTGTTTAATTTTAGACTTAGAAAGTTTGAAGTTCAAGAGGCCTGGACAAGTAGATAGGATCATCCAATATCTGTGTCTTAAGAAAAGAGGGAGGAAAGATATGATACACTATCAGAACACAATAGAGAAAATGGTACAAATACATAAGGTTATCCATGGAGGGGAGGTAGAGAAGAAAAAACAGCCACAGATAGAGGTTTCTAGAAACACCATTTAAGAGAATATTAAGATTTTCAAAAAGACATACCAGAAACATCACATCATAGAGGATGAAGAAGTACAGGGTTTCAAAAAGGAATGAGAAGACCCCAAGTGCTGAATGAGTCATAGAGATCCAATACACAGTTGACTAAAAAATAGCTGTTGAAGCTGGCAATGTGGAGGACGTGTCTGTCTTTTTTTTTTTTAACTTTTTTTTTGAAATAATTATAGAATCAACAGGAAGTTGTAAAAAATTACAGGGAGGTCCTATGTATTCTTCTCCCAGTTTCCCCCAGTGGTAACATCTTGCATAACTGTAGCACAATACCAAAACCAGAAAATTGACACTGGTGCAATCCATAGAGCTTCAGATTTCACCAGTTTCACATACACTCATTTGTGTGTGTAGTTCCATGTAATTTTATCACGTGTAAATTTGCATAACCACTGCCACAATCAAGATACAGAACTGTCCTATCACCATAAGACCCCTTGTGCTACCCTTTATAGCCACATCTACTATCCTCTACCCTTGCCAACACATTCTTCTAATTTTGTCATTTCAAGAATGTTAAATAAATGGAATCATAGGATAGAAAACTTTTTGAAATTGACCTTTCTTCACTTAGCATAATTGCCTTGAAGTCTATCCAGGTTTTCCATGTATCAGTTGTTCATTCCTTTTTATTTCTGAATAGTATTCCATGGTATGGATATACCACGGTTTGTTTCCATGCACTCCTTGGAGGACATGTGAATTTTTTTCAGTTTGGGTTACTACAAGTAAGGCTGCTATGAAGAACATTTGTGTACAGGTTTTTGTGTGAACATAAATTTTCCTTTCTCTGGGAAAAAATGCTCAAGAGTGCAGTCGCTGGGCCATATGGTAAGTGCATGTTTAGTTTTATAAGAAACTGCCTACCTGTCTTCCAGAGTGGCTGTTCCATTTTACATTCTTGCTAGCAATGCATGAGACTTCTGGTTTTTCCATATTCTTACCTGTGGGCTTAGAAAATTAAATAATATACAATGAACATTAATAAGTATCTTATTAATTAACAAATTTATCTCGAAGTTATAAGACAATAATGTAGACCCAGGCTGGGCATGGTGACTCATGCCTGTAATCCCAGCACTTTGAGAGGTTGAGGCAGGAGGATTGCTTGAGCCCAGGAGTTTGAGACTAGCCTGGGCAACAACGCGAGACTCAGTCTCTTTTAAAAAAAAAAATTAGCTGGGTGTGGTGGCATGTGCCTGTAGTCCCAGCTATTCAGGAGGCTGAAGCAGGAGGATCACTTGAACCCAGGAGGTCGAGGCTGCAGTGAGCTGTGTTTGTGCCACTACATTCCAGCCTGGGCAACAAAGTGAGACCCTGTCTCAAAAAAAATTATAATAAGGTAGACCAATAATTATTAAATCATGTTTTTAAAATTATGGACCAGTAAGTTCTCAGGAAAAAAATAAACAACAAAACTAACATTGGTTGGGTAGAAAAGTTGAATACAGAGTTAATAACTTTTAATTTTAGCAGTTAAAGACTTTAAAACAAATAGATTAATCACAAAAACTCAACTGCTAGCTTCACTCACCATCAATTCATTAAAGAAAAGGTCCAAATTAATGTTCTTTGTTTTGCAAGACCTCTCAAAGCTTTGCTGCAACCTACTTTTCTAGCCTCAATTCAACGATTCCTCTGCCTTAGCCTGGCCACACGGCTCACTGTTCCCGGATTTCCCAGGTAATCACTTCTTTGGCTAGAAATAACCAACCCCCACAGCCACTTCCAC